>NC_000003.12:46070606-46373636 GCF_000001405.40 Homo sapiens
CTGTTTGTGTGGAATATCTTTTTCCACCCCTTTACTTTCAGTATATATGTGTCTACCAAAAAGTTGAGTTCCTCGTAAGCAGCATGCAGTTTGATCTTGTTTTTTTAATCCATTATGTCAGTCTTTATCTTGTAAGTGGAACATTTAATCCACTTACATTCAAGGTTAATATTGATATGTGACATTTTGTTCCTGTCATATTGTTAATTGTTATCTAGTTGTTTTATCAATTCTTGGCTTTTTCTTCCTTTGTCTGTTGTCTTTGTGGTTTGGTGGTATTCTGTCATGTTGCCATTTGATTCCTTCCTCTTCCTCCTTTGTGTAATTGTTTTATGAAACCTGTGAGTTTTTATATTCTCATGTGGTTTTATGATGGTGAATACCAACCTTTTGTTTCCATCTTTAGTACTCCTTTGAGCATTTCTTGTACAAAAGAAGAGAGGAGATCCAAATAAACATACTCAGAAATGAAAATGAGACATTGCAACTGATACCACAGAAATACAAAAGATCATTAGAGACTATTATGAACAACTATATAGTCATAAACTAGAAACCTAGAGGAAATGGATAAATTCCTGGAAATATACAGCCTACTGATATTAAACAAGGAAGAAATAGAAATTCTGAACATACAAATAACAAGTAATGAGAATGCATCGATAATAAAAAAAATTGCCAGATTTTTTATTCCAAAAAATCCCAGGCCCAGGTGGCTTTTTTTTAAGTTTCAAAAAAAGGCCAGCACCAGATGGATTCACAGATGAAGTCTGCCAAATGTAAAGAGAAGAACTGTACCAATCTTCCTGATACTGTTCTAAAAAATTGAGGAGGGAATTCACCCTGACTCATTCCACAAAGCCAGTATCACCCTGATACTAAAGACAAGGATACAAGAAGAAAAGAAAACTACAGAGCAACATTCCCCGTGAACATAGATACAAAAATCCTCAACAAAATACTAGCAAATAGAATCCAAGAGCATATCCAAAAGATAATACAGGATGATCAACTGGGTTTTATTCCAAGGATACAAGGATGATTCAACATATGCAAATCAATACATGTGATTCACCACATAAACAGAACTAAGGACATAAGCCATATGATCATCTCAATAGATATAGAAAAACCATCTGATAAAATTCAGCATCACCTCATGATAAAAACACTCAACAAACTAGGCACAGAAGGAACATACCATAAAATAATAAAGCCCCATATATGACAAACCCATAGCCAACCTCATACTGAACGGTGGAAAGTTGAAAGCATTCCCTCCAAGAACTGGAACAAGTCAAGAATGTCCACATTTACCACTCCTATTTAACATAATACTGGAAGTCCTAGCCAGAGGAATGAGGCAAGAGAAACAAATTTTAAAAATCCACATTGGAAAAGAGGTAGTAAAATTATTTCTGCTTGCTGAGGTTATGATCTTATATCTAGAAAATACTAAATCCTTTAGATTTAATAAATGAATTCAGTAAAGTTTCAGGATACAAAATCAACAGACAAAAATCAGTAGCATTTCTATAAACCAATAATGATCAAGCTGAGAACCAAATCAAGACAGCAATCCCATTTACAATAACTAAAATTAAAACAACAACAACAACAAACCACCTTAGGCTGGGTATGGTGGCTCATGCCTGTAATCCCAGCATCTTGGGAGGCTGAGGTGGGCAGATCGCTTGAGCCCAGCAGTTCGAGACCAGCCTGGGCAACATGGTGAAATCCTGTTTCTACAAAAAATACAAAAAATTAGCTGGGCATGGTGGTGCACACCTAGAGTCCCAGTTACTTGGGAGGCTGAGGTGGGAAGATTGCTTGAGTCTGGGAGGCAGACATCGTACCAATGTACTCCAGCTTGGGTGGCTGAGAGGGACCTTGTCTCAGTGAAAATAAAACAAATAAAAACAAAACAAAAAATCCTGGAAATAAATTTAACCAAGGAGGTGAAAGAGCTCTACAAGAAAAGCAGCAAAACACTGATGAAAGAAATTATAGATGACCCAAATAAAAGGACAAATATCTCATGTTCATGGATCAGAAGAATTAATATTGTCAAAATGACCATACTGCCCACAGAAATCTACAGATTCAATGCAATTCCTATCATTAGAAAAATGATGTTGATAATTTATTGGAATTAGAAACAAATTCTAAAATTTGTATGCAACCAAAAAAGAGCCTGAATAGCTAAAGTATTCCTAAGCAAAATGAACAAAGCTGGAGGCATCACATTATCTGAGTTCAAATTATACTACAAGGCTATAGTAACCAAAACAGCATGGTACTAGTATAAAGGTAGACATATAGATCAGTATGACAGAATAGAGAACCCAGAAATAAAACCACATATTTAGAGACAATTGATCTTTGACAGAGCTGACAAAAACACACACTGGGGAAAAGATACCCTGTTCAATAAATGGTGCTGGAAAAATTGAATTGCGATATGCAGAAGAATGAAATTGGAACCATATCTCTCACCACATAAAAAAATCAACTCAAGATAGATTCAAGACTTAAATATAAGACTCAAAACTATAAAAATACTAGAAGAAAACCTAGGAAAAACGAGACATTGGTATAGGCAAAGAATTAATGACTAATATCTCAAAAGTACATATGACAAAGACAAAAATAGACAAGTGGGACTTAGTTAAACTCTTCTGCACACCAAAAGAAATAAATAACAGATGCTGGGTGCAGTGGTTCACATCTATAATCCCAACACTTTGGGAGGCTGAGGCGGGCAGATCACTTGAGGCCTGGAGTTCCAGACCAGCTTGGCCAACATGGCAAAATCCCATCTCTACTAAAATATTAGCTGGGCATGGTGGCACACACCTGTAATCCCAGCTACTTGGGAGGCTGAGGCATGAGAATTGCTTGAAGCCTGAGAGCCGGAGGTTGCAGTGAGCTGAGATCATGCCACTGTACTTCATCCTGAGAGACAGAGTGAGATTCTTAAACAAAAAACAAAAAACAAAAACAACAGAAATAAACAACAGAGTGGACAGAGAGCCTGCAGAATGGGAGAAAATATTTGCGACTTATGCATCTGACAGGGGACTAATATCCAGAATTTACAAGGAATTCAAACAACTCAACAACAACAAAATACAAATAACCCCATTAAAAAGTGGGCAAAGGACATGAATAGACATTTTAAAAGAAGATATACAAATGACCAAAAAGCATATGAAAAAATGCTCATTATTACAAATCATCAGAGAAATGCAGATGAAAACCAGAACATGATACCATCTTACACCAATCAGAATGGCAATTAAAAAAAAAAAACCCAACAGATACTGGTGAAGATGTGAAGAAAAGGGAACTCTTATACATTGTTGGTGGGAATGTAAATTAGTACAACCTCTTTGGAAAATAATATGGAGATTTCTCAAAGAACTAAAAGTAGAACTACCATTGAATCCAGCAACCCCACTACTGGGTATCTACCCAAAGGAAAAGAAAATAGTTATATCAGAGATAACTTGCACATGCATGTTTATCACAGCACAATTTACAATATATATGCAATGGAATTATTATTCAGCCATAAAGCAGCAACACGAATGGAACTGAAGGCCATCTTTTTTTTTTTTTTTTTTTTTTTTTTGAGACAGGGTCTCTTTTCTGTTGCCCAGGCTAGAGTGCAATGGCACAATCATGACTCATTGCAGCCTCAACCCCCAAGGCTCAAGTGATAGAGGTCATTATCTTAAGTAAAACAACTCAGAAACAGAAAGTCAAATACTGCACGTTCTCCTTCATAAGTGGGAGCTAAATAATGTATACACATGGACATAGAATGTGGAGTAATACACACTGGAGACTCAGAAGAACGGGAGGTAGTGGTGGGGGGTGAAGGATGAGAAATTATTTAATGGGTACAATGTACATTATTTGGGTGATAGATACACTAGAAGCCAAGACGTCATCATTATGTAATATATCCATGTAACAATGCAATTGTACCACTTAAATTTATATTTTAAAAAAAATCATAAGGAAGAAAAATATATTTACTATTCATTATGTGGAAGTAGGTCATCATAAAGGCTTTCATCCTCATTGTCTTCACACTGAGTAGGCTAAAGGAGGAAGAGGAAGAGGAGGGGTTGGTCTTACTGTTTCAGGGGTGGCAAAGGTAGACGAAATTTTGGATTTAAGTGGACCTTCCCAGTTTAAACCCATGTTGTTCAAGAATCAACTGTACTGTGAACAACTCTACACACATAAAACTTGTCAACTTAGATGAGATAAACCCACTCTTCAAAAAGCACAGACTACTATAACTCATCTATGAAACAGATAATTTGAATAGCCCTGTAACTACTAAGGACATTGAATTCATAATTAAAATCTCCCAAGAAAAAAATTTCCAGGCCCAGAGAGTTTAACTGGAAACTATTTCAAATATTTAAAGAATAATTAGCACTTTGAAAAGGAATGAAATGGGAAGAATCACTCTACCCAATTTTAAGACTTATTTCATAGCTATAGTAATATGTGATATTGGCAGAGGGACAGACACAAAGATTAATGGAAGAGAGTTAAAAAAACCCAGAAGTAGCCCCACACAAGTATGGCCCACTGGTTTTTGACAGTGGTGCCAAAGCAAGTCAATGAGGGAAGGATAGTCTTTTCAACAAATAGTGCTAGAGCAACTAGATGCTCATAGACCAAAAAAAAAAAAAAAAAAAAAACAACAAAAATCAAAACCAAGAAACCTCAATCTAAACCTTTGACCTTATACACAAATTAACTCAAATTGGATCATTGATATAAATGTAATGGATAAACTATAAAACTTTAAGAAGAAAACATAAGAGAAAATCTTTGAGACCTAAATCTTGGTGAAGAGTTCTTGGACATAACACCAAAAATATAATACATAAAAGAAAGAATAGATAAACTATTAAAATGAAAAACATTTGCCCTGCAAAAGGCCCTGTTAAGACCATCTCCAGAATGGGAGAAAATATTTTCCAACCACATATCAGACAAATAGCTCATGTCTAAAATATATATAGAATCCTCAAAATTCAACATTTAAAAAGAAAACAAAACAAACAAACAAAAAACAACCAATTCAGTTAAAAAATAGGAAATGACTTGAAGAGACATTTCATGGAAGAGGATTTTTCAAATGGCAAATGAGCACATGAAAATATATTCAATGTCACTAGCTACAAGGGAAAGGCAAATTAAGACCATGATAAGATATTATCACATATGTATCATAATAGTTAAAACAGTAAAAATAGTGGCAATACCAAATTCTGACAAGGATGTGGAAAAATCTAGATATCTCATACTTTGCTATCTAGTTTGGGGAATGTAACATGGCATAGCCACTCTGAAAAGAGTATAGCAGCCTCTTAAAAACCAAGCACGCACCATATGTGTTAGTCAGGGTTCTCCAGGAAAAAGAGCCAACAGGATAGATAGTGCTGGCCTGGGCCACCAAGATTTTTTAACAGTCACCTTCCAACCCTGCCCCAAGTGATTCCATGAGCAGCTAAGATTAAGAACCACTGCCCAGGGGAGACTTGGATTTTGTATGCAAAACAATTACTCCATGTGGTCCTACAATTTAGGCAAATTTGAAAGATACCCTTGTCTCTACCATCTGACATACCACCCACACTCAGCACTTGGCCAG
Organism: Homo sapiens; assembly: GCF_000001405.40. Taxonomy (NCBI): domain Eukaryota; kingdom Metazoa; phylum Chordata; class Mammalia; order Primates; family Hominidae; genus Homo; species Homo sapiens. The sequence continues at coordinate 46,076,290 of NC_000003.12, forward strand.
CTCTGGGAACCCCTTGTATTCTTCTGGCTTTGAGAGAAATTGTTGAATGTAAGGTATGAGTCCTGCTGAAATCTGGGCCGTTCCTACTTCTTGGCTGAATATTTTGTCTGAGCTGGCCCCACATTGGCTCAAGTAAAGTCTTCAAAATTATTAATATATTTTGTGCCTCAGCTTCCTCAGCTGTAAAATGAGAAAGACACTCATCTTGCAGAGTTGAGTGCTTTAGATGTGATGTTGGTCAATGATTGCCATTTTGTAGAAGCTTAACAAATGGTAGCCATTATTTTGAAAAAAAAAAAAAAAATAGGATATCATTGAAATCAGCAGCAGCAAAGTTAAAAGACAGAATTGTGGCTCCTGTTTAGTTCACATATTTCCCTGGGAAGGAGGAAAGTTTCTATGCTGGGGCATAGAAAACAAGGGGCTATACCTCAATGGTCCCAAACTGACCTTATCAGGTTGGCCTTCTTGATAGTTTCACTTTCCAGATGCTAGAGAAATTTGCTGTGGGCCACTGCCCTCTATTGAAGTAATATTGTCACTTCTGAGGAAAGAATACTTGGACTTGCCATAGGAGAAGTCAAGGATTGCACTTGAATTTCATCTCACTGGGGTAAAGCTGACCCCTGTGTGAGCACTGAGAGAGAAAAGAAACTTTTTATGTGAGGAATACAAACCCCTTTAATATATCCAGCCCAGAAAGGCTTTGGAGTAAAAAGCTGTCACATCTCAGTCCCTGCTTGAGCTAAGTAGTTACCTCTTGAAGCCACTTGCTGTGGGCTCTGGACTAACTGATGCCACGTAGCTATAAAATGCCATATACCATAATCATGGATGCCACAACTCATATCCTCTAGCTCAGGGGTCCTCAACCTCTGGGACGCAGACCAGTTAGGAACTAGGCTGCACAGCAGGAGGTAAGCAGTGGGCAGGCAAGTGAGCAAAACTTTATCTGCTGCTACCCATTTCTAGTATTACCACCGGAGGTCCTCCTCCTGTCAGATCAGCAGCAGTATTAGATTCTCATAGAAGTGCAAACCCTATTGTGAACTGTGCATGCGAGGGACCTAGGTTGCATGCTCCTTACGAAAATCTAATTCCTAATGATCTGCCACTGTCTCCCATCACCTCCAGATGGGACCATCTAGTTGCAGGAAAACAAGCTCAGGGCTCTTACTGATTCTACATTATGGTGAGTCATGTATTTCATTATATATTACAATGTAACAATAATAGAAATAAAGTGCACAATAAATGTAATGCACTTGCTTCATCCCCAAACCATCTCCCCTACTCCTCCTAGGTCTGTGGAAAAATTGTCTTCCATGAAACTCGTCCCTGGTGCCAAAATTTTGGGGACCACTGCTGTAGCTCAACAACATAAAGCCAATCACTAATCAATGTTATTTCTGCAAACCAATGAGAATTCCTGTCAAATAGCTTTGTATCAGTCCACTCCTTGCTCACTTTTTGTCTTTAAAAACCTGCCTGAATGGATGCAGCTGGAGACAATTATTCTAAGTGAATTAACACAGGAACAGAATACCAAATACCGCACGTTCTCACTTATAAGTGAGAGCTAAACATTAGGCACACAGGGACATAAAGCTGGGAACAACACACATTGGGGACTATTAGAGTGGGGAGAGAAGGAAAGGGGCAAAGACTGAAAAACCACCTATTGGGTACCATGGTCGCTACCTGGCTGATGGCATCATTTGTACCCCAAACTTCAGCATCATGCAATATAGCCATGTAACAAACATGCACATGTAACCCCCTGAATCTAAAATAAAAGTTGAAATTATTTTTTAAAAAGCCTGCTCGCAACAAAGGCTGGATGCGGCACTCCCCAAAGCAACTTGGAAGTGTGTCCTGAGCAGCTGGCCTCATGTTGGCTCAAGTAAAGTCTTCAAAATTATGAATATATTTTGTGCCTCATCTTCTTCCTTTGGGGTCAGCATTTTTGGTGCCATGAGAAGGATTCAGAATAACCCCCTTGGCTCTACTATCTGACTTACCTCCCAGACTCAGCGCCTGGCCAGCTCTGGGAACCTCTTGTATTCTGACTTTGAGAGAAATTGTTGAATGTAAGGTATGAGTCCTGCTGAGATCTGGGCCTTTCCCATTTTTTGGTTGAAGGTCTAGATTTTGCCTGAGCTATGTTTTCCGATCCTCCCTTACTAGAATGGGAGTTTTCCATCTGTGCCTAATGGGCAGGAGATTTGGGTTCCAGAAAAGAAAAAGGGTAGGGGGAACAGCGTTTTTTCACCTCTGCCTTGGGGAAGGGAGGTCTGGGTCCAGGCATTGGCAATTTGACATTGGTGGTTTTGCTTTACATAGCACGCTTTTAAAATTGCAGCTGCTTCCTATTGTTTGAAATTCAGACTTGGATGTTTCATCTGTGACCAATTCCTATTAGTTCTAAACTGAAAAGTGCATGAGAGTGAGTTCTCTTGCTATGGAGAAAGGGCAGTTGCTCACTTTGACCAATTGGAGTGCTCTAGGTGACTGGAGACTTTGCAGAGTTTGCAGAGTCTCTGCAGACTTTGCAGAGGTGTCAAGGCTGTTGTCTAGGATATAAAGGACGCTCGTAGGGTATTCCTCACCACAAGAACGTTTTTTAGGGACTCGATCATCTGCATGGGCATAAAATACGGGACTGATCGCTCATACCTTTAGCACTCTGGTGCCACCTGGTGGTTAGAGGCATTCTGAGACAACGTAAGAGAGCAACTCATGACTTTTGGGTGACACCTAGAGGAGCAGTGCTCGTAAGCACCACACTTCCACCCAAACACATCCTGGGCCTTGGTCATTTTTAAGAAGTTCCTAAGTTACGGGAAATCAAGCTTGAAAATCTGAGCGCTCTTTTAAGGGACAACCATTGTTAGAAACACCATCTGGTTTTATGTACAACACTTATGAGACATCCTCTTGTAAATATCTAGGAAAACGGACCCATATAGCCCAGGATGATCATCAACAATGGCCAAAATGTGGGTCTTTTGAAATGCCCAAAATGATTCATTTGTGTGCACAATAGAGAAAAAAGCTGGTTTTAGAACATGAAATAGGATAATTACTTCCAATGGCACCTAGAGTTTTTTTAAGATAAATTCTGAGAAAATTGCCTCAATCCAAGAGGTAAACAAAAAGATCCTAAATCTATTTCTGAATTTAAAAAGACTTTGAAGCCCTCCTCCCTTCCACTTCCAGCTGTTTCTCCTCATCCTACCCCTGCACCTTTATATCCTCTCTTATCTCAAGTCCCCTGTCCTGCCCTTCCTTCCCTCCCACTACCACCTTAGGAAATTCCCTAGAACTTGAACCCCCTCCCTGAAACCCCATTTTGGCAGCCCCTTTTCAGGTAAAACCACAGCAAGAGGTGAGACCACTATTATGTATACCCCTTGGACAAAAACTGAACTGAAGAATATTATAAAAGACTTCCCTGACCTGCTCCAAGATCCCATAGGGTTTGCAGAACAATCTGCTTTAATTGTCCAGACTTATAAGCCCAGATATTCTGACCTTTATCAATTAGTTCACATGCTGGTATGAGAAGGCAGGGCCACTGAATGGCAAAAAAGGCAATCTGGAAAAATCCCTCAGAGGATTTGGAAAAACAAACAGAAGCTGACCATGAGAAGATCCACACTTTAGCCAAGTCTCTCTGTGATGCCATTTCCTGGGTCTTTCCTCAAATGTAGAGTGGAAGATAATTCAACAATATACTCAAAGGCCAGATGAATTTGTGCTTAATTATTTTGAACAGTTAAAAAAAAAACCTTTTAACAATATTCTGGAATGGAATGCCTGATGCTAGCCTCCAAGATCACCTATAATCGTGCCACTGTACTCTGGCCTGGGCAACAGAACAAGTCCTTGTCTCAAAAAAAAAAAAAGAAAAAAAAAGCCAACAAGTCTCCAACCTCTTGGAAGCAGTCCCCAACTGAAATCTCATAAAAATATAAAAATTCCTGGTCATGCCAAATTAGATACTCCAGAGAGCAAAGGCAATCATTTCACTGACAATGCCGCTAAGAATGCAGTCCTGAAGGTTACATCAGACAATAGATACCTTGAAATGTCCTTACAGACTTATTACCCATTTAAAACTTTGGCCAAGCATGGTGGCTCACATCTGTAATCCCAGCTACTTGGGAGGCTGAGGCATGAGAATCTTTTGAACTAGGGAGGCGGAGGTTGCAGTGAGCTGAGATTGTGCCACTGCACTCCAGCCTGAGTGACAAAGCGAGACCCTGTCTCAAAAACAAAAACAACAAAAAACCCCAGCCCCCCTGCCAAACAAACAAACAAGAACTTTATTAGAAGCAGCACAAACAGGAGCTCTCAAGAAGGAAATCGACCTCAGGAAAGATAAAGGAACCAAGTTTTCCCCAGAAACAGGCTTATGATGTGGACTTAATGATAGACCAATCTTTCCCTTAGGGCTTCAATTACCCTTTAAATGATGTGTTTATGAGCTGACTCATTGGAATCCAGATGAAACGACAGCTTGGGGAAAGCAATATTATTGGAAACCATCCCCTCTTGTTTATTCTTGCTGATGGTTTGTCCCAAACATAATCCTGGAAAACTCCTTCATAGGTTACAGGGACATTTTCCTTTACCTTTAGGACCCTTTGATATATGGCAATTGGACTTTATCCAGCTGCCCCTGTCTCAGGGTTATAGATATGTTCTGGTGCTAATTTATGTGTTTTCTCATTGGGATGAAACCTGCCCGTGCCAATGAGCCATGGTCCAAGTAGTAAGAAAATTGTTATTAGAAAAGATAATTCCTTCATGGGGAGTTTCATCTGAGCTCCAGAACGGCCAAGAAACACATTTTACTGGTCAAGTAATTCAATCCATTTGCAACATTTGGCCTATATTCCAATTGTGCTTTTAACCCCCAATCCTCTGGACTGGTGAAACACACCAATGGTATAATAAAAACTCAATGGCCAAACTAATTGAAGTTTTTAACCTCTCCTGGCCAAAGGCTGTCTCATTAGTTCTGCTCAGCCTGTGATCCACACCATTTGGAAAACACCAGCTCTCTCTCTTCAAAATAATAACAGGAAGGCCCACGTGACTAGATGAAGGAACTTATGAACTTGCATTTCTTAAAGGTGATATCCTCCATTACTGCCACAGTCTCAGAATACTTCTTATTAAGAACTCAAAATTAATCAAGAGTTCCTTCTGCAGAGAGCTCTGGGGAGATGAAATCATCAAAAATCATGGCCTGTAACTGGAGATTTCTTTTTTCTTTTTAAAGGTCTCTGATGTCTAATATTTGACAGACCAGTGAAGTAGTTTTGGCATTGCAAGCATTTTTGCCCTTTGTGAATTTCCCACTAGAGTGATTTGCAACTATTCCTTTTCTTTTTTTCTTTTTTTTTTTTAAAAATCTTATTCTAGATTTGGGGATACACATGCAGCTTTGTTATAAGGGCATATTGTGTGATGCCGAGGTTGGGGTGTGGTTGAACCCGTCATTCAGGTAGTGAGCATAGTACCCAATAGTTAGTTTTTCAGCACTTGCCTCCCTGCCTTCCTTTCCCTTCTCATAGTTCCCTGTGTCTCTTGTTTCCGTCTTTATGTTCGTGTGTACCCAATGTTTAGCTCCCACTTACAAGTGAGAATATGTGGAGATTTTGATTACTGGAAAGGATGTCGAATAAAAGATTCCTTCTCACCCAGTGGGAAGGGACCATATCAGGTACTATTGGCCAATCCCTGTGCCACTAAACTTAAAGGCATTGATGCATAGATTCATATTTCTCATTTTAAAAAGACAACCCTACCTGAGGGGACGTCTTTCATCATGGGAGATCTTAGTGGAATTGACTTGCAGTCTTCCTGACCAGAATGGAAAGTAGCTGACATTTGTGGTCACCTGTTTTCACCCAAGATACCAGACCAAGCCTGTATAACTTGTTCTTCATGATTCTAATGCCTACCACACCTGAAATATTTGCTCTCCTTTTTCTATTGACTGGAATACTTATGGCGTTAGGCCTCCATACTGTGAGTATCCTCTCTTGGATAAAATTGTTTTGGTAAAATCATCATATATATATTTATATGTGCATATATACATGCATACACACACACACACACACACATATATTCTCTTAGGATATATGTAAACAAATGCCTATAATCAGGCTCCTTTTTTTTTTTTTTTTTTTTTTCCTTTTTTTAGAGATGGGGTTTTGCTCTGTTGCCCATGCTGGAATGTAGTAACATGATCATAACTCACTGCGGCCTCCAACTCCTGGGCTCAAGCAATCCTCCCGACTCAGCTTCCCGAGTAGCTGGGGCAACAGAAGTGCACCACCACACCCAGCTAATTAAAAAAAAAATTGTAGAGAAGGGTCTTGCTATGTTGACCACACTGGTCTCAAACTCCTGGCCTTAAGTAATTCTCCCACCTCGGCCTCTCAAAGTGCTGGGATTACAGGCATTAGCCACTGCACCTGGCCTAGGTTTCTGTTTTTGCCGTCCCTGATAAATTTGACTGTAGCATGGAGGGATAATTCTCTGATCAGAATCCCACACACCATTGCCACTGCTGGAAATCTGAAGAGATGCTGGGTTTGCTACCCTAAACCAAAAACTACTTTTGACCACAATGACCCACTGGTACATTCTGCCCTAAATTTCACCAGTGTTCATGATAGCACTTGTAACACAACTCAGGGCCACATAAAAGCAAACCTGTTAATCAGGTCTGCCTGACTCATCCTAACCTGTTTGTCCTATGTTTCAATGTAACTCATCAGAATTCTTTTGTCAAAAATCACTGCTGCGTTACTCACTAATGACAGTACTAAAATCCATGATGTTGTTAGAAAATCCAAAGAAAACAGCCCCTCCAGCTATCAGGATCCTGTCTTCTTGCTTTAACATTTCTGACCCATTGATCCAGTAATGCCTCAAAACTGATGTTCTTAAATTATAGTGTACTTATCTGTGCTCCACCAGGATTTATTATAGTCTGTGGAGAAAATCACCAGCCATGGTCCTGTAAGTGTCTAAGAGCATGGAATGTTGAAGGGCAATATGTCTTAGGATATTTCGTTACCCTTCTCTCTATATACAGCTCTGAAGAAACTCAGCACTGGACTAGTTCCCTCAAACTTTTCTCTAGGCATGACTGCAGATCTACCTTAGATGGAGATTCTATTTAGAGAAAATGTGCTAATTATCTGGCTGGCCATCAAGAAGATAGCTCCATGCATTTTTTTTTCTTTGAGAATACTTTTGCCTTTGTTGGATGTAACTTCCCATGAACACATGATCTAAAATCCTTCTAAAACCCTAGGAAACATTGCTGATGAAACTGCTGTCTCCATCACAGCTCAACAAAAAGCTACAGATTTACTGACTAAGGTTGTGCTAGACAATCACATTGCTTTAGATTCTATATTAGCTGAGCAAGGAGGTGGATATGTGGTGGCAAATACCTCTTGTTGTATATACATAAGTATTTCCCATGAAGTAGAAACTCACCTAGGAAAAATCAGGGAAGAAGCTGCTTGACTACAGGTCTCTAAAGAAAAACTGAGATTTAATTTTCTTCAGGAGGTTTTTAGTTGACTCTTAACAGACTAGATTCCTTTTTCATTCTGGCATAAAAATTCTCTTTTTGGTTCTAATCCTATGTGCATTATATATTTCTATTATTCCAATTAATGCTAGATATCTTTCATTGTTTTATTTCTTCTGAGAAAATGAAAATCATGGTATTCCAGAGACTGGCGATGATGGAGCAAACAACAGCAGCTATGTAAGTCAATACTTTGTGGACTCACTTTTGCCATTCTGTATTGTCATCCTGATTCAGCTTTTTGGTGCTCTTAAAATTCCTCACTGAGATGTCTCCACTCCCCCATGTGGGACAGGGCTACCCAGGAATGAGCCTTCCTGGTGACAAGGGACAAGCTGGCACTCAGATTTGTATCATCAGTGCTTTTGAGGAGAAAAATTTGTGATCAAAAGGAAGGAAATGAGAGCAAAAGGAAACTTTTAATCATAGGAATGTGAGCCCTTTTAAATTATCAGTCCCAGAAAAGCATTGGAATGAAAAGCTATCACATCTCATGCCTCCCTTGAGCTAAGTAATTACCTCTTGAAGCCACTTGCTATGTGGACTCTAGACTAACTGATGCCAAGTAGCTATAAAATGCCATGCACTGGACGCCATAACTCATATCCTCCAGCTCAACAATGTAAAGCCAATCCCTAATCAATGTAATTTCTATAAACCAATGAGAATTCCTGCCAACTTTTTATCAGCTCACTCCTTGCTTTCTTTTTGTCTTTAAAAATCCACTTGTACAGATGTAGCTGGAGGCCATTATCCTAGGCGAATTAATGCAGGAAAAGAAAACCAAATACTGAATGTACACGCTTATAAGCAAGAGCTAAACACTGGGCACACAAAGACATAAAGACGGAAACCGTAGACACTGGGGGCTACTAGAGGGTGGAAGAAAGGAGTGGGGTAAGAATTGAACAACTATCTTATTGGGTACTATGCTCACTACCTGGGCGATGGCATCAGTCATACCCCAAACCTCAGCATCTTGCAATATACCCATGTAACAAATGTGCATATGGTACCTCCCGAATCTAAAATAAAAGTTGGATTTTTTTTTTAAAGCCTGAATGCAACAAAAGCTGGATGGAGTACTCCCCAAGGCAACTTGGAAGGGTGTCCTGGGCAGCTGGCCTCACATTGGCTCAAGTAAAGTCTTTAAAATTACATTTTGTGCTCAGCTTCTTCATTTTAGGTGGACAGCACTTGCAGAAAACCTTGCCCCTCTTAAGGAGTTCCTGTAATCATGATAGCTAATACATGGAGCAGCCTATGTCTGCTCTAAGCATTTGACATATATTATTAAAAAAAAAAAAAAAAGGTTCCATCACCGCAAACACAACTCATCACACCGCGAACACAAGAGGCAGGTACTAATGTGATCTACATCTATACAGATTAGGGAACTGAGGCACAAGGAGGCAAGTAACTTGGCCAAAGTCATGCAGCCAGGGAGCATCAAAGCTGGCTTCAGTCTTTATTCCTAACCAGCCTCTTGAATTCCTCTGATGCTTTCGATCTTATCATGACAATTGTTCTGCAGCCTGTATTGTGGTCCAAGTATTTTTTTCTCCATTTTAAACACTTTGAGTTTGCACTCCATCCTGTCTGCCCCTCCCCTTCACAGCAAATTTCTTGAAAGAATAGGCCACGTTCACTCTCCTTCCAGCAGCAAGCCTGCCATCAGTTTTCACTCCCAAGGTCAGGAGTCTGGCCTTGGCCTGGCTCACTGATCTGCCTGTGCACTGTTCCCCAATACTCCCACTCACTTCCATGTCTCAACAATCATGCATAATGCCGGCACCCCCAACCCCATACATTCAGTCCAAACCTCCCTCTTGAGCTACAGATCTACAGTGGTCAACCTTGGTGTAGGGCCTCCTTACTTGGTGTAGTCCTTGGTGTGACAGCAGCATCTGGGAGCTTGTTAGAAATGCAGTTCTGGGCCCAACCCAGACATGCTGAATCAGACTCTGCATTTTAGTAGGACACTCCCCTGACCCAGCAGATTCTTGGGCACAACAGAGTCTGAGCAGTGTGATGTCTTGTGACATAGCAGTTACTGTAATGCTCTCCCATGCCTCTACCTGCTGGTGCACCCATGCCTTAGGTGCTAAGAGTCCTGGCTGCTAACTTCTCATACCTGCACTCTTCTCTGGAGGATGGCTCAAGCCCGTCTGCACATTCCAGTCACCTGGGGATATATTAAAATGTCCAAAGCCAGGCCCCACCACAGGCCAAGGAAATCACAATCTCTGAGGTTGGGATCTGACATCAGCATTTCTGAAGCCCAAGAGTTGCCCTTAGACAGACATGTTTGGGACTCACTACCATAGCTGATGGGTGCTGCCTTGCTTAGAGGTTCTGGAGCTTTCTCATACTCCTCCCAGCTGCCCATGACTAGCGGCTGACTGATGCTGGGCCACAGAAGCTCAGCCACCTGTCGTAGCGAGGGACACCTCTGCAGTGCCTCACCTTACTCCAGCCCTGGGCGTGGCCAGGCTGAGGCCAGACTTCTGCCCACCCTGTCCTCTGCTTTATCCTGCTTCCCTCGCTCCTACACATTTCTCCTGAGAGCCCTTCTCCATGCCTTACTTTGCACAAGAATCTCTTTCTTAGGCTCTGATTTCAGAAATCCAACCCAAGACACAAGGATAGCACCACCCCAGACTCAACTAACACCAAACTGAACTCAAATCTTCCCCTGTGCCTTCTTCTCCTCCTGTGCCACTCCCCTTCTCATCCTCTGATCCTCCACCATCCTCCCACACCCGCCCATTCTGCACATGCTGGCCTGGAGCATGCAATGTCTTGTCATGTTGCTCCTGCCTGAAGTCCCCAGTGTCTCCCTGGCATGCGCAGCAGTGTTTCCTAAAATGGGATTGTATTCTGTGTAGTCCTCAAGTCATCTGGGAGAATTTTTAATTATCTGTTGTCATTTGATAACTTAAAAAATACGTTATTTTATGAGCACATTCTTGATGTCTGGACGGCCACATCTGCCTCCTACTTCCAGTGCCCACACTTCAGCTTAAGATATTTTTGGAACCAAATGATCACTCAAAGAAATAGCTTTTCATTTTCAAAAGTACTGGTAGGTGAGTCTGGCTTATGTTACTTAGGCATGTCCTAATATCAAAATGACAATAGTTATCATGGACCGTACTCATATGACTACTATTACAATAATATTTACAATTTTTGAGTGTTTATCGTAGGCACTGCATGGTACATGCCTTATCTCACTTGATCTTGACACAGCTCTATGAGATAAGTATTGCAAATATCGTATTTGTTTCAGTTATCTATTAGTATCTAAAGAACCACTCAAAACTTAGTGGATTAAAACAATAACAATGTATGATTTCTCATGATTCTTTGGTCTGGAATTTCAGGTGAGGTTCAGCTAGGTAGTTCTTCTGTTCGTTTCTTCCGTGGCTCAGCTTGAAGGTTCAGGAAGAATTCAGTCATGTCTAGTGCTTCAGGTTCCTCCATGTGGACTTTTTTTCTTCATGTGGTTTCTCATCATTTGCTTGTCTAGCCCAAGCTTTACAGTCAGCAGCTGGCTTCCTAGAGACCACCAGCATCACTTCTGCCACATTGTATTTGTCCAAGTTAATCACAAGGTAACCCTAGATTCAAAGGAAGGGAAGTAAACTCCAGATCTTGATGGGAAGACAGCAGGCATGCATGTAGAGGGATGGGAAGAACTATTGATGGCCATATGCCCATTTAATAGATGCGGAAACTGTGTCTATTTATCCCAGCCAACAAGAGGCAGAGTGAGGACTAGAACCCAGGCTGTTGGGTTCTATGGTCTATGCTTTAAGCTATTACGTCATGTTCTACTTTCATTGTATCCCCTATGCCTCACTAAGTCTCAGCTATAAAGACAGAACTCTTTTGTGTGATAGTTCACAATCCAAAGGCACTTTTCAGAGAAACCGATGTCATGAAAAACACAGGGTTCAGGAGAGGCCCAGTGGTCTCATGGTTTTTTCTCTCACACTCCCTCCTTTCTCCATCACTCTCCCAATCACACTCTAGCTGAACTGACCCCTTTGCTCCCCCAAATATGCCTGTGCTTTCCAGTGTTCTGCTCATTTAATACATTGGTCTCTCGTATTTTTCTGTTTTGTCCACTAGAGAGAGGTCTTCTCTTCTTAAAGACAATTCCTCCTCCTGCTTCACAGCCTAGCAGCCACTGCGCTGTGGAAATGTGGTTGGTCTGAATTGAGGTGTGCTTACATACAAACCATACGCCAGATATTGAAGACTTAGTACAATAAAGAGAATGTAAAACATCTTATTAATACATGCAATCAGTTGATTACATGTTGAAATGATATTTTAGATCTATTCAATAAATAAAAGATAATATTAAAATTAATTTCACATTTATTTATTTACTTATTACCAACTCGGTCTTACTCTGTCACCCAGGCTAGAGTGCAGTGGCATGATCTGGCTCACTGCAGCCTCAAACTCATGAGCTTTAGCAATCCTCCCACCTCAGCCTCCTGAGTAGCTTGGACTCCAGATGCCCACCATCACACCTGGCTAATTACCTATTTATTTTTAGATTTAAAAAAATGTAGCTACCAATTTTTTTTTTTTGAGATGGAGGCTCACTCTGTCACCCAGGCTGGAGTGCAATGGCACGATCTTGGTTCACTGCAACCTCTGCCTCCGTCTCCCGGGTTCAAGTGATTCTCCTGCTTCAGCCTCCTGAGTGGCTGGGATTACAGGTGTGTGCCACCACGCCCAACTAATTTTTGTATCTTTAGTAGAGACGGGGTTTTACCATATTGGTCAGGCTGGTCTTGAACTCCTGACCTCGTGATCCGCTCCCCCTCGGCCTCCCAAAGTGTTGGGATTACAGGCGTGAGCCACCGCGCCAGGCCTAACAGAAATTGAAAATTGCATATGTGACTCACTTTATATTTCTATTGGACAGCACTGGTGTAGGGGATGCCTCCTCATGGCAAACTCCAAGGTAACTCTGAAGAACCCTAAGGCTCCAAGGAACCCAGGCTGAAAACCATTAGGTTGATTTGACTCATGAGGAAACTGAGGCTGGAATTGGCCAACAACTTGTTCATGGCTATCGAAGTGGTAGAATGTTGAATTTACATGAAAACCCAGATGTTCTATGCCCTGTTTGTTTTTTTCTCTCCTATCCTGGAGGTGCTTGGATACCATGTGAGGATGTAGGCACAAGCCACTCTGCTGGGCCTTTGAGGTCCTTCATCAGAAAGCTTCACCATCTCAAGTCTGTCTTGGCTGGAGACCCTGGAGACAAGCAGTGACTGCTCCGCCCTTCTTGCCCTCTTGTCTTAAACTACCCTTTTGACTTGCCCAATCCCAGTCCTGCTCCCAGGACCATAGTAACTCTTGCTGGAATAAGTCCAATCTAGTTGGAAGGATGAGAAAACAGAGACAGCTTGGCTTTGTCACTCGCTGACCCCATGACCACAACACTCAGCTCACTGCTGAGCACTCACATAGCCCAGGCCTCTCTTGTGCATGGGTGACTGGTATCCACATGGCCAGTGACTCACATGGGAACTGAAAGCTCCCTTTGGTGGGGCAACTTCTCTAAAGTAGCCCCATGAATCAGCAGTGTGGGGTGCTGGAAAGCAAGGGCTGACCCTGACTTGCAGTCAGTCAGGGACCCTGAGCAGAAGCCCCTGCATCACAGGCTTCCACCACAGCCCGGAAGAGTTGCAGCACTGTGGGCCAGTGGTAGTTCCATGTATAGCACGAGTGGAGGCCCAAGATGCATGTGCATGTATGGGCCTAAGAGGTCTCCATGAATTGTTTCTCTGGGTGGTAGAGAACCCAAGCAAGTGGGAGCCAAGAGTATCTACCCCCGTCCCTGACTCTGTTTCCTGTGAGAGGGGCTGTGTTGGCCCAGGCCTGAGTGTGCCAGGGTTGCTTGGGCAACCACTGCCCCATGCCTGCAGTCTCATCTCTCCTTCTGAAGCCAAATCAGAGAAGTGCAGACTCATGGGGCTATGAGGAAACCCATGTTGTGTGGATCAGCAGTCACAAGGTGAAGGCTCTCTTCCCACTTCTTCCGCAGCTCTAGCTGTGTGGCTTTGAGCTAGTTGCTATATGTCTCTGAGACTTCATTTCTAATTTATGTAATAGGTATATTAATGTTAGTTATACTTTGCTATATAAACAAATCAAGACTTCGTGGCTTAAACAATAAACATTTCTTATACAGTTTCTGTGGGTCAGGAATTTGGGAGTGACTACACAGGGTGGTTTCAGCTTAGGGTCTTTCAGGTATGGAGTTCCTTTGACAAGGTACCTGGCTTCCTCCAGAGTGAGCGATCTAAGACAGCAAGACAGAATTCACACTGTCTTTTATGACTAACCTTTGAAGTCAAGTTCTGTCATTTCTACACTACCCTATTAGTCACAAAAGTCAATGCTATTCAAGGATGGTGCAAACGACTGTGGGCCGTCTGAGGCTGGCTAGCACAATGGAGTTATTAATATCTGCCCTGCCCATCTTACAGAACCATTGAGAGGTTTGGTTTGCACACCCACAGCAAGGAAAATCAGCACCCAGAGGATGCATCTGTGAAGAGTCAAGGCAGCATCTGCTAAAAACAGCTGGTGAAGGGGCTTCTGGGGCTGGAGCCTGGAGACATCAGAAGAAGCTCCGTGAGGAACACGGGGAGAGTCAGCTGTGAAGTTTGGCAGCTCAGAAGCCTTCCTAATGGGAGAGTGGCAAGGTTCCATTGAAGATGGGCATGTGGGATGGGAGAAGTCGCTGTGGTCATTTTTGGAAAATACAGTCTCTCATAAAGGACCAGAGTAATCTCCCATATTTGAAGGCCTGTATTGAGTCATGATTGAATATTTTACTATCTAAGTTAAATAATCTAATTCCAAAGGGTCAAAGACAATTTAGAGTTTGATAGAACCTTGAAGATGCTCTGGTTTAGTCATTGGATTGTAAGATGAAAAACCCTGAGCTCTCAAGAGTTGAAATGGCTTGCCCAGTTTACCTAGCTGGCCAGAGGCACAGCCTCATGGAGAATCCCAGGCTCCTGCTCCCCCTTGCTCCAGCCCACCCTTGGGGAACTCTGATGGTCGCCTCACTGGAATCACCCCCCTTCTTTCTTCCAACAGGCTGATTTTGTTCAGGTATTCACCCTGCCCAAATGGCTTATGTGCTCCAAGGGAAGCTGACCGTGCCATGTTGCTCTACCTATAGCCAAGGCCAGCATGGCAGGAGCAGCTTGCCGCCAGTCTGCAGCAGTGGAAACCTCCACCCCGAGAGCCACAAAGTCAATACTGTCAGTGGAAAACAGAGCTGGGGCCACTGGATTAGGTTGGCACAGGCCTGCTCTGCTGAACTTCCCATTTTGTGAATTAACTGTCTCCTTAGTATTCAAGCCACTTTAAGTTCAGTTTTCTGTTACTTGCAGCTGAAAGAACCCTCAAGAAAGTATTCCTATTTCTGGGATTAATCCTGACTTTGGGAAGGGGAATTTAAGGAGATTTAGCTCAATACTATAGGTCTATGCATCAGGCATTGACAGTGTGCCCCTGACCTTAGCCTGGTTTCTGAGAACTTGGATTTTCTCTCATTCTCTTGATTCAAATCTCTACCTGAGAGCAGCTCCGTCCCTCCAGAACCCATTCTTGGTACTCTTGTCACTCTCAGTTGCTGCTCAGGGCTGGAGTCCTCTCTGCTTCCAAAATTTCACGCTGATGGCTATAGCCTTGTAACCCACTGTTGTCCCAGGTGCCTTCTCACCTGCTGCTTATCCTCCTGGATTTCAGAGAATCACTACTCCTGGAGTCTTCTTTGTTGAGTGCTGAATTCTGCCCCTCTTAGCATATGTCTGGTTGGGCCCAAGTGCTATATGCTCATCTGTTTTTTTGTCTATTACTGTCTTAATCTGTTTTGTGCTTTTATAACAGAATACCACAGACTGGGTAACTTATAATGAACAGAAATTTATTGGCTCATAATTCCAGAGCCTGGGAAGTCCAAATCAAGTCATCTGGTGAGTGTCTTCTTGCTGTGTCATTGCAAAGTAGAAGGTATCACGTGGCAGAAGGCATCATATGGTGGAAGGGAAAAAAGAGAATGAACCCATTCCCTTGAGCCTGTTTTTCAGAGGCATTAATCAATTCATGTGAGCCGAGCCCCCATGATTAAAGACGTTACTTCAGGCCCTACCTCCCTACAGTGTTGCACTGGGGGTTAAATTTTAACATGACTTTTGGAAGAGACAAACATTCAAACCACAGCAGTTATTGAACTATGCAGATTCCAGACACCTAAACTTTCCTGCTGGAGTAGACTTCCTCCTTGCACCTGCAGCTAGACAGATGAAGCCTGCCACTCCCACGGTTCCCTTTGTGTCTTTGTGAGGGAGTCTTCTTGCAGATCATCCTGGTAGACCTTGGGGGAAAGTGCTTGGTTTGGGAGGTGCAACATCCCATAATTACCCCTGCAATGTCTAAACCTTCACAGAACAAAGAATCATCACTAATGTTTCACAATGCACAAGGCTCCTTTGTATGCACTCAAGGTTCATGTTTTATCTTATTTTACCCCTGCTGTTTGGAGAGTGAGGTCCCATGGGGATTTTGAAAGCAACACAAGTTGTTCCTGTCTCCAATAAGTGTTTGAATGAAGTAACAGGTGTGCATAAATAAATATAGTTAGAAAAAGTTAATATCTTCTCACTGAGACATGTGCTTATGTTTGGTTAAGGTCTCTGTTTTCATCCTCATCATCTCTTTGTGGCTCTAAACAATTCTCTTGCATTTGAAAACATTACCTGCTTGCTAATAAATGTTTTTATTTAGGACAGAATTCATTCTGAGCCTTGCTCCTGGGGTAACTTGGATTGAGATAGCAGGGGAGTGGGTGAGTTTCCACTCTTATCTGATGGTGGCAGCTGATAGTAACCAAAAGGAACTTTGTGGTTGTGCATGACCAAATTGTCTTAGGTCAGTTTCAACACCTGGGCAGTAGGAAGCGCACATGCATAAATAAGCAGTGAGAATTTGCTACATATTTTAATAGAGGGACCCAGGGAAAGCTAACCTCACACATAATGTGTCTCGCAAACCCCTTGAAACCTTCCCTGGGCTATGGCAGTGCCTCCCCTCTTCTTCCCTGGCCTTTCCCACAGCACCCAGCTCTGATCCTTGTTTCTACTTCATGCTATGGAAAATCTCTTTCCTTCCACAGAAAATATGGGAACAGCCCAAAGTCCAGGCTGGAAGCTCCCTTTGACTCTTTGAGAAGTGGGCTTCTCAAAGGCCCTTTTTCCTCAAAGAAATCCTCATGCCAGCAGCTACAAAGGTATTTCCTTGATAGTCTTTGCAATGACCATGAAAATACTGATCATTGGAAGGGAAACATGATGGTTCAAGGTTCTTGATAAAGAGTTAGGCATTGTAAATTCTGACCTCCTTGCATTTCCTCATGGTAGTTTTGGGGTGTTGTTCAGATGGATGGAGGGCTGTCAGGCTTGGTTTGCTTCCGGGTCTCTCTAGCCTTCTTATTGTGACAGCCAAAACCATACTCATGGTCCTTCCTGCTGGATTCTGGATGGCTCACCTCCATGGAGGTCCTCTCATTGCTCTGGTTCCAATCTTGTGCTCCAGTTCTGGCTGCTAGGCCTTTGCCTCACTTCCTGGGTCTTCTCTCTCTTCCTCATGGAAATCTGCTCATTCCCTAGTCTCTCTAGAATGGGCCCTGCCTTAGACCCAAAACCCTTTCCCCACCTATTTGGGGGCTGGCTTCCTGACTTAGTGGTTGTGACCCTGAGACATGACGGATGATAGATCTTTCTGATGAAAACTGTCTTCCCCAACCCACACACACACTGAGCTTACAAGGGCACCTTCTACTTCCCAATTTGATCTTGTACAATTGGGAGGTTCTTTTTGGTTAATAAAAGCAGCCACCATTGTAGTAGGTGTTTAGGGCCAGCTCCTCCTCACAGCCTCACTGCAGGTTACCATAAAAGCAAGTCTCAGACTGAATTCTTCCCCCCAAAACAGACATTTATTAGCAAGCAGGCTCACATCAGTCACCTCCTGAGTGTGATAAAGTCCAGCATCTCTGTTCTTTAGGAGGTTCCAACGAGATCTTGCATGAAAGAGAGGTTCAGTTAAGGCAAATATCACAACAGTCTAGTAGTAGGATTGGTGAACCATCTAGTCAGACTGAGGTTGGCCCGCATTCTCCTGAACCAGAAGCTGACACAAATGTCGTGGGTGACATTCCTAAGTAGGGAGGAAGAAAGGCCCATTAGATTCGAATGGCCTGTTCATGTAAGTTTGTGGAGTTTCTTGCTGTGGAGTTTCATGCTTCACTGATGAAAACTCATGTCCATGTTCATTATATTAATGAACAAAACTGCTGGCACTAATCAGAGAAGAAGACAGCTGAAGCACTTGTGGGTGTCCGTCTGGGGTATGGCCTTCCGATTACACTCTAATTACCACCCTGGAGTTGTCTTGATTAGGGCAACTGGCTTCCTCTGGAGTGAAGATTTAAAAGGCTACACCCACACTTAGATTACATTTTCAGTGCCAATATATTTTTAAGTAAATTGCAGATATCATAGTACCAGGGTACTTCAGCCCCTATATTAACAGTAATGAACACATTTCTTTGGTTTACAACATGTTATTTCATGATTTCAGCTCCTTGCAAAGTAAGTCCCCTAAAGTATTTCTAAGCAGCCCCAGGCATCTTACAGAGACTGGCCAATAGTTCCATTTAGCACAGCCCTTGCTTCATCCCTTAACCACTTCCAGCTCCCTTTGCAATGGGCATTCATTGCTTGGCTTGCCTACAACAGCCTTCCCATTCTGGGGGAAAGCTGCTTTTTCACCAATCCAACCATCCCTGTGGTGTGAGGATGAACACACGATCTGCCTGGGCCAATCACAGTGGCCTCATCCCTTTGGCCAAAGCAATTGGCCAGGAATGGGCAAGTGGGCCCACAAAGCCAATCACGAGCCTTCTCTGGGATTTTTTTCCACCTGGAGCTGGTGAGGATGCTGATTCTCCTCCCTGCCATTGTTGGTTCAGAGCTGCCTGCAGGCATGGCTTTGACTTTGTGGGGACAGCTGGACTGAGAGAATGAGTCCAATATGCAGAGAGAATCAGAGACATAGGTTGTTATGGACTGAATGTTTGTGTCCCTCACCCCAAATTCATATGTTCAAGTCCTAACCTCCTATGTGATAGTATTTGGAAGGTGGGGACTTTGGGAGGTAATTGGGTTTAGATGAAGTCATGATGGGATTAGTGCCCTTAAAAGAAGAGGAAGAGGACACACTGAAACTCTCTCTTCAAGTGTGCACACACAAAGAATTGTCATAGGAACACATACTGAGATGCTGGCCATCTGCAAGCCAGGAAGGGGGACATCACTAGAACCAAATCCGTCTCCACCTTGATCTTGGACTTCCCAGCCTCCAGAGCTGTGAAATAGATGCCTATTGTTTAAGCCACCCTGTCTATAGTAACTTGTCATAGCAACCCAAGCTGACGAAGATGTAGGTGAAGAAAGAGGAAGTCCTGGCAATATTCAAATCTTCGAATCCAGTTGTCCTTGGGTTTAGCTGCACCTCTGTACTCTGTGTGATTTGGTTACACAGCCCACAGATTCCCTTTTTTGCTAAAGCTGGTTTGAGTTGAGTTTCTTTCTTTCTTTCTTTTTTTTTTTCTGAGACGGAGTCTCGCTCTGATGCCCAGGCTGGAGTGCAGTGGGGCTCACTGCAAGCCCTGCCTCCCTGGTTCACACTATTCTCCTGCCTCAGCCTCTGGAGTAGCTGGGACTACAGGCTCCTGCCACCACGCCTGGCTAATTTTTTGTATTTTTAGTAGAGACAGGGTTTCACCGTGTTAGCCGGGATGGTCTCCATCTCCTGACCTCGTGATCCAACCACCTCAGCCTCCCGAAGTGCTGGGATTACAGGCTTGAGCCACCGCGCCCAGCCTGAGTTGAGTTTCTGATGAATCCGTTCACTGTCAACAGTCAGTAGTTGCTTTACAGGAGCTTTCACTCCTTATTGAAGCCCTATGCCTGCTATCAAGGACCACAATCACCCACCCTGTCCTTCTGATGCTGCCCAACATGTCTGAATCCTGACCTGAGGATCATCTAGGCCAAAATGGAGACCCTAAGTGTTCCAGTGCAGTCTGCTTGTGGCCAGCTTACCTGGCAGATGTCCACTCACAGGGTTAGGAGAAGGTCCACAGTTCTGGACTTGCCGACAACTGGTTAATGCATACCACAGATCAGTTAAGGCCTATTAAGTGATTTTGGCTTTCTATTCTCAACACTGTCCCTGGTTTGGACTACAGATTATATTGCCAGCCAAGGTATCACAATGACCATATGCTTCAGGAATCATTTTTGCCTTCTGGGAAGAACTTTCCCGGGACCTGAAGCTGATCTCGTCCACTCAGTGTGGCCAGGTCCTGGGTCCTAGGTCCCCAGTTTCTCCCCATTCTTAGGCCGCCCACCATGTACCCTGTAACTGAACTGTGATCTCTGAGTGGCTTCAGGGCAGGTTGTGGGTCTGGCTGCTCTGTGCCCATTGGAGCATCCCTGCCTCACAGCTCATCTGCTGATGTATGATGCAGCTGACTCATCCCAAACTTGTGGCCTTGGCAAGTAGGACCCTCTCAATCCCTATCCGCACTTTCCACACAGAGGAAGCCAGACAGCATTGTGTATTGATGGTTTGTTTCCATCTCACTAATCAAGAGGCTGAAAGCAACAAACTCTTTTTTTTCCTCTATCTCAACTTTTATTTTAGGTTCTGAGGGTACACATGCAGATTTGTTAGATGGGTAAATTGAATGTTGCTGAGGTTTGGTGTACCAATGGTCCCATCACCAGCGATGGATATAGTCTGGAGGGCCAGACTCCAGGTTTCTTGTGGCTGAGGAATACACTCCTGTCTTGCTGAAGCCCTCCCTATGGAGTGAGCTCTGTGGACCAGCAGCTTGGGCATCGCACAGGAGCCCATTAGACATGCTGAACGTCAGGGCCAGCCCCAGGGCTTCTGAATCACGGTCTGCATTTTAACAAGATCCCCGGGTGATTTCTGTGTACAGGATGGTTTGAGAGGCACTGGTTTAAGCCACTATTTTTTTTTCCTGTTATTTGCAGCTGAACCCAATTCTTTCTTTCTTTCTTCTTCTTTTTTTCTATAGGGCTTTTAAAAAATGTTTCCTCACTGTTTTGACAATATCATGAAAAAAATTCAGTTTAGAATCTGGAACTGACCTGGATGAGATTCAGGGGCAGCTACATGGCAAGGGCGGCACAACCTCTTTGATTCCCTCCCCACGGTGGGAGCTAAGCTACTGGTAATGGAGGCGCCGACAGGCACCAAACCAGGAACTAAGTTAGTGTCTCAGGCAAGAAAGGGGAGGCGAGGCCGGAGCCACTGCGGGGACCCTCCTGGTTATAGTTAGTTGTCTCTCTCCCTCCCCACACTGGCGACATGAAGACAGGCAGGTGGGTCAGGTGTTCCAGGACAGAAAAATAACCAGCAGTCAGCCCTCAGGCTCACACCTGAGCTTCTGGTCAATCCCCTCGGCTGAACCCGCTTCTTGTGGATAGAGTAGATGATGTCCAGGTGGGGTCACTGAGAGAGTGGGGCTGGAGAAGGGATTTCTGAGCGGCTCACTCATGGGCACCCTCACCTCCCTTCCCTGCATGCAGGCCTGACTTTCTAGAAAACCCTCATTTCTAGAATGAGGGGTGTGGGAGCCTTGGCTAGAGCTGTTCTGGGGCCCAGGGTCTCAAAAAGCAAGGTTCCTGTCCCCTGTGATTGCCTTGCTCCGGACCCCTATGTCTCCAGCACCAAGAGTGTCAGGGTAGACGACGGTGTGGAGCTCAGTGGAGGCGGATAAGGGGGCTGTAGTCATTTTGAAACCTTACGGTATTATAAAATAGATCATCCTTCCTGGAAGCCATGGCCTTCTGTTTTTAAACACAGGCGTTTCTAGGCTGAATTTCTGGGGCCTCCTCTATGACTCAGACTTGATTGCCTAAGAGGGTCACAATCTTTGGTACAAAATTCCAAGAAGGGTCCCTCCCAGCACATGCACATCCACATCCACCCAGGTCTTGTACACCAGCACCTCTCAAACTTTAATGCCCAAATGTATCCTCTGGAGATTTTGGTGAAAGGCAGTCTGGCTTGTGGCCTAAGACTCTGTGTCTCATAAAGCCTCCTGGTGCTGCAGCAGCTGCTGCTGCTGCTCTGAGAACTACACTTTAAAAGGCAAGGTTGTAGACTCTCTACTAACAGCTAGTGGATATTTCTTAGTTACAGCCTCTCATCTTCAAAACCTGACCCCACAATTCCAGACACTCCAGTTAGAAAGGTCAAATTAATTGTCATTTGTTACAGGATCTCACCACGAGTGTGGCTTCTCTTGGACAGGTGAGGGTAGAAGTTTCTGTTTCTCTTTGTTTTGCTTTTATTAATAACCTACTACACACAGAACTTCATTTTAGATAAAATCCTGGCCAAGACATGAACAGGTGTGTAAGTAACTCTGTGGACAGTGGGATTTACTTTCATCTGGGTTCCTGGTGGTGAATGATATCTCCATGTTTAGAGAGCACCTCTCAGTTTGATGTGGCAGTTTTTTGCTGTGGTTATGACTTTCAACATACTTCCTGCTTTTCTTGCAAAACAGAGAAGACTCACTCCTCTGTGGGAGGCCACAGCCCAAATGATTGCTGGCTTCTTCAAGGGCTGGAGCAGGGCTTGCAGGGGATTGCTGGCCTTCAGTGTGTGAGGTCTTTGGCCTTTTTCTACGTGAACATCAAGGTTAATCTATGTGGACTTGGCCTTCTGTTGGAGCAAGTTATTGCAATGCTGTTGGAGGAGCATGAGGTTCTTAGCACTTCTTAGCTTCAGATATCAAGGGAGATTCTTGTCCAACAACAACAGAAAATAGAGCCCAGCCATTTTTGTCATCAAGATTGCCAGGGTCGCATGATCTCAATGGCAATGCTCACACTTGCTAGAAATTTGGATTCATAAGCTTTTGAGTTAAACAGGGTCTGAGAATCCTTAAAGCTAACTCCTCTCTGTTTCAGAGGTGCAAACTGCTAATGAGAAAGATGCCAATCTGGTTCTTATTCTTTTTTTTTTTTTTTTTTGAGATGGAGTCTTTGTTGTCCAGGCTGGAATGCAGTGGTGTGATCTCATCTCACTGCAACCTCCACCTCCTGGGTTCAAGTGATTCTCCTGCCTCAGCCTCTGGAGTAGTTGGGATTACAGGTGCCTGCCTCCACACCCAGCTAACTTTTGTATTTTTAATAGGACGGGGTTTTGTCATGTTGGCCAAGCTGGTCTCAAACTCCTGACTTCAAGTCATCTACCTGCCTTGGCCTCCCAAAGTTGGTTCTTATTCTTTTGTTGTTTATTTGTTTCTTGTTTCTCTCTGAGAGTGTTTAGGATCTCCTTAGATTGTTGGTGCTCTGAAATTCCAAGAGGTTATTTCTATGGATCACTCTTTGTTCATTGTGCTCAGTGCTTGGGGTCTTTCAATCCAAAGCTTATATCTTTCTTCAACTCCGGGAGATTTTTTTCAATTGTTTCTTTGATAATTTTCTGCTTTCTGTTTTCCTTCTTCTCCTTTTCTGAAATTCCTGCAATGTAAATGTTGAGCCACCTAAATTGACCCTATGTATTTTTTTTCTCCAATTACCCATTTTATTTTGGTCATTTTACTCTGTATTCTGCAAGTTCTTCTTGAATTTTTAATGTATTTTTTCTGTCTTTGACTTTTGGTTTCAAAAAAATTGAATGTATTATATTTGTGATAATAAAAAGTAAATATATTTTAAAAGGGATTTAGAACAAACTCTTGGTTTTCAACTGCTCCTTTTTAATAGAAGATTTTTTTTTTTTTTTTTTTTTTTGACAGAGTCTCGGTCTGTCACCAGGCTGGAGTGCAGTGGCGTGACCTGGGCTCACTGCAACTTTTGCCTCCCGGGTTCAAGCAATTCTCCTGCCTCAGCCTCCTGAGTAGCTGGGATTACAGGTGCCCACCACCATGCCCAGATAATTTTTGTATTTTTAGTAGAGACGAGGTTTCACCATGTTGGCCAGAATGGTCTCAATCTCTTGACCTCGTGATCCACCTGCCTTGGCCTCCCAAAGTGTGGGTTTTGTTTTACGGACGTATCATCTTGGTTCTCCAAGAGGATAATTAGAGTTTAAGGTTTTTACTTAGTTCTTTTTCCTTTCCTTGTTCTACCTCCTCCAAGTTCATTTGTTCTGTTGACTTATCTTGGTCCTTTTCTTTTCCTGAGTGAATGGTGTTTGTGGCAGCTCATTTCTATTTATGCATTCTAGGTTGGGTTGTTAAGTTGAAGTAAATGGGGGACTGGGGTCCTTCTGCGAATGAGAAGGTGTGACTGTGAGCTCTCTGGCTGTGGAAGGGGGTGCTGATGGGTAAATCTTGCTTTCTTCTGTGAGAGTGGGAGAAGTCAAACCAATTCAAGGAGACCCCTGCTCTAAGATGTTACTCCCATGTTGGAAGCCTCAGCCCCTTCCAGTCAGCTTTTATTTGCTTTTTAAAAAGATTATTTCTCAAGGGTGCAAGGGTGGTAAGGGATAAAAGACTAAACACTGGGCACAGTGTACTGCTTGGGTGACAGGTGCAGCAAAATCTCAGAAATTACTACTAAAGAATCTATCCCTGTAACCACCTGTTCCCCGAAAACTATTGAAATAAAATAAAAATAAAAAAGGATTATTTTTCCAGCTTTTAAGGTAAAAGCTGCCATTTTCTGCCCATGGGATTAGGGAGAGGTGGGATGGTGAAGGCCAGTTTCCACAGCAGTTTAGGTCCAGTCATTCCATCAATCACTTCCTTTTATGCTCACCCTGGTCTTTGTACTTTCCAACCTCCAGAGGCTCTAACGTGAAGGACATCACCCCCTGCCACTGCCCTCACCAATAACTTCCACTTTTATTGCAACCCCAAAATGTGTTCTGAGCATCTAGGAAGCTAGAAATCAGCCTTCCTCATCAACTTCCTTAAAATTGGGGATTTAAGTAATACTTTTTAGAATCTGTCCACTCAGCTTCCAGGCCACATCCCTCTGACCCAGCTCCACCCCATTTCCATCCTTATTGTTTCTGGGGGAAGCCACTTGATGATGCCAAGTATTTTCCAGTTCTGCTTTTGACCGCACTTTGCAAAGTAGTGTATGGTATGATGCTTGTTCCTTCCTTGGTTTGGAAGACTTTTGCCTGTTTTCTCAAAAACAAATGAACAAAAATCTCTGGTGTTTTTTGGATTTGGTGGGAGGGAGAATTTTGAATCTGCTTCAAGTCCCACATCTTTCTCTGCCACCTCACACGATTAATATCAAGAAGCACAGACAACTCTCATTTATTTCCCACTTTCAGTGAAAAAGAAAAAGCACCAACCTTGCTTGTTTTGGTTCCATTTTGGTTTGTTCTGTTTGTTTTTAATAGCTGTTCACATGAATGTATTAACCTGGATGGGATCTTGATTTGACCTAGAGTCATACTAGGTGGCTGAGAGGACACTAGTCAGCTTCCTCTCAACTATGAGATGACCTAGTGGTCAGCCTTCAGGGTCTGGATTTTCCTCAGGAGGGTCCTTGCTAAAAGTGGCAGAGTCCATTTTCAGTCCAAGACAGAATGAGATGAAAGAGAGAATCAAGGATGTGGACCTGATTGCCTGGAGACCTGTGTTCTAGTCCCACCTGGCCTTCTTATCAACTGTGCAGGCTGGGGCAAGTGGTAGCCTCTCCCCAGCTTCATTTTCCTCCTCTGTAAAATAGTTGGGTGGGTCCTGATGTCTCCCAGATCGCTTTTACTTTCTAAAACTCCATGATTCCTTATAAAGTAGGCTTCTAAAGAGCAAGTAAGGGCAGGAGAGGATGTGAAGGGGAAGAATAATTAATATCCACATTCAGCCCTAATTTGGTTAGTATGGTTTCATTAATAATGGAAATAACAACAATTGCCATTGATGAAGACTATTTATGTTTCTGTTTCAGAAACAATATCTGCTCTTGGAGTCACTGCCACCAAGGGAATAACTTTACCTGGAATATGGACTGGGAGCTCAAGCCAAAAGCATGGACAAGGGAGTCCCAGATTACAGGATACTATTATGACTTTTGCATAAATATAAACTCCTATTAGATAAATTGATAAGATGTGCTCTGGTTAGCTATTGCTGTGTAACAAACCACCCCAAACAGTGGTTTAAAGCAATGACATTCTAGGGTTGGCTGGGCTCAGCCAGGTGGTTCTTATGTGGTCTATCATTAAGGTGCAAAAAGATAGTGGCTGGGTTAGGGCCATTCTGAAGAGTTATTCACTCACAGGTCTAGAACCTGGGCTGAAGGACTCAAACAGCTGGAGGATCTATCTATCTATCTATCTATCTATCTATCTATCTATCTATCTATCATCTTCTATCTATCTATCTATCATTATCTTTCAATCTCCTCCATATGATCTCTCCCCAAAGTGGCTCCAGGGTAACCAGACTTCTTACATGACAGCTGGAGCCTTGGAGTAAGTTTCCTAAAGAGACACTGGTAGAAGCTGCATGATCTTTTCTAATCTGACTTCAGAAGTCACACTTCTACTACATTCTGTTCATTAATGCAGCCACAAGGGCCCGCCCAAGTTCAAGAGGTGAGGATACTGACTCTGTCTCTTAATGTGCAGAGTGTCAAATAATTTACAAGCACGTTTCAAAAACCACCAGAAGTTGCAAGAATGAATCAGTTAGTGTTGATGAATATCAATATAATATAGTTACAAAATGAATTATTGCAAGATTTAAAATTTGCAAACTCTGATAGTCACCTAGTGACCATCTCACCAAGCATTTCTAGAGGTGCCCACCACTTGATTTCCAGCCTAGGTGCTGCCCTGGCCTAAGCAGAGACCCCAGTTATACATTGGAGTAGGCAATGGAGAGTCAAGATGACCTGATTCTGTCATGCTGAGTCATATGACCTTTGATATATCACTTTAACTTACTGGGCCTCATGTTTCTCCTGCATAGTGGAGATACTAGCCTTGCCTTACCTATGTTGAAGAATTGTGATGAGACTCAAATAAGAATGTACTTTATAACTGCAAAGTGTTCTACAAAGGAAGAGAATGCTCCCTCCTGTTTCTTGCCTCTTCTGAACACTGGTGAAGCCATGAGGCCTTAAGAACCTTGTCACATTAAAGGTTAACCCTCCAGGAATCTTCTGTTACACATTTCTTCCCAATAGCCCTGGGTTCTCATGGTGTCCACTGGCGCCTATTTACTGGGTTCTTCTGGGAGGGATGGAGTGTTTGGCTTTTCCCCACGTGGCTTGACTGCTGGCAATCACCTCTGTGTGCTTTTTTTTTTTTTTTTTTTTTTTTTTTTTTATGGAGTCTTGCTCTGTAGTCCAGGCTGGAGTGCAGTGGCATGATCTCAGCTCACTGCAACCTCTGCCGCCTGGGTCCCGGTTCAAGCAATTCTGCCTCAGCCTCCTGAGTAGCTGGGATTACAGGCACGTGCCACCATGCCCAGCTAATTTTTGTATTTTTAATAGAGACAGGGTTTCACCATGTTGGCCAGGCTGGTCTTGAACTCTTGATCTCGTGATCTGCTTGCCTCAGCTGCCAAAGTGCTGCGATTATAGGCATGAGCCACCGCGCCTGGCCCTGTGTGCTCTTTATTATGGGATGGCTTTTCCAGTCCACAGGGAGGATCTTCCCTACAACTGACAGCATAAGGCTGGGTTCAAGGGGTGAAATGGACAGTGCTTTGGGACCTGGTGGCAGAAAAGCTAATGTGAAACTGACAGAAGAGAAATTTATTTACCAACTCTCCAATCTACACCTCCAACACAGACTTGCTTTTCTTTTAAAGGACCCAAGTTTGCTTCTTTTCAAAACATTAAAAATATTTAGTCAGAGACAGTTCAGCCTCTCAGTGCTTCCTCTTTAGCAGAGAAGATCCAGAAACACCTGTCACAGGCACAACCTATGGATTTATTTATTTATTTATTTATTTATTTATTTATTTATTTATTTATTTATTTGAGACAGAGTCTTGCACTGTTGCCCAGGCTGGAGTGCAGTGGCACGATCTCGGCTCACTGCAAGCTCCGCCTCCTGGGTTCATACCATTCTCCTGCCTCAGCCTCCCAAGTAGCTGGGACTACAGGCGCCCGCCACCACGCCTGGCTCATTTTTTTGTATTTTTAGTAGAGGTGGGGTTTCACCGTGTTAGCCAGGATGGTCTCAATCTCCTGACCTCGTGATCTGTCCACTTCGGCCTCCCAAAGTGCTGGGATTACAGATGTGAGCTACCACGCACTGCCAACCTATGGATTTATAAAGGAAGAAAAATATGTAGCAGATTGATTAAATTATCTGACAGTGGAGGGGCATGGCCATAAATGTTTTTGTTTCTCTAATCATTGCTGTCCATTGTCCTGTGTTGAGCTTTTCTTTCCCATTCTTTGATGATATTTGGTCAGCTCCTGTGGCCTTCCAGTCACTTCCCAATATAGAAGGGACAGGTCCAGTCCAGAGCAGCGCAGGTTAAAGCTCCAGTCTCCTACACAATTTAGCCCTTGTTTCATCCTCTGCCTTAAGCACCTGCCAGATTTTTCCCTTGAAGGGAACATTGTCTTTACTGCCTGCCCCCCCGCCCCAGCTTGATTCCTTAGGGTTGGGCAGTGGGGAGAAAGAGGAGGAGAGAGATACAATCTCTAACTTCCTGGTGGGGCTGCAGCCTTCTCTTTGTGACTGTCTCCTGTTCCCACCCAGAGATGGGGGGCTGCATGGAGGAGCTCTCAAAGCCCGTCTCTGTACACTCCCTGATGTGGTTCTACTCAGGTCTGACCCTGGCCAGACCTCACTCAGCTCCCAACCCACTGCTTCTTGTTCTGCAGGTTTCTCCTTTCTAGGTGGCCAGACTTTCTGGGTGAGGTCCTGGCAAGATGGTGCAAGTGCAGCTGCTTTCTGTGATTGTCCAACTGGTCTGTAGGAGACTCTTGCATTCTTATCTCCTAATGCTGCAAAAGCAGGCTGCTGCAGGGCCACCCCCTTGCAAGTTATTCCTGCTCCTTCTCCAATTCATCCTCTCTTTCTCAGAGTCTTCCCTCCTCCCCTGCTTAAATAGCCGTGCTTAAACAGACTCCAGCTAGGGAGCAAGATGTCAATCTCCGTTCTCAAAGCCACCTCCTAAACGCACAAGAGATTCTCTTGAAGCCCCTACTCACATGGCCTAGGGGAGTGAAGGGATGGAGGTGATCAGGAAAGCTACCTCTTCTACCAGAGAGGAAAAGCCACAGCACTCTCCCCTATGACTTTCTATTCTTAATATTCTCTTTTCTTTCTAAGTATCAGAAAAGTTCAGCTTCCTCTGAATTAGCCAAGGAAGCAGTGATTGACCCCCTAGTTGTTTGTTTCTTGATGCCCTTTGGTTCACAGTAGCCATTTCTCAGGCAGCAAGAGAAGTGGCTGTCAACATCCTGCTACAGACACATGGTCAGTGAACATTGCAATAAGCGATGAGCCTTGCTAACAATCAGGGCTATGCAAATTAAGAGAGGAAGAGGATGTTTTTCAGCCTATCAAATTGGTTTAAAATAAATGCATTACGTGATTATATCCGAGCTTAATAAATCTGTGTGTTTGTGTGTGTATAAGTGCATAGGTGTGTATATAAGTGTTTGGGTGTGTGTGTAATTGTGTAGGTGTGTAAATGTTGGGTGTGTGTGTAAGTGTGTAGGTGTGTGTATGAGCATTTGAGCTTATGTGTGTAAGTGTGTGTGGAGTGTGTGTGTGCGTTTGGGTGTAAGCATGTATAATGAGGCATGTGAGTGTGTGAGGGAACAAGCCAGTGCTGGTCAGTAGGGGCTGCTGGTGATGCTGATGGGAGAACAGGCATTGCCACACACCACTGCTGAGAGTTGAAACAGTACCCTATCAATGGAAAGCCATTTGTCAATACATATAAGAACCTTAAAATGTGCAAACACTATAACCCAGAAATTCCATTTATCTTAAGGAAAAGTCATGGACAGTCACTGCAGTGATGCTTAGAATAGCAAACTTGACCCTTAAATGCTCAACTCTAGGGGACTATAAACAAATCAAGAACAGCAGTTTGCGTAGTGCTTATATGTGCTAGACACTGTTTTAAGTGCTTTCCATATATTTGATATTCCACAACAACCTAGTGAGAGAGGTACTATTGATATCTCCTCCATTTTACAGATAAGAAAACTGAGCTCAGAGAAGTTGAGTGATTTGCCCAAGTTCATCAAGCCAAGATTTCAACTCAGGTGATCCAACCCGAGTGCACACTTTTAATCATCATGCTCTACTGCCTCAAATAGACTGGTCTTTGAACACTAACATCATGTTCCAGAAGAATGTGGGAAAAATATACATCATCTGACTTAAGGGGGCAAAGCAGGTTACAAAGCAATGCATTCAGTCTGACCATTACTTTTTTTTTAAAGTATATAAAAATGCACAAGACAGAGAATGGAAGGATGTCTACCAAAATGAGAATATTTGTGATTTTAATTCAAAACAGCTTTATTGAGTGTTAATTCACATCACATACAATTCATCCAGTTAAAGTACAGGAATACCTTGGAGATACTGCAGGTTCAGTTGCAGACCACTACAAGAAAACAAATATTATAGCAAAGTAAATATCACAATAAAGTGATTCATAAGAATTTTTTAGTTTCCCATTTCATATAAAAGTTATGTTTACACTATACTGTAGTCTATTAAGTATGCAAGAGCATTATCTCTAAAAATGCACATTTTTTTCATTAAAAATATTTTATTGCCTGGAAATGCTAACAATCATCTGAACCTTCAGTGAGTTGTAATCTTTTTACTGATGGAGGGTCTTGTCTTGATGTTTATGGCTGCTGAATGATCAGGGTGGTGGCTCCTGAAGAATGAGAATATTACATAAACTTAGTTGATAAGTCAGAGGCAAAGTTTGAGAGGATAGACTTTAATTTTAAAAGCACTGCTGCTGTGGGTAAACTGTTACCAACCAGAATCACATGCTGTAGAGTGAAATGGTATGAAAGAAAGAGTTGATGAATCTGGCAAACTTCCCTGTTATCTAACTTTAAGACATTTCCACAGCTACCTCATTCTTCTGAAAATTTTTAAAAAAAACTATTGCATTCAGCCTGGGCAACATGGTGAAACCCCATCTCTACAAAAAATACAAAAATTAGCCAGCATTGTAACATGCCTGTAGTCCCAGCTACTCAGGAGGCTGAGGTGGGAGGATCGCTTGAGCCCAGGTGGTCAAGGCTACAGTGAGCCCAGATCATGCCACTGCACTCCAGCTTGGGTGACAGAGTGAGACCCTGTCTCAAAAAAAAAAAAAAAGTATTGCAGTTATTTAGTTGTCCAGTTGACATGAGGATGTCATGGAAGCAAGGCAAACACAGGCTCTGGGCTGGGGAGGGTGGGAGGTGGGCAGGATCAGAGGCAATTGGGGATGGCAGGAAAGCAGGAAAACTCCATGAAAGAAAGAGAGGACATTTGCATTGGGCCTTGAAATGGTACAAAATTAACAAGAGAAGACCCTGAGGACTTAATGATGGGTTTGAGCTGCTTCTAAAAGCATCCACTTTTCCTAGAGTCATACTCTCCCCTCTGTGTCTGTTTTTGAGCCTCTGTGCTGCTGAGTGGGGCCACTTCTCTTGGCAGGTGGATTGGGGATGCAATGGAGTGATCTTCACAATAGACTGAGGGCTCCTTTGGTCTTTGTGAGAGCAAGTTCCCTCCTGCTGAGGTTGCTGCAGGCTCCAGGACACCTGTGACTTGAGGTGGAGGATGGGATGCTGTGGGCAATTTCTGTGGGTTGCGGAAGCAACTTTGGAAACGTTTGCAAGTTTCTAGTACTGGAAATGACTGCATGCCATGCAGAAATGGGGTAGTTTAGATGTCAAGAAGGGGCCCCACCAAAGAGATGCTGTGCCCCACAAAAAGAAGCCCCTCCAAGGCTGAACCTGTGAGGACGGTCGGTTTCACACCTGGCCAGGCACTTCCTGTGCATGGAGTTCTCACAAGAGCAGAGATAACACCAAACTAAATAGGGCAAGCTTCTTGAAAGAACCTTCCGTCTGATTCCCCCAGGAAAGCAGTCCCCACCTCCCAGTCTTGAAGAAATTTACTTTGTGTTGGTCTTTGGTCCTGGCCAGCTTTCTAATTGTTTCCCTCTAGAAATTTGAAAGGTAGCTGACTGTGGAATTTCCCACAGAATTTGGGGAAGGAGGCCCATGCCACACCCATGTCTCAGTGCCTCATCATCACCCATGCAAGGGTAAATATAAAAATTGAACTTTCCCGGTGGTTAAATGGAAAGAACCCCTCCCCTTTCTTAGAACATTCCTGTGGGAAATCTAGTGTTTATGAATCCTTCTTCTGTCCCTTTGATATGTTTGCAAATATTTGTAAAGTCTAAGAAAGACTCTTGTCAGCTTTACAACATGGGAATGCTTTACGGGTCTGGGAGCCGTCTCTTTGATATAAAAACATCAAGGAAGACAGCGTCCCTACTTCCTGGTCATCATGAGAGTTTGGCCTTGGCACTCTGCTTCAAGCTGTAACTACTGCCCGTCATGGAGGCAAAGGCAATTCGGATATAGGCAATTAGTAGGCTAATTAGTAGGTGAACATGGATGAATAATAAAAGAATGCACAGAAAATGGTGCTGCCAAATCCTACAGGAAGACAAGTTGCTGTTAATCTTGAGCACAGATATGTAATGGATGGTAACTGTTTGGCGGTATAAAAATTTCTTTTGGTTTTGTCATCTCAGCTACCTGCCATACACTTTGTAATCTGGTTTAACGCTTACTCAATAATAAAGCTGTTGTCTTTCTTTTCTACCTATTGTGGAGAGGATTCTCTAGGTTGGTAGGATTTTTAATTTTTCCCAATACCTCCAAGCACCAGCAAGTGCCCATGGTCTTACACTAGTAATGCCAACTTGTGGGAAGTTCTCCAACACACCATGCTTCATGCTTTTAAACACATCACTTCCTCTCCCTACAGTTCCCTTTCTCTGTGCATCTTCCTGGACCAACCATAGGTCCCAACTTCCTGGTCCTCTGTGAGTAGGACTGTGTGGTCCTTACCCTAGCAGTCTCTTCCCAGGCTGGGAGCAGCTCTCTGTGTAACCAAGGCTCTCTCCCTCTCTCTTTTTTTCCTGGGCCATCCACACAGTGCTTCAAGGCCTCCCAGGCCTGAGCCAGCTGGCCCAGGGCCATGATGCTGCCATTTTATTGAATTGAAGAACCCCTTCTCACAGGGCCCTGGTCATATATAAATGTGGCATCATCCTGGCCATCCCCCTCCCTGGGCCAGCAAGCCCTGCGGGTGTGATTCGTGTCTCTCCCTCCTTTGGCAGGAAGCTGCTGTGCATGGCTGTGTAGAAAGACCACATCACCTCCCAGCTGTCACCTTTGATGGCCCTTCAAAGTCAGTGGTGACTCACTACCCCAGTGTTCTCTACGTAAGGTTTCTAAGCCAGCCCTGGCTCTTTCCAGGGTGCTGGCTGGTGTGGTGGCTAAACAAGATGGGGGGAAGGTGAAACAGAAGCATCTGGAGGATCCTGTGGTCCCCTCACCCCTCTCTCTCCTTTATTTGTTACCAATCCTATCTGGATACCCAGAGAGGAACCAGGACTGCTTTTCTCAGCTGAAAGTTTTTCTTCTGATTTTGACACACCCAGCAGGCTTCTTGCTGCCCACAGAGGTGCATTTGTGTTAATGTTCTTGAGAAACCTCAACCCCCTCTCTTCACACTGTCAAGGGGCATAAGTTACTAGGATAACTCATGACATGGCCTGACTCCAAATTTTTCATATTTGGCTTTGAAGTGGGCCACAGAGATAGGACCATAGCGGTGTCTGGTGTTTGGGGCACATCCAAAGTCATGAAAAAGGAAGAGGTCAAACTCTTGAGTATTGATCGAGAAAAAACATTTTCACTCTCTGGACACACTCCTTCTTTTATTTACTCTTTCCTGAAGACAGAAAAGACATCAGCTCCCCTGGTTTATTGCTTCTTTAAAAAGAGAACTTCCCTCCAAGATTCTGGTGATTGGTTTGCTAATTTTTCTGGAATGAAAGAAATTAAGATGGTGAAACACTTAAAATTTTACATAGGCACACACCTTATTTCGTATAATAGATATCTCCCGGAATAACAGTTTCTGGGGAAGGAATTATTTTTCAAATGCAGTAGGAGGGCTTTAATATTTAACTAAAGTTTGTAATGCATCTGTTTGAGGAGAACACTTTCAAGCATAATAAAATTATTGATTTAATAACTTCTTCATTTTGGAAGTTCAGATTTTTGCATAGATATTATATTTTAGTGCTTTAAAAACAATAATAATGTGGTCGGGTACAGCATCCTAAATCCTTAATTTTTAACTTTGCCTTATGATTATAAAAGTAATACATATTCAAGGTATCTTTTTTCATATATAAGTTTTAATTTTACTGTATTCAAATGTATTAATCTTTTCCTTTATGGTTTATATATTTTATCTCTCCTGGTAGATTGCACAAATGGATGCAATATTCTCTTTCTAGGTATTCATGACTGTACATCGTGCCTTGGTAGCTCCTCTTGTCTAGATGTGGAATCTATTTCCACTCTTTTGAATTTCTACTCCTGCTTTGGCTAAATGAATGTGGAAGTGATGCTGTGCCAGTTCTAAGCACAGAAGCCTTCCAGATTTTGCTCTCTTTTGGAACTCTGCCAGCCACCATGTAAATGACCTTAAGGTAGCCTACTGGATGGTGAGATGTATGACTCAGACTCCCCTGTTGCCCCAGCTAATAGCCAGTCCCAAGCTAAACTGGAAGCTGGCCATAGTTGCGTGAGTGTAACCATAATTGCCCTGCAGAGCTCAGCCTAAATTGCTGACTTGCAGAATCATCAGCAATGACAAACGTTTATTACATTAAGCCACTAAGTTTTGTACTGGTTTGTTATGCAGAAATATTTGAATGACACTTGTCTTCTTGAAGAGATACCTCCCTACTTTGCGATTATAGAGTGTGAGAAACACTCACCAGTCCAAACACAAAGAATGGACTTGGAGACCTGAAAAACAGCAGATGCGAGACTTTCAAAGGCGGTCTTGCAAGATTGGGTGTCTGGCAGGCAGACACACCTAGGGCAGTTACAGCAAGTAATTTGTCTCCTAGCACGCAAGTCCCTCCCCCTGTTCCTCATTGGTTGAGTATATGGGGTTACAGTCTTCCCGGACGTTGCCTAAGTTTCACTATCCCCCTTATAAGGTTATGCCCTGTCCTCTTCCCCACTTAAGTTTCCATTTCTCAACAATGAAACTTTCTTCCCTTTTATGGGCTGACTCCTCCTCTACATTCTGTCCACTTATTGTGACTTTCTAGGTGCATGAGCCATGCAATTTGTCACATTCGCAGGCTGGCTGCCAGTACTTAGAATTATCATGCCTTGAAAATGGACCATTTAAAATATTTTCTTACAAATTCCCTCCTCTTTTCTATTTACTTCCTTTGGTCTCAATTTCATTTAAACTCTTTTGGTCCTTGAATCACTTTAGAAGTCACTTTCTTCCTTATGGAAGAGTGAGTTTAATTTGGATTCTACTAGTAGCAGGTTATTTTGCTGGTAAAGCATGGACATTTATTTACTAATAGCTGCTTAAATTAATCTCTGTGCTAGTCCCCTCACACAGGGGATAATACAACATCCCACAGCTGTTAAGACTCCTGCTACAATTATGAGAGATGTAAAAATTGAAGCCTTTTTATTTTTCAAACCAACCTTTTAGCCAACCCATAAATGTGTTATTAATGCAAGCATTTTGTGCCAGTTTGTTGGCTAGAGTTGTCAGTCCTCGTAAAGTTTTTGTGATGGTCCCATCTGGGGCAGTATTGCTGGGAATGAAAGTACATTTCCTACCCAGCATAACACATATACCCCCTTTTTCTGCTGGGATTATGTCTAGTGAAAGCCTGTTTTCCCAGGCCATTTGGCTGGTGGCATTTAATAGGCTAACCACCCCTTTGAGGGTGTCCCGAGTATAACTGATGAATCTCTGTTGATTATAATAGATGTAGTTAATCCAATTCACATTCTTATTAATAGTTGACCACCAGAAGAGTGTTCACTTAAACTCAGCCACTATTTGGTTTTGGGCCTTAAATTCACTAGGCACCGCACTACGGACTCCTATTGAGTCAACACATATATTGAGATTAAAAGAATTTGTCAAATCTCTCTGGTTTTGGTGGCCATGTGTATTTTGTGGTATCTTATGGAATGCCAAGGTGAAGGGAATGGCCAATTGGACTATAGCACAAGTCCCAGTCCAATTGGAGGGTAACAGGTTATGGAGGTTCCTTTTCCCACAATACCACCAGACATTAGCCCAGGGTATGTGAGGGCTGAGTAATTGCCATTGCCTGACTCACCAGTGATGTTTAGGATGTGGGTACAAGTCGAGAATTCTACCACAGGCTTATTGAACTCTGCCACGTGCCTAGAGAGGCAAGAGGAGTGGTTCATATTTCCTACAGAGAACAAGGGGATTGCTCTTGGATCTGACCTCTGCAATGTGGGAAAGAGCAATGAGAGACTCTTACAAGTCTCATTTCTTCATGCATCTTCGTTTTGGTATAGAGCCAACATGCAATGCATTCCTTCAAGATCGGTATCCCATCCTGGGGGAAATGGAACCACCTGTGCCTGAGGTTGTCCTACAGCACACGTGTAGCAGTTACTCTTGTTGAGGGCTTGTACACAAAATTTGACCCATTCCACCCAGGCATTCACATCCCTGTACCCTGTTTTAATTTTTAAGGTTTGCCTTAAATCCTTTACCTCAATTATTTTTACTCTTTTAGGGTTATTATTTGGTGGACTAAAGTGTTTATTAGGGTTTGGGGTTGGAGTAGTCCCAGGCAAATGGGAGGTTGAGTTCTTGATTGGTTTGAGAACAAATTGCCGTAGGGGGGTCTTTCCTTGTGATGTCTGCCCCTAACCCATATACCCGAGATGCTACTTTTGGTTCTTGGTTTAGAACATCTGGATTGTCAATGGTGATGAGTATAGGATTGCATTCTAAATTCTGACAGTTATTTGGCAAGGAGCCCTTCCCTTGGACAGCTGTAGTTTATTCTTTAAGGGTTTCCAGCTCAGAGTTACTCATCTCATGTTTACTCTTCAACCCTGAAATTGATCAGTTTACCATACATCATCCCAGCTGGGGCAGGATGATGCCCTACTGTAACCTGTATCTGGTTTAGGGCAAATATATTTATTCGCCTGCAAGAGCAGTCTCTGATTTTCTAAATTACCACAGAGTAAGACCTGGCAGGCATCAAATCTTACAGTCTGGGGTGCTACCATCTTGGTTACATTTATTGGGTAGGGAGAAGTCCCCTGCCATTTTACATTTTGAGCTTCTGCTCTTTGTATAGTAGCCTATCCCAGCCATATTAACTTTCAGAAATGGGGCCAGCCCATTTTTTCTTTTTAGATTTTTCTCAAAGTTTACTTTAAGGGTTCCTCAGCTGACCCGTGCACTTTCCACTGGTCTTTT
This sequence comes from Homo sapiens, assembly GCF_000001405.40. Lineage (NCBI taxonomy): Eukaryota > Metazoa > Chordata > Mammalia > Primates > Hominidae > Homo > Homo sapiens. Next base: position 46,113,596 of record NC_000003.12, read on the forward strand.
TCCTCTCTCTTCTGGGGTCTCTGTTACCAGTCCCTTGACTTGAGTATAGTGAGTCCACCCCTGTTCAGCTGTTTGCGCGGCCATCTCAGTGGTCAGGAGCACTTGATAGGGACCTTCCCAGCTTGGGTGGAGCTTGTCTTCTTTTCAAGTCTTGATCAGCACCAAGTCGCCAGGCTGGAAGTGGTGAACTGCGAATTTAAGAGGTAGAGTTTGAGTCAGAAGTCCTTTTAACCTGAGGGATGACAGGGTGGAGGATGTGGCCAGTATGTAATTTCTTAAGAATTGATCCTTGGTTTCCATAGTAGGGAGATTTGTAGCTCTGCCTAAATATGGGACCCCATGTAATAACTCATAGGGGAACAATCCTAAGTCTTTTCTTGGGGCTGTTGTAATCCTAAGCAGTGTATTGGGAGACATTTAGTCCAAGACATTTTTGTTTCTAAGATTAGTTTGGTGATATGCTTTTTGAGAGTTTGATTCATTCTTTCTACCTTTCCAGAGGAAGGGGGACATTACGAGGTGTGATAATCCCATCTAATTTGTAAACCTTACATAATTCCCCTTAACATCCTTGAGGTAAAGTGGCTCCCATTGTTTGAATCAGTATTTTCCACCAGGCCAAATCTACGCACAATCTGTTTTAATATTATTTTGACCACATTCTTGGTGGTGGCTGTGGGAAGGGGGAAGGCTTCCACCCAGCCAGAAAGGTAATCTGTGATCACCAGTAAATACTTTAGTTTTCCTACTTTGGGCATTTCTGTGAAATCTACTTGAATGCTTTGAAATGGTCTTAGTCTGGGAGGTTTTCCTCCCATGGGCTGTTTTCTAATTACCTTTTTGTTTATCCTTTGACAAATTACACAACTTCCACATACTTGTTTAGTGAGGGTAAAATTCCTGTAGTATTGCATCACGGAGAGCCTGAGGTCCCCAGTGACTCCCTTTGTGTAATATAGACATTAGTTCTCTCATCAGGGTTTACTGATTGTTTCTCTCCCATCAGGAAGTACTCATTTCTTATTTTTAGTTTAAGTGACCCCTAGTCTGTCTAATTCTTCCTTCTCCTCTCTGGTAAACTGGGGCCTTAATACTACCTTAGGAATGTCTGGGATCCAGCTAAATAGTATAATATCTTCCTCCAGGGAGGCTTGCTTAGCAGCTTTATCTGCAAGCCTGTTTCCTGCAGCTTCTATAGTGTTCCCTTTCTGATGACCATTTACATAAACTATGGCTACTTTGCTGGAAGCAGGAGGCTTTTTACAACCTGTTTGGCCAGTTCCCCATGCACCAATTATTTTCCCCTGCTATTTATTAGGGCCTGCTTTGTTCAGATTTTTCTAAAAATGTGTACCACCCCATAAGCATATTTAGAATCAGTATGTATGGTGCCTTTTTGGCCTTTGAGTTTTAGGGCCTGGTTAAGAGCATATAATTCACAAGTTTGGGCCCACCAGCCATTAGGTAATCTACCCTTCTCACATAAGGAGTGTTTATTTTCATTAAGGACAGCATAACCATTATTTTTCTTGCCATCTATCATTGGGATGACCCATCCACAAACAGCCTTGTCCCATCATGTAGTGGAGCTTCCCTGAGGTCTGATTTAACTTTGGTTTGGTATTCTATGATATCTAACAGTTACAGTCTGATATCTCTTTGTTCTCCTCTCCTTTCCATAGGAAACTGGCTGGATTCAGGCAAGCATTTGTGGTTACAACCAAATCATCTTTTTCTAGTAATATGGCGTCATATTTTAGAAACTGAGAATCCGTTAACTATCTCCCGGCTTTTCAATTTGATACATTCCTGACCTGGTATGGAATGCTTACTATTAGGGCCCCACCAAAGGTTAGTTTTCAACTCTTTTCTACCAGCAGGGCTGTGGCAGCTACTGCTTGCACACATTCAGGCCACCCCTGAGAGACAGGATTGAGAAGCTTGGAGACAAAAGCAACAGGTTGCCTCTTCCCTCCCCAGATTTGAGTGAGCACTCCAAGGGCCATGCCCTGATCTACTGTGACGAACAGATGGAATAGTTTCTTTAAAGACAGAAGGGCCAGGGCCGGGGCTGTGATGAGGGCCTGCTTTAGCTCTTTTACTGCCTGAATTTCCTTTGGGGACCATTGCAAGGGATTGGGTTCCTCTTTAGTAACTTGAGATACAGAATCTCTGTCTTTTGAGCATATGAGTTCATCCATAACCTACAATAGCCAGTTAAACCTAAAAATTTTTGGAGGTTTCTCTTTGTCTAAGGCAAAGGCAGAGCCACTATCCTCGATATTTTCTTTGGGTTTATTTTCTACTTCCCTTCACTAATCAGGTCTCCTAAATATTTAACTTCTTTTTTTTACAAATGGCAATTTGTTCTTAGAGACTCGTAATCCCCTTTTTCCTAGGAAATTAAGCAAGTTTAGGGTGGTTTTTGATTCCTCGGGCCTCCTCTCCCCAGAAATTAAAAGATTATTTACATGTTGTAACATCTGGGTTCCCTCGGAAGGTTGGAATTCCTTCAGGACTTTTTCTAAGACTTTTTCAATTAAGTTTGAGGCTTCTGTGAAAACTTGTGGCAGCACAGTTTGGTGGTACTGTTGTTTTCTCCCAGTTATAGGAATTTCCCATTCAAAGGCAAAGAGGTCCCTACTCCTAAAGTCTAGGGGAAATGCCCAGAATGTGTCTTTTGGATCCACCACACTGAACCACTTATGTTTATAGGGTATCTTACTAAGGAGGGTGTAGGGTTTAGGCACCCTAGGGTGGTGGGTCTGGACAATTTGATTTACAGCCCTTAGATTTTGCAACAATTTATATGACCCACCAGATATTTTGACTGGGAGAATTGGAATATTGTATGGTGACCTGCAGGGTTCTAATAGTCCATCTTTTATCATTTTATTACTGCTTGGAGACCTTTTCTCCCTTCAATAGAAATGGGATATTGTTTTCTGCAAACTACTTTTCCTGGTTGTTTCTCATTCCATCCATCGATCTTTTGTAATTGTTTTATAATGTTAGGCCAGCTCTTAGTTACAAAGACCTTCAAAAGGCCTTGCCCTAATGGGTCCTCTGGATAGAATCCAGAGTGTTTTCTCATCTGATCTTTGAGCCTCTGTAGGAATGCAGAGGGAGTTTCTTCCTTTTTCTTGTTGAATCTTGAATGCCTTTGAAACATTTTGTGTCCTAGGAGTGGACTCTTTGATCCCTTTAATTATTAGTTCCCTGAAGTCTTGCATTCAGGCCTGGTGCCTGGGATCATTATTATCCCATTCGGGATTGACATTTGGAAATTTTTGTTTGGCTGGCAAGACTTCTTGCCTGGGAGGGTGTTGCCTCTCCCAGTTGGTTATGGTCACTCTCCTAATTATTCCCCTTTCTTCTCCTGTGAACAGGATATTCATAATAGACATCATTTCGGCCCAGGTGTAAAAGCTGGGTCTAGGAATTGGTCCAGCTGGTCTGCTAAACCGAGGGGATCTTCTAGGAGTGGTTTCATTTCCTTCTTGAAATTCCTAACATCAGTACTTATAAGAGGAGGATTTACAAAGCCAAGCTCTCCCAGTCCCATGGAAACTTCCCTAAGAGGGAACATGCTAGATGCTTGCTGTGCGGAAGGGATAGGGAAGTTCTCAGTAGTCCTCTTACACTGTTGTAATTGTTTTCTTAGATTTGGATAAGGATTTAAAGAAGTAGATGGTTTGGCTCCCCCATGGTTTCTAATCTTCCCCTAATCCCTTTGTTGCCCCTTGATCTTCCTGTCCCCTATTTTGTGAGACGTATGGAGGAGGCAAGCATGATAGGGGGGTCCCAGAGCTTTTACTAGGCTCTTTTTCTCCTTTCTTGAGGGGGAACATGGGAACTAATTCCTTGATCTGGCAGACAGCATAACCTATCTCTTCTTGTGAGGATGGGGTTTTATTATTTACATAGAGAATTAAAGCTCAGCACACCCAACACTTGTCTGAACCAAACTTAGGCCAAAAGACTGAAGGATTATGAATGGAGTCTTTGGGCCAGATAAAACAGCAAAGCTTTATTATCTTTTGCTTTTCCTTGTCCCTGGTTCAAGGGTTGTCCCTCAAAACCTGTAGCATTCTCCCCAAAGGACTATCCATGGGAATGTCAGAGGGAGTCTTTAGCTCCCTCTTTCCTTTGTCCCCTAGGCCTAGAATTTCTGTTTCCCATTTTCAGTCAGTCTCTGTGTCTGAGCGTTTCCCTGTGTACTCAACACTCCCTCCTGGAGGTTTCTTGCACACCCTGAGAATTACTTGCAGGAGAACGGAACTGCGGATTGGGACTCTGCACTCGCTTTGTATCTAGGATACATCTCAGTCACACATGCTCAACCTCCGAAAATGTCCAACCACCAAGGCAGTACTTATAGTCCAATTCTCCTACCTTGGCTTGTGCACCAGGTTACCTGGTTGTTGTGGTGCCTGCTTTTTTCCCTGTGTTGCCTCTGTTGCCTCCTGAATAACAGTCTCAGATTTGTCTAAGGCCTCTATGGGGAGCTGGGACACCCGGACAGAGTGGGCCTCCTAAATTGAGTGGGCTGCATCTCCCCTCTTGGCCAGAGTCCCACTCCATGCAAACACAGAGATCCCGGATGGATTCCCAAGTTTGTAAGAAACATATTCTCCCATCCAAACTCAAGGAAGATACTTGGAGATAGGAAGAACAGCAGAAGCGAGACTTTTAATGGCAGTCTTGCAAGATCAGGTGTCTGGTAGGCAGGCATACCCGGGGCAGTTACAGCAGGTAATTTATCTCCTAGCATGCAAGTCCCTCCCCCAGTTCCTCATTGGTTGAGTACTATGGGGTTACAATCTTTCCAGATATTGCCTAAGTTTCATTATCCCCTTTATAAGGTTATACTCTGGTCCCCTTCCCTGATTAAGTTTCCATTTCCCAATAATGAAACTTTCTTCCCTTTTATGGGCTGACCCCTCCTCTACATTCTGTTCATTTATTGTGACTTTCTAGGTGCATGAGCCATGTGGTTTATTACATTTGCAGGCTGGTTGCCAGTACTTAGAATTATCATGCCTTGAAAATGGACCATTTAAAATGATTTTTCACATACAGGGTCTTTTATATTTTGTTATCAAAGTTTCTCCATTTTGTTTTTCATATTTATGTACCATAATCAATCTGGGATTAATTTTTGTGTGTGTGTGAGTAGAAAACTAATGCATGTGTTAATTTTTTTCTGCATATTTGAATATTTGAAATATTTCATAATTAATATTAAAATCACTCTAATAAAAGTAATACTTGTTTATTATAGAAAAGTTAGAAAAATACAATAAAAATAAAAACAAAACTTCCCCTGTAATAACATAACTCAGCAACACTTTTAATGTTGTGAGGTGTTTCCTTCTGGTCTTTTTTTATTTTTTGGTAAAACTGAGATCAAACTGTTTTCCATTTTTATCACTTAGCATTGTCTTGTGTGTATTTCCTTGTATCATTTGAGTTCTACAAAATTATTTTTAATGATATATGTAGTTTATCATATAGGTGCATCATATTTTATTTAACCAGGAACTTACTGTTAGACACTTAGGCTTCCTCCAAGTTTTCAATGTAAATGTTAGTTGAGCATTGAATATTCTTGTACAAATATTTCTGATTTGTTTTTGAGGATAATTTCTAGAAATGAAGTTCTTGGGTCAAAAGGTATGAAAAATTTTAAGATCTAAGAATACAGTTAGAGAAAGATACCCTCTGGAAAGTGTGTGCCAATTTTAATCCCACCTTCTCCAGCGACGAATGAGCTGTTCCATCCTCCCATAGGCACCCTCCTGGCACTTTTGCTGAAATACATGAAGACTCCAACCTTAGCTGATTCATGTAGTCATAACAAGATCACATGCTGATGAGAATACAAAATCTGGAAAAAGCACATAGCAAGAAGAGAAGTCTGTAATGATTTATTAATATAGTAGCCTCGGTCCTCCTTATTAAATTTATTTGGCAAAAATTTGCCATTCTGCCCTGGGTGATACCCTGATACACTCAGCTCAAACCAAGAGCCAGGCATAGATGTTTAAGACATAAGAAGGACTCCAACTTAACTGGTGCTCAGGGCAAAAGAAGAACACACCAGGACATCTGCCCCTCTGGTTAGGAGAGGTCAGAGGGGGCCAGATCACTCGTTAAAACATTTCAGTGTCTGTTATGAGCCACTCATTGCATTGGAGGTGGGAACACAAAAATGACCAACCTTGACAGAAAATTACAATTTGGAACACTAAGGGCTCTTACAGGATCTAGCTTCAGGGCACTATGAAATCACAGGTAGGAGTGCTCCATGTAACCTGAGGATGTCAGGGATATAGTTTCCCAGACAAGGTATGTCTAGGCTGATCTTTGAAGAGGAAGAGGGCTTGGCCAGGCAGAGAGAAAAACAGGCATCCTACCTAACTAGCTATAGGGCAGACAGACTGTGGAGTAAAAGGTGAGGAGTGTGATGGAAGGGACTGGAGGAGGAACTGTATGAGAGAAGGCTGAAGGAGGAAGGGACTGGGTTATGAAAAGCTTCACGTGGCTTTCTATGGAGTTTATATTCTTTACAACACCGTATGTGTTCTGATCCCATCACCTTTCTGATCATATGTCCTATCCCTCCCCCATCCCAACCACTCTGCTCCAACCACATTGGTCTCCTTGCCATTCCCCAATCATGCTTCCACCTCAGGACCTTTGCACATGCTCTTCTCTCTGCCCAGAATGCTATCCCCCAGGTGTATGTTTGGCTTTCTTCCTCTCTTCCCTCAAATGTCTGCCTGATAGTATTACCTAAGCAGAGAGATTACGTCTGATAAACTTGGACAATATAGCATGCTGCTCTTGCCACCTACTCTGCTGTTCTCTGTCTTCTAACTCTGCTGTATTTTTCTTCTAGTATTTATTTTCTATCTTTGACCCTAACGTCTACTAGAATGAAAGCTCCATGGAGGTGGGGACTTTGCTTTTTTATTGCTTTACCAAATAGGATCTATTGAATAGTCTATTCCTTATGCCTAGAATAGTATCTGATGCATAGCAGATGCTTAATAAAAATTTGTTAAATATGCGAGTGAATTTTGTTATAAAGAGAATGAGGAGCCATTGAAGGTATTTTATGTTGGAGAAGGATCCTCAGATGTGTATTTTAGTCAGCTCTCTGTGCCTGTAGGGTGGAGGATGAGGCCAGTCAACCTGACCAGGAGGTTCCCAAAGTCATGTGTCTGGGTTAAGGTAGAAAGGTTGGGGTGGAGAAGAGGGATGTCTTCCAAAGGAATTAAGTAGGAAGCATATTTGCCTGGCCTCAGTGCCTGTTTGAATGTGGGAGCTGAGAGAGCAGGCAAATGATATTCCAGGTTATTGATTTGGGAATCTGGGTGGGTGCTGCCCTAACTTAGATCAGAGGATGCTGGCAAAGATTCAGTTCAGGAGGAATGACAATGAATTCAGGTTCATGTAGAACATGCTGGGTTTGAAGTTCTTTGGCATGTCCCAAGGGAGATGTTTAGCAGGCAATTTGGATATTGCAGTTACTGGAGCCATTTGTGGTGAGATCACTAAGGGAGGGTGTGTACCACGAGATAGAGGAGTATTAAGAATGGAACCCCAGGGCATATCACCCCAGAGGGAATGGAGGATGTGTGAAACAGGAGGAAAGAGTGTCTAGAAGGTGGGAGTGGTCAGTAACATCCAATAACAATACAAGTAGATGAAATAAGGACTGAACAGGTTAAATTGCATTTTGCAGCTGGGAAGTTGCCAGTGGAGTGCTCAGTACAGGGAATGGAAAAGAAAAATCGAGGCAGAATATGGACTACTTGAAAGAGTAGGAACACTCTGGGAAGAGTAGAGCAACTAAATGTGAAGAGAATGAGCAAGACAAAAGTTGGGCAGCAACTGAAAGGGAAAGGAAGGTGATTTTAACAAAATTAGGTCTGGAAATTCTTCACGCTTTTAATGTTGAGATAAAGATTCATAAGTAGTGAATAGTAAGTGCAGAGAAGTCCCACAAACCCCTCACCCAGTGTCCCTAGTGGTTACAACTGTACACAATTATAGTACAATATCAGTAACAGGGATTTGACTTTGGCACAATGTGTGTGTGTAGTTCTAAGTCATTTTTATCACATGTGTAGGTTCATATTTAATATGATCATCATTGTATTCAAATACAATTTTTTTTAGAGACAGAGCCTCACTCTGTCACCCAGGTTGGACTACAGTGGCATGATCAGAGTCCATTGCAGCCTCGAACTCCTGGGTTTGAGCTATCCTCTTGCCTCAGCCTCCTAAGTAGCTGGGACTATAGGTGTGTGCCACCATGCTCAGCTAATTTTAATTTTTTTGTAGAGATAGGGTCTCGATATATTGCCCAGGATGGTCTTGAACTCCTGGGCTTAAGCAACGATCTTCCCACCTCAAATACAAAATTATTCCATTATCACAAACAGCTCTTTGTGCTACCCATTGATAATCACACCAGCACCTCCTCCCTCCCATCATCTCTAACCCCTGAAAACCACTATTCTGTTTTCTATTTCTATAATTTTGTCACTGAGAATGTTACACAAATGGAATGATAAATCATATACTATTTTGAGATTGGCATAATGCCCTCGAGGCGCATTCAAGTTGTGTTTATCAGTAGCTCATTCCTTTGAATTGCTGAGTAGTAGTGTTTGATATAGATGTACTACAATTCTTTCTCCAATCTATAGTTGAGGAACATTTGTGCCATTTTCTAGTTTGGGGTTATTACAAATAAACTATTAACAATGGCATACAGCTTTTTGTGTGGACAGAACTTTTTATTTTTCTGGGATAAATGCCCAGTGTTTCAATTGCTATATTATAAAGCATTTGCATGTTTAGTTTTCTAAGAAACTGCTAAACTGTTTTCCAGACTTGTTGCACACCATTTTATAGTTCCACCAGCAATGTATGTGTGATCCAGTTTCTCTGCATCCTGGCCAGCAGATATGTAGTGATATTTCATTAAGCTCTTAATTTGCATTTTGCTAATGGCAAGTGATGTTGCACATCTTTTAATGTGCTTATTTGCTATCTTTATAACCTCTTCAGTGAAATATCTCTTTACGCTTTTGTCCATTTTCTAATTGGATTGTTTGGGTTTTTTAAAAATGTTAAATTTTGAGAGGTGTTTGCATATTGAAAATAGAAGTGTTTCAGATATGTGGTGTGATGGTTAATACTGAATGTCAACTTAATTGGATTGAAGGATGCAAAATATTCATCCTGGGTGTGTCTGTGAGGGTGTTGCCAAGGGGCTTAACATTTGAGTCAGTGCACTGGGGAAGGCAGACCCACCCTTAATCTGAGTGGGCACCATCTAATTAGCTGCCAGAAAATATAAAGCAGGCAGAAAAATGTGAAAAGGCTAGACTGGCCTAGTCTTCCAGCCTACATTTTTTCCCGTGCTGGATGCTTCCTGCCCTTGAACATCAGACTCCAGGTTCTTCACCTTTGGGACTCAGACTGGCTTCCTTGCTCCTCAGCTTGCAGATGGCCTATTGTGGTACCTTGTGATTGCGTGAGTAAATACTACTTAATAAACTAATATTATATATATAAATATATATATAATATATATAACCTATTAGTTCTGTCCCTCTAGAGAACCCTGACTAATACATATTGTTTGCAAATTTTCTCTAGATCTGTATGTAGCTTGATCTTGGGTTAAGGTTAATTTTTTCCCTATGGGTTCCTCCAGTACCATGTTGAAAAGACAATTCTTCCTCCATTGAATTGCTTTTACGCACCTGTAAAAGATAAGTTGGCTATATGAGGGGGCTTCAAAAAATTCATAGAAAAATGAAATTAAAAGATAAGAAATTTACTAACTAAAGAAAAATGGGTGCCCTTTAAAGATTTCTTAAGACTAAAAAACAAAAAGAAGTCAGAAGGAGTCAAATCAGGACCGTAAGGTGGATGCCCAGTGATTTCCCATCGAAACTCTTGCAAAATTGCCCACATTTGATGGGGGGAATGTGCAGGAGCAATCTTGTGGTGAAGGCCTCTCTGGTGAAGCTTTTCTGAGTATTTTTCTGCTAAAGCTTTTGTTAGAGTAGGTAGCTACCCAGGCATGAGCAGAGCAGGGGAAGGCTCCCCCACACCAGGAATGTCAGGTGACCATAATTGCCAGGGAAAAGCAGTTTCCCAATAGCTAAAACACCTGGAACTGGTGATCAGCCGCTTCCCATTAACATCTCAAAAATTGGGCAAGCATTAAGAGGCATAATTGTGGAGTATGACCTTTGGTAGGTATTCCACTGGAAAAGGGAAGAATGCCTCAGGTAAGCATGCATACAATTCTAGTAAACACACTGCATATGCTCGCCTCCAGGGTGTTAGGCCACCTTGCATGCCAGCGGGCCACCCTCAGGGAAGAATCATGGGAAAAGGGATGCAAGACCCCAGAGGTATGCCAGCATATAAAATCCCAAGTCAAAAGATCAAAGCCCACATTTAACCTCCAAAATGGCCACTTGGCCCTCTTCCAAGTGTACTTTACTTTCCTTTCATTTCTGCTCTACAGCTTTTTAATAAACGTTCACTCCTGCTCTAAAACTTGCCGCAGTCTCTTTTTTCTGCCTTATGCCCCTTAGTCAAATTCTTTCTTTTGAGAAGGCAAGAACTGAGGTTGCTGCAAACCCCTATGAATTCGCCACAAGTGACTTGGATAACTTCAACTGCTAATACTTTGGCTGACTTTCTCAAAAACACTTTCATAATAAGCAGATGTTATCACTCTTTGGCCCTCTAGAACGTCAGCAAGAAAAATGCCTTGAGCATCCCAAAAAGCTGTTGCCATGACCTTTGCTCTCCACTTTTGCTGTGACTGGACCACTTCCATCTCTTGGTAGCCATTGCTTTGACTGTACTTTGTCTTCAGTAATGTAGTGGTAAAGCCATGTTCCATCTCCTCTTACACAGTTCTTCAAAGAAATGCTTCAGGATCTTGATCCCCCTTGTTTAAAGCTTTGCTCTTGTCTGCAGCTAATCTGGCTGCAATGGTTTTGGCACCCATTGAGCGGAAAATTTGCTCAACTTTAATTTTTCAGTCAGAATTGTGCAAGCTTCTAGGAGGAGATGGTGACAGATTACAGGAAGGTGGCGGGGGGCAGTGAGTGGGGTTGGTTTGGGGATAAAATCCATGGTGAACAAAAGTTGTCTTGTTGTGCAGATATAACCTCTCAGGTAGCAGCTCTCGGGTAGCCTGAGGCAAAACCTCTCTAGGTGATGTGTTGACCTTTGATTTCTTTTCCAGAGAGAAAATCTTTCCTAGATCTGTTTTTAGGCAAATATGGGGACCTCAGAGAACCTCTGCTTGCATCCACTGTTTCCTGCTGTTTATCAATCAGCATACCAAAGTGTCATACTTTGGGGAATTGTTTCCTGAGCTGCAACAATTGTCATATTTGGGAATGCGTCACAGAATTAGAAATGATCAGACAGTTTTAAGAACTAAGACTGATTTTTATGGAGCCAATGTTTACAAAGTCCTATTGGGCAAACTGGTCTGGTACCTGATTTATAGGTTTCCAGTCTCACAGATGAGAAACAAAGGTCACTTCCTGGCCCAGGAAATTTTGGGAACCTCTAGAAGAGAGGAATTCATCCAAATCTCTAGGAACTGTAGGTGGACAGTTCTTGGCTTGGCTTCCTAGCCTTGAGAAAGTGCTTCCTCAGCCTCCCAAAGTGCTGGGATTATAGGCGTGAGCCCCTGCACCCAGCTTTTCCTGAGCCTTTTGTTTCTTTGCTGCAGCTTTCCATTTTTTTCTTCTTTTCCAGGGTGCTTGTAATTGCTCATTGAAGCATTTTTATGATAATTGCTTAAAATCATTGTCAGATAATTCTAATATCTCTTGGTGTGGCATCTATTGATTTCCATTCCCCCTTTTTTCATTTAGTTTGAGATCTTCCTGGTCCTTAGTAAGACGAATGATTTTCAATTAAATCTTAGAAATTTTGATAGCTATAAATGCTTGCATTGGAAGAAATGAGAGATCTCAAATTAATAACCTAACTTTATACCTTAAAGAACTAGATAAAGAAGATCAAACTAAGCACAAAGCTAGAAGAAAGGAGGAAATCATAAATGTTAGAGCAGAGATAAATAAAAAAGAGAATGGAAAAAAATAGAGAAAATTAATAAAACCAAGATTTGGTTTTTCAGAAAGATCAACGACAATCTTTGCTAGATTGGCAAAGATAAAAAAGAAAGAAGACTCTCAAATAACTAATATCAGAAATGAAAATGGAGACATTACTACTGATTTTAACAGAAATAAAAGAGATCATAAGAAAGTACTATGAACAATTATATGCCAACAAATTGTATAACCTAGATGACATGGACAAATTCCTAGGAACAGTTTCCATCAAACTGAATTGTGGAGAAATAGAAGATCTGAATAAACCTATAATGAGTAAGGAGATTAATTCAATAATCGAAAACCTCCTAACGAAGACAAGCCCCAGACAGTTGGCTTAACTGGTGAGTTCTAATGACATTTAAAGAATTAATAGCCATCCTTCTCAAACTCTTCCAAAAAGTTGAAGAGGAAGGAACAGTTCTTAACTCATATTTGTGAAGCCAGATAAACATATGAAAAGAAAACTACAGACTGATATCCTTTATGACTATTGATGCAAAACTCAACAAAACACAACAAAATTCAGCAGCAAATTAAAAGGGTTATACACCATGACCAAGAAGGATTTATCCTTGAATGTAAGGGTGGCTCAACACACAAAAATAAATCAAGGTAATACATGACATTAATAGAATGAGGAAAAAAAAATGAATGATCCTCTCAATTATTCAACATCTGACAAAATTCAACACCCTTTCATAATAAAAGACACTCAACAAAATAGGAATAGAAGGAAAATACCTTAGTATAATAAAGGTCATATGTGAAAGAAAACCCACAGCTTATATAATACTCAATGGTGAAAGAATGAAATCTTTTTCTCTAAGATCAGGAATGAGACAGGGGTGCCTGCTCTCACCACTTCTATTCAATATAACATTGGAAGTCTTAGCCAGAGCAACTGGAATGAAAAAGAAATAAAAGGCAACCAAATCAGAAAGGAAGATGTAAAATTATCTCTGTTCACAGATGACATGATCATATATGCAGAAAATCCTAAAGATTCCACCAAAAGCACCTGTTAGAACTAATACATAAATTCAGCAAAGTTGCAGGATACAAAACCAATACCCCAGAATTCGTTGAATTTCTATGCACTAACAATGAACAACCTGAGAAGGAAATTAAGAACACAGTTCCATCTACAATAGCATCAAAAAGGCTGAAATACTTAGAAATAAACTTAACCAAGGAGGTAAAAGACTTGTATATTGCAGATCACAAATATTGCTGAAAGAAATTAAAGAAGTCACAAATAAATTGAAAGACATCCTGTGTTTACAGATTGGAAGACTTAATATTGTTAACTATTAGTATTACAAAACAATCTACAGAGTCAATGCAATTTCTATCAAAATCCCAATGACTATTTTGTGGAAATAGAAAAGTTCATCCTAAAATTCATATGGACTCTCAAGGAAACCCAAATAGCCCAAATAGAAATAAAAACAAGGTTGGAAGTCTCACGCTTCCTAATTGCAAAACTTACTACAAAGATATAGTAATCAAAACAGAATGGTAATAGCATAAACACAGACATGTGGACAAATGCAATAGAATAGAGGGCCCACGATTAAACTCTCATAATTTTTGACAAGAGTGCCAAGGCCATTTGTTATAGACTAAATTATATTCCCTCAAAATTCATATGTTGAAATTCCAACCCCTGTTATCTTAGAATGTAACTATATTTGGAGAGAAAGTCTAAGAGTTGGTTAGGTTAAAATGAGGCTGTTAGGACTGAGTGTTAATCTAATGTGACTGGTGCCCTTATAAAAGAGAGGAACAGACACCTGGAGCATGTGTGTACAGAGGAATGACCAGGGGGAAAGGAAACAAGACATCAGCCATCTGCAAGCCAAGGAGAGAGGCCTCAGAGGAAACCAGGACCTTGATCCTTGATTTTCAGCCTGCAGAACTGTGAGGAAATACATTTCTGTTGTTTGAGTCACCAGCCTGTGGTATTTTGTTAGAACAGCTCTAGGCAACTAGTATACTGTTCAGTGGGGGGAAAGAATAGTCTTTTCAACAAATGGTCTTGGGAAAACTAGATATTATCCACATGCAGAGGAATAATGAAGTGGGGCCCCTGTGTTACACCATATACAAAAATTAACTCGCAGTGGATCAAAAACCTAAATGTAAGAGCTGATCTATAAAACTATTTGAAGAAAACAACCAGCCGGGCACGGTGGCTCACACCTGTAATCCCAGCACTTTGGGAGGCAGAGGCGGGAGGATCATGAGGTCAGGAGATTGAGACCATCCTGGATAACACGGTGAAACCCCGTCTCTACTAAAAAAAATACAAAAAGTTAGCTGGGGGTGGTGGCGTGTGCCTGTAGTCCCAGCTACTTGGGACGCTGTGGCAAGAGAATGGCATGAACCTAGGAGGCAGAGCTTGCAGTGAGGGGAGATCACACCACTGCACTCCAGCCTAGACAACAGAGTGAGACTCCATCTCAAAAACAAAAACAAAAACAAACAAACAAAAAACAACCAAATAACCTGATTCAAAATTGGGCAAAGGACTTAAATCGATATTTCTCCAAAGAAGAGATACAAATGACCAGTAAGCCCATGAAGAGATGTTCAACATTCCTAATCATTAGGGAAATGAAAATCAAAACCACAAGAAAATACCACTTCACACCCAATAGTATGGCTTTTAGCAAAAAAGAAATACACACACACACACACACACACACACGCACATACACACACCAGAAAATAAGTGTTAGAGAGTATGTGAAGAATCTGGAACCCTTGCGCACTGTTGGTGGGATTGTAAAATGGTGCAGAGGCTATGGAAAGCAGTATGACAGTTCCTCGAAAAATTAAAAATAGAATTTTCATGTGATCCAGCAATTCCAATTCCGGATATACACCCAAAAGATTTGAAAGGAAGGACTCAAACAGATATTTGTACTCCCAAGTTTATAGTGCATTATTTGCAATAGCCAAAAGGTGAAAACAACCCAAATATCTATAGACAGCTGAATGGATAAACGAAATGTGGTATATAGGTACAATGGAATATTATTCAGCCTTAAGGAAATTCTGACACTTACTTCAACATGGATGAACCTTGAAGACATTACACTAAGTGAAATAAGCCAGTCACAAAAAGAGAAATACTGTATGTTTTCACTTACATAAGATAACAAGAATAGTCAAATTTACAGAAGCAGAAAGCAGAATAGGGGTTGCCAGGGGCTGGAGGGAGGGAGGAGTTAGTGCTTAATGGGTACAGAGTTTCAGTTTGGGAAGATGAAAAAGTTCTGGAGATGGAAGGTAGTGATGGTTGTGTGATATGAGAGTACTTAGTGCCTCTGAACTGTACCCTTAAAATGGTTTAAAATGGTACATTTGATTATATATATATATATATATATATATATTACCACATTAAAAAACCTGGAAATTTGGGGCATTATATATTATGAGACTTTGGAACTTTTTTAAACCTGCTGGCTTTGGAGGGGAAGGGAGCTGGCTTTGGAGGGGAAGGGAGGGTGCTGCCGGGTTTGTACAAGGTAGAAGTTCTGTTCATGGCCCAAAATGGCAGAGCCAGTACTTGACACCATGGCTTCTAATGATAGATCTAGCTCTCTCGGATACCGAGGGCCAGCTGACGTTAGACATCATGGATTTGTGTTTTCCCTACACCTGGATGAATTTCTCTAGCAGGTTGGGCACAAAACTAGAGAAATGGGATTGCGAGACAGGGTCAAGGTTGGGTTCTTCCAGGCAGGCATCTCAGAAGAGCATACCTGGAGTATGTTCAGGGAGTGTCCAGGGGTAATGAGGCCATACCCACCTCACGTGTGGTCAATGGAGTGTACTGGTAAGGACTATGTGACTTAATCAAGAATTAAGTGAAGACAGCAAGGGGATGATAATATCCAGGGGAAATGGTGGGTCGAAGTTTCTAGGGAGTGCTTGATGGGGTGGAAACACAGGTGGGGGTGATGGTAAGGAGGATGTGCAAGAATAGGCACTATAGGCAGTTGTGGTTAGAGAAGGAGATGCTAAAGATTTCTTGATAGGGCAGATCCTGGAAGTGACAAGATTTGTGGTGTGGGTAGCTGAAAGGTGGGGGAGGCAAAGGATTTGAGGTCAAGAAATGCAAGGGCATAAAGGTAAAATCTTTCCCAAGATTACACCAGTAGTCCATGGGAGAGGTGGGACTCAAACCAGACTCAGAATCCAGAGAGGAGCTGGAGAACACGGGGCATGACCAAGGGGGTGAGGAGTGGTGGGGATGATGAGTGAGAAGGCTGGCCCAGGCAGCTCTCATGATGCTCAAAAGAGATGGGTGTTTGCATGCACAGCTTAGAAGGGAACACAGGGTGAAAGAAGGATGCTGGCCTTACAGCAACAATGTTCACTTGCAGAGTTTTTTGGTACCTCTGTGCACTGTGCCTGGTGCTAGGGACATTGAAATAAAAGATATAGGTGCTGCCCACAGGAAACACACAGTCACTGGGAGAGGCGGGCACATAAGCCCATCTGCAAAACAGAATGATACTCTGATAACCGCTGTTGGACCAAGCAGTGAGGGAGTGGCCCTGGCTGGAGTGGTGAGGTCAGGCACAGGAGGGAGGTGATGCTTAGGCACTTTGTGCGAACTTCACTAGTTGGGCCTGATGGAGCAGACGCAAGAGTGGGGTGGAAGGATACAACTGAGAAAGAGTCTGGTGTATTCAGGAGCCTCTGCGTGGCTTGGCGTGGGGAGCACCAGGACCATATGTCAGGGGATGAGGGTAGGCAGGGCCCTCACTAGGTCGTGTCTGCAGTTTGGCCTGAGTGTCATAGGAGGGGAGTGACAGGGAACAATTTGCATTTTAGAAAACGTGAAAGGGCAGATGAAAAAAATGAGCACAATGACTGCAGTATAAAATGTATTACTAGGCCGGCACAAGTAAAAATGAACAGGTTCTTAGAGGAGGATTATGTTCTCATTCCTTTTCAGGAAGTTTCCTTTATCATGACATTGTTTTTACACCAAAATGTGATTACTGTAAAAAGGGAACTGTGGTTAGTGTGAAAAGGGAACAAGCATGGAGTTACCAGAATCACATTTTCCTGACTGGAAAGAAGTCACAAGAAAACAACAGAGAACACTCACTCCATGTTCAGCATGAAGGAGAACTGCATGATCCAGGGAGGTTTAGGGGACCAAGAAGGTGGATAGGCTCTAACTGGGGCAGGCAGCAGGTGCGGCTGCAGAAAAGCGAAGGACTCCGAGCCCCGTGGTGCCTGCCTAAGAGTGAGCCAAACTCAGAAAGCCTGAGGCCCTTCTAGATGAAAGGTGACTGATGCAAAGCTTGATCCCAGATTGGATCTGGGTTATGGGAAGACAGCTCACCAGGGACTATTTAAGGGCAATTGGCGAAATGTAGACATGGAAGATGGACCAGACAACAGCATGAGATGAATGTTAAATTTCCTGATTTTGATCCTTGTTCTGTGGCTATGTAAGAGAATGTCCTTACTTTTAGAAAATACACATGGGGCATTTTTGGGAAGTTTTTAAGGGCATGGTGTCTGTAACTTACTCTCAAGCAGTTCAGGAAAATAATATATAAATTAGATATGAAGAGAAGTGAGGGGAGGAGAATAACACAAATGGGGGCAAAATATTAACATTGGTGCATCTGGATAAGATGATCTTTGGACAGAGTTCTTTGAACTATTCTTGAAACATCTGCATAAAATTTGAAGTTATATCAAATTTGAAACTTACAAAGAAAAGGCTTAGGGTTGGATTCTGCTTGGGCTGGAACATAAACTCAAGGTGAGAATATAGCCAACTTTGTGAATAGAGCAACTGAACCAATACTGGGTTTTTTGTTTTCTTTAAAAATCATTCTCTGTGGAAGATCAACTTAAATCTATTCTGCCAATATTGATAATTACTGACTAGCATGTGGTTTTATTTGCACTATCATTTTAATGGTGTTTACTTTATATATTAATTTTTGGCCTAATTAATTGGAGGCTTCCAGAAGGACGATCCCCTGGAACAATTTTCCTTGTGTTTCCCCCTTTTTGTTCTGCAAGCGTATAGCGTATGGCAGCAAGGAGGATCTCATTGCTCTCAGGGAGGGTGCAGGACACAAGGGCAGTGTGTGGCCTGATGAAAGCTGCTTGTCCTGGGAGCCCTCAGCACACAGAACTTTAGTAGAAGGGAAACCCTTTCACATCAGGAGCCAGAAGCCTTGTTAGGGGAGGGACTGCAGATATTGAGTCGAGCAAATCTGGCAGGGTGGCTTACGGTGAGAGGAAAGGACTAGTAGGCCAAGGGCAAAGGTAAATTCACCAGGGCAAAGGCAGTCTGAGCTAAATGCAAGAGCCTGGGCTTTGCTGTGTGTATGCAGGGAGATTATGGAATAGCACAGCCAAGACCAGCAGCCTCCTGGCCCAGCGACTATGGCATGGGGCCACGCCCTGGGAACGATGGAGCTCCAGGCTTGGAGCATGTGTGAGCTGAAGGACCTCCAGGTGGAGGCTGGTGGGTGGCACCTCGACAGTAGTCTGAAGCGAGCCAGAGCAGCGAGGGCCTTGCCTCATCAGCAAGCAATTGTCCCTGGGGCTGCACCAGTCAAGGCTTCAACACTGACAATGTGATGTCTCTAGAACAGAGTAGTGGTGACCAGAATAGCCCCTTCCATTCTCTCCTAGCTTATGTTTGGAAGAAGGACAAAAGCTTTTCAAGCCCTCAGTGTTCTTCTGTTATTTGAAAAGGAGGCTTCAGGAGGGAGGCACTGGGCACCATTTTTCTGGAACTATTAACTGATGAAATTTTAAAAAAGATGTGTTTGTACCCAGTGGTAGATAATCTCCAAATGTGGTCACCATCAGGTCCGATGTCCTTTCCTGTATGTGTCAAGGGGGGGAATGTATGTCCCCTCCCCTCATGTCTGGATTTGCCCTGTGCCTGCTTTGACCAAATGTGGAAGTGATATGCTCGGACTTCCGAGCCCAGGTCTTACGGCCTGGCAGCTTCTGTTTTCTTCCTCCAGGGACATTCACTCTTGGTTCCTCCCTCTGGATCCCAGTGCCCCTACTATAAGAAGCCCAGTTTAGAGAGGCCAGGTGGTGGAGGGCTGAGGTCCTGACCAACAGCCTCAGCAGAGCTCCTGGTAGACACAGAACCACCTGGCCAGCTCTGTGAGGGGGGCCAATCTGCACCTGCCAGCCCTGCAGCACCAGCCAAGACCATACAAAGAACCACTCGGTCAATCCACAGAATCATAATGAATGGCTTTGTTATTTTAAACCACTAAGTTTTAGGGTGGTTTAAAAAAAAGTATTGATTGAGCATCAAAATATACCCTAAATTAGTCAAGTGAATGAAGCAGAGATTATATATATATCTGTCTCCTAATTGACCAGGTCAGGGAGTGGCTACTTCAGGCTTGGCTGACAGAGCCTGAACCTCTTTATTCAGCCCACAAAGACTCAGGACACCTCTGATGGCTGTCCCTGCATCTATAGCTTCCTAGACCTTGGCCCAGGGACTCAGAGATGTCAGTGCTGGAAAGAGCCATAGGGGCCACTTAGTCCAGTGACTTCATGTTGTCAATGGATAAACTGAGCCCAGAGAGGGAAGATGACCTGCTCAGGTCACAGAGCTGGAAGTGAAGCTGGATCGAGAGTAGGTCTTCTGAAACCACCCCGTTCCTTTTTCCACTGTCATAATTAGGTTCGCCTGTGTTGGCTGCTTTCTGTGTGCCATGCACCCTGTGCATTCTCCCTGTGAACCCTCCCTTCAGCTCTCCATCCTCAATGGTCAATACTGTGGCCCACACCCACTTTCCAAAGAGGAAACCAGGGCTGAGAGGAGGTGAAGTGGTTGCCCAAAGTCATGAACTGGGAAAAGTGGAGCTGGACTTTGAATTCAAGGTTAAGGAAAGGGGCCCCATTGTTGGCAAACACCCTCCACTGCCCTTTCTTTCATCACAAGGTGGGCTCAGAATTCCAGATTTAGTTTTACCTTTCTGGTGTACCTTTGGATACATTAGTTTGCTGCTGTGAGGTGAAATGGGAAAGACTGCTCCATAACCTATGATTGCCAGTCAATATGAACACTCTTATAATATGAGGTGCTGTGTAGATGCTCACTCATAACTCATGTTTAATTGCATTGTTTTATAGTGAGATTTAAGGAAAGATCTCCTTCTGCCTTTTCTCCTTTTTAAATGTAAACATAGCACAATTTAAAGAGAGGAGTTTTCTCTCCAGCTCTGCTGAAGCCCCTCATTGGAGTGTGTGGATTCAAATGCTCTCTGACTTCTGGCCACAGCTCACGCTTAAGATGTCCCCAGGGTAGAAAGGAGGAAGATTGTCCTGGTGTTTTTTTCTGCAGAGGAGGGACCTGGAGCACTGAAGTCTGTGATTCACCTGTTTCAGGTGACTCCTTGGGCTGCTGGGGCTGCCTCGTGCAGCCTAGGAGAATGGAGGTCGCCAAAGAGCACCCCCTCCAGGCTTGGGGGGGTTCTCAGCCCTACCCAGCAACACTTTTGAGTTTCCCCTTTCTGTGCTACATGTATTTCAGACTCCTTCACTCACTAAAATTCTCTGACCCTCTTCCTGCCCCCGCCATCAGCAAATGACCCTGTCACCTATTTTACCAAGAAAATAGAAGGTGTCAGGATAAAACACTCTTAGCTTCTTGCCAGAAATCCTCCCACTTCACCCGTGCTTTCAGCCCTCCTGGGCTTGTTCTCACTGACACATGGTAAAGGCGAATCCCACCCACCCTGGCTCCCCTCTGCAATGACTTTGCTCCATCAGCTGTGCCTATCTTCTCTCTCTCTCTCTCCATAGCCCACATCTTTCCCATTGACACAATCCTTCCCTTGATCCCTCCAGCTGCTGCCCTGTCGCTCACCTCTCTTCACAGCTAAACTTTGTGAAGCCAAATGCACGTTCTCAACTCCTATTTGCTCCTCAAAGTACTCAAATGTGATGTCTGCCATCCCCATTCCACTGAAGCTCATCACTCCACAGTCACTCGTTAAACCCTCTGGGAGGTCCAGAGGCCTCATTGTAGCTGCTCAACTGCTCAGCTGCACCAGACACTACGACTACCACTAGTGTCCTGAAATGCTCTATTGTTTTTGTTTTTATCTCCTAGAAAACATCCCTCTCTTAGTTTTCCTCCCATTTCTCTGACTGTTCCTTTACTGTCTTGTCTTTTTCTGTCTCTAAAAGTTTGCTTCTGCCTTGACTTCTGGCCCTTTCTCTTCCAGCTCATCACATTTTCCCTGGACCAGAGGTCTGGCCAGGGACTGAAGGTAATGCAAACCCAGAGTGGCCAGATAGTCTCATTCTCCAGAAAAGCCAGAAATCTGGATCTTATTTGAAATCTTTTGGTTATTAAATGCTGGCATTTAGAAGATCTTCTGGGAGCACACATCTCTAGGTGCCCCTGAGCATCTCATATGCACCTGAAACTGGTACATCCAGAACCCAATCCGTCATCACACTCCTACCCCTGAGCTGGCTCTGCAATCTCAGTAGATGGTGGTGCCCCCAATGAAATGGCCAGAAACAGACACCTGGGACTCCCTGCCACACCCAGCACTTCATAGTCCTGCAGATTCCTCCTCCTGAATACTGTCCACATGGCTCTGTCCTTACTGCCACTTCTCTATGTTGGGCCACAACCACTTCATCCCTTCAGGAACTCACCCTCCTTCTGGTAAAAAGAGTCCCCATCTCCTGTCTTAGCCTCCCTTAGTCCTTTCTGCAGCCAGAATGATTCTTCTAAAATTCAAATATGATCATGTCTTTCCCCAAGTTTGACTCATTTGCTGATTGAGTTGGGCCCAAACCTTCAGTGTGGCTTGCAAGGCTTCTTGTGGTCTGGGCCCTGCTGAACACTCCTGGTCTCCTCCCTCTCTCTGCTCACCCCACCCTGCTCTATGCTCCTGCCTTTCTCGTCTACTTTTAGTTCCTTAAATGAGTCAAACTCTCTCTCACTTCCAAGTCTTTTTATCTGTCGATCCCTCTGCCTAGCATGTCCTTCATTCCACCCCATTTACTGCCACGTTCTTCTTTATTCTCACAACTCATTTTAGAGGTTGCCCTTCTAGGAAGCCCTCCAGATGTCCTCAGCATGTACCAGTTAGTGCCCCATCTTTTCTTTAAAATAACATCTTTATTGATATATAATTCACATACCACATAATTCACCCACTTAAAGAGTAAAATTCAATGGTTTTTAGCGTATTTACAGAGTTATGTGACCATCACTCCAATCAATTTTAGAACATTCTTATCTCCCCAAAGAGAAGTCCTGTACATATTAACAGTCAGCCCCCTTTCCCAGCAATCACCCTCCACTGCCACCCAAGCCCTAGGCAATCACTAATCTACTTTTTGTCCCCAGAAATTGGCCTACTCTGGACATTTAGCATAAGTGGAATTAAATAACCTGTGGTCCTTTGTGACTGGCTTCTTTCACTTAGCATACTATTTTCAGGTTCTGCATGTTACAGCATGCATCATTACTTCTTTCATTTTTTAATTGCCAAATAATATTCCCTTGTATCACTATATTGCATTTTATGTATCCATATATCAATTGATGGATATTTAGGTTGCTTCTCCTTTTTGTCTATTATGAATAAGTCTATTGTAATCATTAGTGCACTTTTTTTTGTGGACAGATTTTTATTTCTTTTGGGTATGTATCCAGGAGTAGAATTGCTAGATCATATGTTAACTCTATGTTTAGCCTTTTGAGGAACTGCCAGACTGTTTTCCAAAGTTGCTGCACCATTTTACATTACCAACAGCAGCACCTGAGTGTTCCAGTTCCTCCACATCCTTTTCAACACTTGTTATTGTCTGTCTTTTTGATTATAGCCGTCCTGGGGGGTGTGAAGTCATATCTCATTGTGGTTTTGATCTGCGTTGTCCTGCTGGCAGATGTTAAGCATCTTTTCACTTATATATCTTTTTTGAGAAAATATGTATTCAGACCCTTTGTTCATCTTTAAATTGGGTTGTTTGCCATTTGTATGATTGTATGTGTTCTAGATACAAGTCTCTTATCAGATGTGTTATTTGCAAATATTTTCTCTCTTTGGGTTTTCTTCTTACTTTCATAATGGTATTCTTTGAAGCACAAAACTTTTTAATTTGATGTAGTCCAATTTATCTATTTTTTCTTCTGTGGCTTGTACTTTTGGTGTCTTACTTAGAAGGTCTTGTTTACCCCAAGGTTGTGACAAGCTAGATATACTCAACAATGATCTTAATTAAGTCATAGCCTTTGTGGGTTGTAATTTCCTTTCCTTAAAAACAAAGATAGCAAGAATATCTGGTCTGTGGATATAGGTTACTGTGAAGGTCAAATGGGATTATGGCTTTTAGGGACCTCTCCCATTAATTAAGCACTTTGCAAGGTGAGTATCAATCATGATGGATCTGTGGGAAGGAAGGAAAACTCTTGGACCACTGTACCTGCCCTTTGGACATGATCATCTGCATTTCCCTAGGGCTGCCTCCCTCCCTTGCTTCCATGGAGACTGCCTCTGAAGAGCCTTTCCCCAGGGGCTGGCCCCGGCACTTCTGCCTCCTAGGCCATTTCTCTGCATGATGATGGAGGGGGCACTAGGGCCTCCTGGGGTGGTGCTAAGTCTGCGTCTTGCCATGAAGCATGGATTTAGCACATATCCAGTACCAAGCACTTTGCCAGACACCTTGATGGATACAGATAGGAATAAAATGTGGTCCTTGAGAGCACAGAGCTTAGTGGAAAAGACAAGCTGCTCACATGCACACTCATACACACTCATATACACTTATATGCATATATACTTATGGATTCACATACACTGACATATACACAGACATATACACATTCATACACACCATAAAATAAAAATACATGCTTATATACACACTCACAAACACACATATGTATATTCACAAACTTTCATGCATGCACACTCATACACAAATGCACTTTTACTCATTCACACGGCACACACTTACACATACATACACTCACAGATTCATATGAGTTCACACAAGTATCCACATATACATGCTCACACCCATACATATAGTCACAAATACACACTTACCTGTACACTCATACTGGTACATGTACACTAAGACATTCACACGCACACAGTCACACAAAGGTACAACCATACACATAACACACACTCATGCACACAATTATACACCTACTCATACAAAACACACACATACACACACATCCATACACTCACATATACATGCACACAGTGGTATGTATTAAGTGGCAAAATAAAGTCAAAGGAATCCGAGGGAGGTTTTAGATTAATAGAAACTAATATTTATTGATCATCTCTTGTATTCCAGGAAATTTACATTAATTATCTGTTTTAATTCTTAAAATTGCCCTAAGATATACTGTCACAGGGAAAGGACATTTACAGAGGGGAAACTGAGACTCAGAGAGACTGCCTCTGCAGAGTGAGGATTTGAGGCCAGTCTGCTTGATGTCCAAGGCTATGCCCTTTATTCCAGCTGAGTCTGGGGTGAGCACCTGTAGGGGCTGCTGAGGGTGGTGGTATAGAAGATATTCTATGGGGGTGAGGGAAGAAAATAGGACTCCTATTTATATTTATTTGGATAGAATACTTTTATCTCTTTTTTTTTACGTTTTTGGAAGTTAATGTTATTATATGAAGATGGTATGCAAAATATAGTACCAAACCATGTCTGTCTTATCTCTGTAGCATATATTCTTGGTTTGTATAAAAATAACTTTAAAATTCCAGTTTCCTTAGTTATGCACAAAACACACACACACACACACACACGCACACACACCATTACATCACTGTTGGTCAAAGATGCACTCCTCCTTTAATCAATTTAAATGAGGCTAGCGAGTATCTGTTTGATGTTTGCATTCTTATGGGCTAGGAAACAAGGCACACATCCCTAAAACTAACATCTAGATGCCACTTCTTGGACTGATAAGAAACAGACTTGCATATGGTTTCAGTCCCATTCCACCCACACTGTTCCACGTACATTATCTCAGAAACCCAAAAAGGAAGTGCTTGTTCTTTGTTAGTGCCAACCATTTTTGTCATAAATGGCAAATGATTGCAATATTATCATCAGCTAATTCATGTTTCAATTTTCAGTGCTATTTTAATGAACAAGCACTTTGTAACTAGATAGGTCATTATTATAAACCTCCATTTTTCTTTCTACATGAAGACTCCAAATGGAACCATTTGACTGATGGACTCATGCATGCTACAAACCTGAGTTTGAAGAAGCGAAGTAATATAATTCCAATGGTTTTTCTTTTCTCTTGGAAAGGGGTATTGGTCTCTTAATGATTAAGAATTAGATTATTGAAATCAAGACATTATGTGAATAGCTAAGGTTTTCTTTGTTATCACTATTTGCTGGGTTATTATCTGATTTGGAAAAATAAGTAGAGAATTGATTGAGGCCTTCTTTTTTCTGTGTTTAACCTCCTTCCAGTTACCTGATTTATAATATTGCCAGCTGTCTCAGGTGCTTTCGCATACGTAAAGATGAGGAAGAACAAAGATTTGTCCCCTCTTCTGGCTCTAGCTTTGTTTTGTTTGGATTTAGATCTTGGTGGCGAGGTCTGTCCCACTCTTCTCTTCTGTCTAGTGAGTCCTCCACAAGAGCCACCACAGGGCTCTTGTGGAGCCTGCTTAGGAATGTGCTGATGACAGTCCCATCTCTACATACAGAGAGCCTTTAAACAAGAATGTGACACATAAGAACGGAAACATACATTCTTCTGTTACTTAGAGTTCAGGTTTTAGAGTTAAGTTACGTGGATAAAAGGAAGCATACTCTTCTCCCCCAGAAGCAGCAATCCACTGTTGCTCATCCAGCCTCTGATTGGCTGCAGAAGGTGCAGACATTCTAAATACATAGACCCTAACTTGCATAAATAGCATCACAGCCAGCTTAGCGATCCAAGGCCCACTTGATCTTTAGACCCTGAAGAGTAGGCGTTCTTTCCTACCCAGTCTCCTTATTCCCATCATGCTCAGACCCCAGGCAAGGTTCAAAGCAGTTGAAAATGGGCTTTTCTCTTTTTTTTTTTATTATACTTTAAGTTTTAGGGTACATGTGCACATTGTGCAGGTTAGTTACATATGTATACATGTGCCATGCTGGTGCGCTGCACCCATTAACTCATCATCTAGCATTAGGTATATCTCCCAATGCTATCCTTCCCCCCTCCCCCCACCCCGCAACGGTCCCCAGAGTGTGATGTTCCCCTTCCTGTGTCCATGTGTTCTCATTGTTCAATTCCCACCTATGAGTAAGAACATGCAGTGTTTGGTTTTTTGTCCTTGCGATAGTTTACTGAGAATGATGATTTCCAATTTCATCCATGTCCCTACAAAGGACATGAACTCATCATTTTTTATGGCTGCATAGTATTCCATGGTGTATATGTGCCACAGTTCCTTAATCCAGTCTATCATTGTTGGACATTTGGGTTGGTTCCAAGTCTTTGCTATTGTGAATAATGCCGCAATAAACATACGTGTGCATGTGTCTTTATAGCAGCATGATTTATAGTCCTTTGGGTATATACCCAGTAATGGGATGGCTGGGTCAAATGGTATTTCTAGTTCTAGATCCCTGAGGAATCGCCACACTGACTTCCACAACGGTTGAACTAGTTTACAGTCCCACCAACAGTGTAAAAGTGTTCCTATTTCTCCACATCCTCTCCAGCACCTGTTGTTTCCTGACTTTTTAATGATCGCCATTCTAACTGGTGTGAGATGGTATCTCATTGTGGTATTGATTTGCATTTCTCTGATGGCCAGTGATGATGAGCATTTTTTCATGTGTTTTTTGGCTGCATAAATGTCTTCTTTTGAGAAGTGTCTGTTCATGTCCTTTGCCCACTTTTTGATGGGGTTGTTTGTTTTTTTCTTGTAAATTTGTTTGAGTTCATTGTAGATTCTGGATATTAGCCCTTTGTCAGATGAGTAGGTTGCGAAAATTTTCTCCCATTTTGTAGGTTGCCTGTTCACTCTGATCGTAGTTTCTTTTGCTGTGCAGAAGCTCTTTAGTTTAATTAGATCGCATTTGTCAATTTTGTCTTTTGTTGCCATTGCTTTTGGTGTTTTGGACATGAAGTCCTTGGAAAATGGGCTTTTCTTCTAGTGACGGCTCATTAACTAATATCCTGTGTCCCAACTGTAGAAATATCTTGCATAAATTACACACCACCTTTTTTCTCAAGGAGCTTAAAGTGCTTAATATGCACCAGCTAATGCTCTTCCACACCTTTCCAGATTAGTATGAGACAGTGGAATCCCCATAAAATGAAAAAGAAACATGTCTGACTTCCTGTGTTTGGGGTCCCAACTGTGTTGGTGAATTGGTTTGGTTGGTATAGAGACAGGGTTTTCCCTCGACCTTATTGACCTTTTTCTTCCATCAGTCCTAGTTTTGGTATGGAGAAAACCCTCCTTAGGACTGCATTTTCATTCTTCTCAGCTTTCTTTCACAACTAACTGTGCAAAACAGGATAATACCAAGAAATTGAGTTAAGTGTCTGGACTATATATTAATACTCGAAATAGAATGTGACATTTTAAGTGTAAGACCATCATGCCATGAAGACAACCTAGCTCTGGGTAAGTTTTCAGTGCATCTTACTAAAGGAGCCAAAAATATGGGCTCAGAGTTGAGCACCACCCTCAGTGCTATAAATCAAAACATGCCATGTATGGGAATGGACATAGAACCAGTTCCATAGGTATAGTTTTAAAATGTGCTTTAACTCCAAAAGAGATGTTTATCCTTTTCTTGCCTCCCAGAATCCAGAAAATGTCCCCTGTTCTCTGTCTTGTCTGCTCCCAGCTGGGCCCTCAAATGTAGAAGGGTCAGAGCTGGGAAGCCTCTGAAATGGCATTGCTGAGCCCTGTCCCCCACCTCGCCCACATGGTGCGTCTCAAATTCTTTCTCATGCCTTCTCCCGGTGTCTCTTTTCTCCCTTGTTTTCTGCTTTTTTCCTTTTCCTCCTCACGTGTCTTAGGCCTGTTAGAGGACTCCCGAAACGTTGCTCAGGCCAGCCAGCGATCCCCGGGGCTGGCTTTTATCTGAGAACAATGCTCAGATAAAACCAGGGCTCATTGCCCTGGGTTTTGGGCTGCGGGACTGGCCCAGTGGAGTCCATGATGCATTGCGTGATCAGTGCAGTTCCTGAATCAAACTGGTCTTGCGTGCCCTGAGGTCTCGGGGGTTGGATTAGGGAAGTCATTGGGCTTAGAAAGGATTTCTCTAACTCTGAGTAACATGAGGATTTAGCAGTAGTGTTCTTCACTTGTCACCATTTCTCTGTCTGGAGTTAACATTCCTGTTAGTCAAAAAAAAAAAAAAAAAAAAAAAAAAAAGCACTATTAAAAACTCACAAAAAGCAGCCGGCTCCCCTGGAAAGGTAAAAGTGTAAACTTATATATGCATAATACTGGCAAAAGCTAGTTTTCTGGGGGTATAAATACACATGTGCTTCTAGAAATAAGGCTTCGTGTCAAACTCTAGACGGGTGGAGTACAAGACCACAGAATTTTAGCCGACTACAACTCCCAGAGGGGCGGGGAGCAGCACGCCGTCTTCCTTTCCAGCTCGGCGTTGTCGTAGGTGAACCTGCCCTTGCCTTTGCTGATGTGCCCACTGTTGGAATGGCAGAAACTGGGCCTGCTGACATCAGAAAGCCCCGACTTCTTACTTTTGCTAGTTAGTCTCAAGTCAATCTTGAGCGAGGCCTTGGGTTTGCTGTCAGTCCTGGTGAAGCGCTTCAGCATGGGAGAGGCCAGCAGAGCGCTGCTGTCCCCCTGGTAGTCATCAAACATGGAGGTGGCATTTGGCAAAAGTTCTTCAAAGGTTTTGATTCTTTCCAGGCTCATGAACTTGAAAGCATTTACGTATCTGACATCATCAGAGCTTCCTGAACTAAACTTGGGAGCTGAAATACCTTCCTTGAAGAAGTCCTCAGAGAAGGCAGGAGTTGAGTATGTAAACCCACTATTTTCTGTCAGTATGGCACTGAGTGGGATGTAGTCTTTACCATCCTGTTATACATTTGCTTGAAGCAAATCACCTAGTTTTTCCACAAGTTCTGCAAATCTTGGCCTTTCTTTTGGGTCTTTGTGCCTGCAGTCCAGCATGATCTGATAGATTTCAGGAGTGGAGTACTCAGCAGCTCTCATCCTCATGCCTTCCCTCAGGCAACTGCAGAAGTGCTCATCCATTTGCACTCCTGGGTATGGAGACCCACCTAAGGAGAAGATTTCCCACAGCAATACTCCCTAAGACCGCACATCGCTGTTGGTGCTGTAGATTTTGTCAAAGATAGATTCAAGAGCCACCCATTTCAGAGGAAGTCAAGTACCTCCTTTTCTCACATAATCGGCGTTCTTGTAAATATCCTGGGCAAGGCCAAAATCACAAATCTTCACCACATTGTTCTCAGATAAAAGAATGTTTCTTGCTGCCAGGTCCCAATGAATGCACTTTCTGGAAGACAGAAACTTCATGCCTCTGGCCACTTGAAAACTGTAAGAAATCAGATCTTCCATAGTGATGGGCTCCTGGTAGAAACCATCAGAATCCTCCTCTTCCTCAACATCACTCAGATTTTTATCTTCCTGAAACTTGGAGCTCCCAAAGCTCTCGCTGCTGGTGATGCTATCTAGTTTTGGTTTCTTGCCTTGTTCCAGGCCTGGCTCCATTTTTTCTTTCTTACGCTCCATGTGTGATGCCACATCCTTGTCGAGAAAAAATAAGTCATATTTGCTCTTGAGGTAGTTGGATAGATTTCCATATTTGCAATATTCAACAATCACCATCAGAGGCCCTTTGTTTGCTGATCTGACCCCAGTCTGAAGGAAGCAAGAGGGTTGAGAAGGAAGTCCAGCTGCACCGTGGGGCCCATGTGGTGCCCTGAAGGCCTCCTCTCCCCTGCCCTGCATTTCCACTGCATGCCCGGGCTGGGCACACAACCCCTTATCTTCTTTTTTGTGTTTTATTCTACACATAAGACACTACTACAGTAGAACACATCTGTAAAAATAAACAAATGCATATTCATATGTCAGAGGCACATGTCCAGAACTGTTGTTGATGGCAGCATGCAATCAAAAGCGCAGAGGCCTTTGCTTCCTACTCCATCCTGCAGCCTTCCCTGTGGGGCAGGGGCGCTGTGCCAAAGGGGGCTCCGGGCAGCCCTACCTCCCTCCACTGCTTTGGATTTGGTCCACATTGAGCTTTCACTGTCCCTGCTTCCTCTTGGCAGAGATTCTTCCTCTTTTCCTTCACTCTGCAGGATCTGAAAGGACACAGACTCCTTTCCAAAGAATGCTGTGTATTGAAATGCAGAGAAACAGAAAGTAGATCACAAAATTAACTCTGTGGAAGTGGTTACAGGACATCTC
Source organism: Homo sapiens (assembly GCF_000001405.40). Taxonomy (NCBI): domain Eukaryota; kingdom Metazoa; phylum Chordata; class Mammalia; order Primates; family Hominidae; genus Homo; species Homo sapiens. The sequence goes on from NC_000003.12 coordinate 46,144,254, forward strand.
AAAAGGTCTTGGCATCAGCTGTCCCTGGTCTCCACTCAGTTCTGCCCTCCTAGGTCTCCTTTTGTTCTTTCTCAATGAGCCCCACAGAAGTCCTCTTCCTTTTTCCCTTTTGCACACCCATGTACACATCCATGATCACACCCCAGGCTCCATGACCCATGACCCACCTCTGTGCCCACTACTGCCTGCAGTGCTGCCCAGGCCAGGGAACGTTGCACTACTTTGATCTCTATGGTATTGATCTTTGGCTTCCACAAAAGAAGGGAAGCGGGCACAGCTCAACAATGCCAATTAAATTTTTAGTTCTCTTACAGAGATTATTTTATAATTGATTACAGAACAATGTTCTATGTAGCATTTACTGCTTAGTCAATTTTAAGGAAGAAAACACTGGTTAGGATTGCTAATGCGAAGGTGAATGGCAATGGTGAAGGTTCAAATGGATCTTGACAGACTGGGTCACTGAACTGAAAATAACAAGATGAAATTTAAGGAGAAAGAAAGTAAATCTGGGAATGCTCTGATACTTTAAAAAATAGCCAAATACAAAAATGAGATGGTAAGCGCTGTTGATGGATATCAGTTCAGGGGAAACAACTATTTTGTGACTAGGTCATAAGTAAAAAAGGCCTACTTACAACTAGGCTAATAAGAGCCCATCTTGAGACACTTGCTAGAAAAATGATTGTGAAGAGCTGATTATTACCAGGCTTAGAAAACAAATGTAGTCTACTCTCCTACCATCTACCCAGCACTTGGGAAGAATCAAAGACTCACTATGGATAGTTTATCTTCGGGTTGAATGAACAACTGGTTTTGGAATATATACAATGATCACCACACATATAATTCAGCAGCCCCATTACACTAAGTAACGGTCAACTCTTTTAGATGTGGAGGGTTAGCAATAAGGTCTCAATTCTGATTCTGGTCTTTTTCCAGATGCTTTTCTGTCTTCAGTATCTGCTGTTCAGTTCTTAGGTCTTGGGCTACTCAGAAGTTGGCTGACTCAGAATAAGGACACCCTGTCCTTGTGAACAAATGGAAGAAAGTGAGGTCCTAGTTACTGAAGGGGAATGTGAAAGGAGCTGGATGACCTTCTGTTGACCTATTGCAGAGGGTATTCCTGCACTGGAATTGACATTCTGCAGAGTCTTTTAGTCTCCAAAGGGGTCAAATGTGGAACCAAAAAATTGAGAGCATTTTGACTCTAGTCTTGTAACATCTCGCTCAACAGTTGCCAAACAATTCTGAAATAAAATTTTAAATGTTAAAAAAATCAGATGCTGTGAGGACATCATGGTATCAAGCATCTGGATGGAAAAAGAGGAGTAAAGTACTGACTCCTAATAGATTGGATGGCTAGCTCTAGGAAGGATGGAAATTGTGACCATGGTGTCTGTATTATTTTCCCATTGCTGCTGTAACAAATTAACAAAAATTTAGTGGCTTAAATTAGTGCAAATGTATTCTCTTACAGTTGTGGAGGCCAGAAGTTTGAAATGAACCTTATGGGACTAAAATCAAGGTGTTGGGAGGGCTGGCTCCTTCTGGATACTCCAGAGGAAAATCTATTCTTTGTCTCTTTCAACTTTTCTTGGCTAATGGCATTCCTTTGCTTGTGGCTGCATCACTCCCATCTCTACTTTTGTTGTCACACTGCCTTTTCTTCGTTAGTATTCAGATCTCTCTCTACCTTCTTCTTATATTCTTGTGATTATGTTTAAGGCTTAGCAGGATAATCTCCCCATCTCAAGATCCTTGACTTAATCACACATGCAAGGCCTTTTTTGCTATATAAGTTCACAGGTTCCAGGATTAGAGCCTGGGTATCCTTGGGGGCAAGTATTCAGCCTCCCATGGTATCTTTATAAGAGGCCTCTTTCCTTTAAGCAGAAGGTGCTCATTCTTGGAAGCACTTGTGGTTGCCTTTCATCTTGAGGGTGGCAGGAGTCTCTAGCGCCACAGTTGTACACTACAGTATCTTTGGGGGCCAGCAGGGGTACATGTGTAGTTACAGACAACAAAAAGAAGTGGTGCCTACGGCTATATAAGGAGTACAGGGCATCCAAATATGATGGTATTAACATTAAAACAACTCACATCACTGCTGCTAGTCAGATACCATCAGTGGACTAGAGTTTAATAGTTTCTTATTTTGTACACATTCACTTTGTGTTTTTTATTGTACTGAAACTCCTCAAAAAGTCCAGAAAAGAAATTCCTTAAAGAATATTAACCTACATTTCTTTCAATTGAGAGAAGCCAGGGCTGGCCTCTAAAATCTACATACTCATAAGCTCAGATGGAAACAAAAATCAAATTCCAAATACAGGAAATGAGGTTTTCCACTAAAAGATCTTCAGTAATTCTTCCATCATTCAGTCATTTACATGTTTAAAAAACCCCACGAGTTCCTTATTAATCAGCCGCAAAATAACTTTAGTCATATTTGACCAAGCACATATCAGACCATCTAGAAGGTGTTCACCTTTTGCAGAGTGAGTTCTGTATTGGGGAGTTCCGGAGGAAGTAAGAGAGAGTTGTTGCCCTCTGCAAAAGCCATAATATGACAAGAGGATGCAGTTTTTAAAAATCATACGCATGTACCCTTAGCATTTTGGGCTTTACCAATGGGCATGAACAAGTGTGCTCCTGTTGACATTCATGTCCATAATTTGATGACTTTGAGCTCCTGCCTACTTGTCAAAAAGCTACTAAATCTTCTACCAAGTCTTATTTCACAAGATTTCTGGCACTTCCAGGGAGGTTGCAGGTGTCCATTCATCAGGCCTGGGCTTTGTTCCCCGACACAACCAGCAGAGCAGTAGTCCCCAGACACAACAGCTCTCAGAGCTGCCACTCCAAGCCAAACCTCCACTCCTGGGGGTAGAAATTTGCAGGGCCCAGTGAGGGTACGAAAAGCCCTGATTTGTCCACTGGCATGAGTGAGGGAAGGAGGGTTGGATATGCATGCGTGTCGGTTTAGTCATTCAGCAATGTCTGCGGTGACGGGGACAGCTGCCTGCTGGCGTCCTTGACACCTTCCTGGATCATGGTGTAACAACAAAACCAATGAAAATCAACCCCCTTGAGGACATGTTGGCCAAATGGTACAAACTTTCAGTTAAGAGTAAGTTCTGGGGACCTAACATACAGTATGGTGATGATCATTAGTAATACTGTATTGTAGCAGTTCCCAACCTTTCTGGCACCAGGGACCAGTTTCATGGAAGACAAGTTTTCCACAGACCCAGTGTGGCGGGAACGGTTTTGGGATGAAACTGTTTCACCTCAGATATCAGGCATTAGATTCTCATAAGGAGTGTGCAACCTAGATCCCTCATATGCACAGTTCACGATAGGGTTAAAGCTCCTATGAGAATCTAATGCTGCCGCTGATCTGACAGGAGGCAGAGTTCAGGTGGTAATGCTGGCTTTCCCTGCTGCTCACCTCTTGCTGTGCGGCCCAGTTCCTAACAGGGCATGGACAAGTACTGGTCCATGGTCCAGGGGCTGGGGACCCTTGCTGTATTGTATACTTGAAATTCACTAACAGTGTCGATCTTAAGTGTTCCCACCACAGTGATAAGTATGTGAGATGATGCATATGTTGATTAGCTTGATTGTGGTAATCATTCACAATGCTTATGTGTATCAAAACATCATGTTGTATGCCTTAAATATAAACAATTTTTTTTTATCAATCGTCCTTCAAAAATCTGCTTCAGGAAAAACAGAGTATTTTACGGTGAAGAATCTTGAAAAATACTACCTCAGCCAGATGACCAGTTAACATGAACAGGCATGAGGGATGTTGATTGTCTGTGCCCTTGATATCATGTGATGAGATAGGGACTCTGCTTTGTGGTCTTCGTCCCCAAAACCCATGCCTCCAGTCTAATTATGAGAAAAACATTAGACAAATCCCACTTGAAGGACATGCTACAAAATACCTGACCAGCACTACCAAAACTGTCAAGTTCACCAATAGAAGGAAAGTCTGAGAAACTGTCACAGCCAAGAAGAGCTGAAGGAGACACAACTACTAAATGTAATGTGGCATCCTGGACATAGAGAAAGGAGTGCTAGGTAAGTTGAAATGAAGTAAAAAATGTTAAGGGCAGCCAGAGAGAAAGGTCGGGTTACCCACAAAGGGAAGCCCATCAGACTAGCAGCGGATCTCTCAGCAGAAACTCTACAAGCCAGAAGAGAGTGGGGGCCAATATTCAACATTCTTAAAAAAAAGAATTTTCAACCCAGAATTTCATATCCAGCCAAACTAAGCTTCATAAGTGAAGGAGAAATAAAATACTTTACAGACAAGCAAATGCTGAGAGATTTTGTCACCACCAGGCCTGCCCTAAAAGAGCTCCTAAAAGAAGCACTAAACATGGAAAGGAACAACCGGTACCAGCCACTGCAAAATCATGCCAAATTGTAAAGACCATCGAGGCTAGGAAGAAACTGCATCAACTAACGAGCAAAATAACCAACTAATATCATAATGACAGGATAAAATTCACACATAACAATATTAACTTTAAATGTAAATTGGCTAAATGCTCCAATTAAAAGACAGAGACTGGCAAATTGGATAAAGAGTCAAGACCCATCAGTGTGCTGTATTCAGGAAACCCATCTCACGTGCAGAGACACACATAGGCTCAAAATAAAAGGATGGAGGAAGATCTACCAAGCAAATGGAAGGGGTTGCAATCCTAGTCTCTGATAAAACAGACTTTAAACCAACAAAGATCAAAGGAGACAAAGAAGGCCATTACATAATGGTAAAGGGATCAATTCAACAAGAAGAGCTAACTATCCTAAATATATATGCACCCAATACAGGAGCACCCAGATTCATAAAGCAAGTCCTGAGTGACCTACAAAGAGACTTAGACTCCCACACAATAATAATGGGAGACTTTAACACCCCACTGTCAACATTAGACAGATCAACGAGACAGAAAGTCAACAAGGATACCCAGGAATTGAACTCAGCTCTGCACCAAGTGGCCCTAATAGACATCTACAGAACTCTCCACTCCAAATCAACAGAATATACATTTTTTTCAGCACCACACCACACCTATTCCAAAATTGACCACATAGTTGGAAGTAAAGCTCTCCTCAGCAAATGTAAAAGAACAGAAATTATAACAAACTGTCTCTCAGACCACAGTGCAATCAAACTAGAACTCAGGATTAAGAAACTCACTCAAAACCACTCAACTACATGGAAACTGAACAACCTGCTCCTGAATGACTACTGGGTACATAACGAAATGAAGGCAGAAATAAAGATGTTCTTTGAAACCAATGAGAACAAAGACACAACATACCAGAATCTCTGGGACACATTCAAAGGAGTGTGTAGAGGGAAATTTATGGCACTAAATGCCCACAAGAGAAAGCAGGAAAGATCCAAAATTGACACCCTAACATCACAATTAAAAGAACTAGAAAAGCAAGAGCAAACACATTCAAAAGCTAGCAGAAGGCAAGAAATAACTAAAATCAGAGCAGAACTGAAGGAAATAGAGACACAAAAACCCTTCAAAAAATTAATGAATCCAGGAGCTAGTTTTTTGAAAGGATCAACAAAATTGATAGACCGCTAGCAAGACTAATACAGAAGAAAAGAGAGAAGAATCAAATAGACGCCATAAAAAATGATAAAGGGGATATCACCACCGATCCCACAGAAATACAAACTACCATCAGAGAATACTACAAACACCTCTACGCAAATAAACTAGAAAATCTAGAAGAAATGGATAAATTCCTGGACACATACACCCTCCCAAGACTAAACCAGGAAGAAGTTGAATCTCTGAATAGACCAATAACAGGCTCTGAAATTGTGGCAATAATCAATATCTTACCAACCAAAAAGAGTCCAGGACCAGATGGATTCACAGCCGAATTCTACCAGAGGTACAAGGAGGAACTGGTACCATTCCTTCTGAAACTATTCCAATCAATAGAAAAAGAGGGAATCCTCCCTAACTCATTTTATGAGGCCAGCATCATCCTGATACCAAAGCTGGGCAGAGACACAACCCAAAAAGAGAATTTTAGACCAATATCCTTGATGAACATTGATGCAAAAATCCTCAATAAAATACTGGCAAACCGAATCCAGCAGCACATCAAAAAGCTTATCTACCATGATCAAGTGGGCTTCATCCTTGGGATGCAAGGCTGGTTCGATATACACAACTCAATAAATGTAATCCAGCATATAAACAGAACCAAAGACAAAAACCACATGATTATCTCAATAGATGCAGAAAAGGCCTTTGACAAAATTCAACAACGCTTCATGCTAAAAACTCTCAATAAATTAGGTATTGATGGGACATATCTCAAAATAATAAGAGCTATCTATGACAAACCCACAGCCAATATCATACTGAATGGGCAAAAACTGGAAGCATTCCCTTTGAAAACTGGCACAAGACAGGGATGCCCTCTCTCACCACTCCTATTCAACATAGTGTTGGAAGTTCTGGCCAGGGTAATTAGGCAGGAGAAGGAAATAAACGGTATTCAATTAGGAAAAGAGGAAGTCAAATTGTCCCTGTTTGCAGATGACATGATTGTATATCTAGAAAACCCCATTGTCTCAGCCCAAAATCTCCTTAAGCTGATAAGCAACTTCAGCAGTCTCAGGATACAAAATCAATGTACAAAAATCACAAGCATTCTTATACACCAATAACAGACAAACAGAGAGCCAAATCATGAGTGAACTCCCATTCACAATTGCTTCAAAGAGAATAAAATACCTAGGAATCCAACTTACAAGGGACATGAAGGACCTCTTCAAGGAGAACTACAAACCACTGCTCAATGAAATAAGAGAGGATACAAACAAATGGAAGAACATTCCATGCTCATGGGTAGGAAGAATCAATATCGTGAAAATGGCCATACTGCCCAAGGTAATTTATAGATTCAATGCCTTCCCCGTCAAGCTACCAATGCTTTTCTTCACAGAATTGGAAAAAACTACTTTAAAGTTCATATGGAACCAAAAAAGAGCCCGCATCGCCAAGTCAATCCTAAGCCAAAAGAACAAAGCTGGAGGCATCACGCTACCTGACTTCAAACTATACTACAAGGCTGCAGTAACCAAAACAGCATGGTACTGGTACCAAAACAGAGATATAGATCAATGGAACAGAACAGAGCCCTCAGAAATAACGCCGCATATCTACAACCATCTGATCTTTGACAAACCTGAGAAAAACAAGCAATGGGGAAAGGATTCCCTATTTAATAAATGGTGCTGGGAAAACTGGCTAGCCATATGTAGAAAGCTGAAACTGGATCCCTTCCTTACACCTTATACAAAAATTAATTCAAGATGGATTAAAGACTTAAACATTAGACCTAAAACCATAAAAACCCTAGAAGAAAACCTAGGCATTACCATTCAGGACATAGGCATGGGCAAGGACTTCATGTCTAAAACACCAAAAGCAATGGCAACAAAAGCCAAAATTGACAAATGGGATCGAATTAAACTAAAGAGCTTCTGCACAGCAAAAGAAACTACCATCAGAGTGAACAGGCAACCTACAAAATGGGAGAAAATTTTCGCAACCTACTCATCTGACAAAGGGCTAATATCCAGAATCTACAATGAACTCAAACAAATTTACAAGAAAAAAACAAACAACCCCATCAAAAAGTGGGCAAAGGACATGAACAGACACTTCTCAAAAGAAGACATTTATGCAGCCAAAAAACACATGAAAAAATGCTCACCATCACTGGCCATCAGAGAAATGCAAATCAAAACCACAATGAGATACCATCTCACACCAGTTAGAATGGCAATCATTAAAAAGTCAGGAAACAACAGGTGCTGGAGAGGATGTGGAGGAATAGGAACACTTTTACACTGTTGGTGGGACTGTAAACTAATTCAACCATTGTGGAAGTCAGTGTGGCGATTCCTCAGGGATCTAGAACTAGAAATACCATTTGACCCAGCCATCCCATTACTGGGTATATACCCAAAGGACTATAAATCATGCTGCTATAAAGACACATGCACACGTATGTTTATTGCAGCACTATTCACAATAGCAAAGACTTGGAACCAACCCAAATGTCCAGCAGTGATAGACTGGATTAAGAAAATGTGGCACATATACACCATGGAATACTATGCAGCCATAAAAAATGATGAGTTCATGTCCTTTGTAGGGACATGGATGAAATTGGAAATCATCATTCTCAGTAAACTATCACAAGGAAAAAAAAAACAAACACTGCATGTTCTTACTCATAGGTGGGAATTGAACAATGAGAACACATGGACACAGGAAGGGGAACATCACACTCCGGGGACCGTTGCGGGGGTGGGGGGAGGGGGGAGGGATAGCATTAGGAGATATACCTAATGCTAAATGACGAGTTAATGGGTGCAGCACACCAGCATGGCACATGTGTACATATGTAACTAACCTGCACATTGTGCACATATACCCTAAAACTGAAAGTATAATTAAAAAAAAACAAAAAAAACTAAAGAAATCTCAATAAAGTATGGCTTTAATTAATAATAATATGATCAATGCTGGTTTATTAATTGTAACAAATGTATCACCAATGTGAGGGGTTAATAATAGGGGAAACTGGGTGTGGTCTTATGGGAACTCTCAATACTATCTTTACACCTTTTCTGTGACTCTAAAACTGTTCTAAAAATTATTTATTTATTTATTTATTTATTTTTATTTTTTGAGACGGCCTCTCGCTCTGTTGCCCAGGCTGGAGTGCAGTGACACGATCTCAGCTCACTGCAAGCTCCGCCTCCTGGGTTCCTGCCATTCTCCTGCCTCAGCCTCCTGAGTAGCTGGGACTACAGGCGCCCGCCACCACGCCCGGCTAATATTTTGTATTTTTAGTAGAGACGAGGTTTCACCGCGTTAGCCAGGATGGTCTCAATCACCTGACCTCGTGATCCGCCCACCTTGGCCTCCCTAAGTGCTGGGATTACAGGCGTGAACCACCGTATTTTTTTTTTCTAATTAATCCCCAACATGCAGGCTGTGTGTTTGCCTGTTTCTGGACTATTTTCCAGATCGAAGACTAGCTGAGTGATTCATTTTGTAATTGGTAACCCTGACCCCAGCACCCCTCTGTGGCTGCCTCGTGGAGCAGGCTTCTATTCTGCACACCTCCTCCCTCTCTGCCCCTCCCTCCAGGTTGGCCTGTCTCCTCCCACCTCTCCCCTCCCTCCTGACAGGGTCTGGTCCTTCCTGCTGGAATTCTGTGGGTCATGAGGAACAGGGGATAAACAAGGCAGAGGCTGGATCTGGGGCAATGTTGGGGCAGGAAAAGGAATCAAAGACAGAAGCACAGGGTGGCAGAACCAAGGTCCTTCAATAAGGATGGACACATCAGAGCTTGTGAGTTGTTTATTCAATCACTTAAGAAATATTTGTAGGTGTCTACTATGTGCCAAGCCTGGCTGGATGCTATAAATACAATAGCAAGCAAATTAAATCTACTCCCAAATAATACAATAATGCTCATTCTGGGTTACCTGGACAATGAGCATCTTGGAATTAGGGACACTCCTTCTTCCCAGAGGAGGGGCTGCCCTAGGAGTCTCCTACATTAGAGAAGTAGCACGTTTCTATGGTCCCTGAGGCCTCCAAGTGCCCAGCAGTGGGCATTTCTGGGCACTTTCTTTTCTTTTCTTTGTTTTGTTTTTTTAGACAGAGTCTCGCTCTGTCATCCAGGCTGGAGTGCAGTGGCACGATCTCTGCTCACTGCAACCTCCGCCTCCTGGGTTCAAGCAATTCTCAGGCTCCTGAATACCTGGGATTAAAGGCGCCCGCCACCACACTCGGCTAATTTTTTTTATTATTATTTTTTTTAATTTTTAGTAGAGGTGGGGTTTTGCCATGTTGCCCAGGCTGGTCTTGAACTGCTGAGCTCAGACATTCCACCCGCTTTGGCCTCCCAAAGTGCTAGGAATACAGGCACGAGCCACTGCACCCAGCCTTCTGGACACTTTCATAAATAGCTGGCATCCATGTCCAGGCTGCCAGACCCCCATGCAGTCTGACCAACTTGCTCTCCTACCTGCCCCACAGGAAGTGAAAGCAATGGGCAGCATGGTCTTTCTGTGGAATTCTCACTCATGCTGCCCAGCCAGTGGCTTGGCCAGGCCCTCTACACAACTCTCTGTGGTATGAGAGAGGTCCAGAGGAGCCACCTGCTCTCTCTTGCTGACACTGGCTTGAACATTTCCTCATTTCCCAATAAAGCCTATTCCTTAACCCTTGCATGTGACTCTGCAAGCTTTATTTTATGTTTTGCTGCCCGATAGTGGCATGACAGATGGCCACCACAAAGGGATGCATTCTGCAGGACCTGGCTAGGCCCTTCTGGAAACCATGGAAGAGGTCAATTGGACCACTTCAGGAGTAAAAGAGAATCTCCTGGAATTGAGAGCAGGAAAATCAATGGTTGGGAATGGCCAAAGAGTCCACAGGTCACTGCAGCTCCTGAGGGCAGTCATTTGGGTAGCTGCTGTCCTGATGGCTGCTTTGTCTGGCTATAAGCTGGAGTGGGTGTCTGGCTATAAGCTGGATTTTTCAGAGATCCCAGGGCAGCAGATTTAGGAAGAGAGAAAACCCAGACCTGAGGGTCCACAGACAGCAACATCTGCATGCCCTCTTGGAGGAAGACTAGGAGTCTGTGGCTTGATCCCTTGGATTCTCCTGCTTGGTCTCTCTCCTGGAATACTAACTACTTCTACTCCCATTACCCTTCAGCTCTTAGCTTAGCTTAGATGACACTTCCTACAGGAAGTCTCTCCAACCCCACCCATCAGAGCATTTAATCTCCTTGTGCTGTAATGGGCTGTTCATGTCCCACCAGCTACCGGATGGCAGAAGACCATGCCTTGTTCCCTGTGGTGTCCTCCAGCATTAGTGCTTGGCACACAGTAGGTCCTTCATAAATATTCACCCAGTGAGACACTCAGGGTCCCACACTAAGACCTCTTGGTTATGCTGTAATGATTCAACTTCCACTTGAAGGCCTGAAATCATGCAAAGGCTGCAACCTTGAACACAGAGTCCAGAGGCCTAGAGTCCATGGGGAAACCAGAAGGCAGGCTGCTTGTGGAACCACAGTAGAGAAAGGACAGCAGGACTTTAAAAGTACATTTCCTGCCTAAACTAGGTCACCAATGTGTATGGCACAGCTGGTCTGGTCCCCTGGACAATGCTGTCACACTCTGAAGGCTGATGGAAGTCTATTTTGCCTGCTCGGAGGTGGATAGGTGGAAATCAGAAGGTATAGCAGCTCTCTGCACCCTCATCTATGGGGACATTTTAAAATCATCCCAAAGAAAACCATTCACAGAGTTCTGGGGTCATTTGAAACCCTCCAGGGTCCTGAAATGGGAGGTCATTTTTCTTGAACTGGAAGGGAGACAAGTCCCATGACCAACCTTGTTCAGAACTCCTGGCTCCCTTCCTAATTTCCTTGTTGTCCGTATGCCTAAGTTCAAGAATTTCATATACATGGAATCAAACAGTATATAAACATTTGAGATCAGCTTTTTCACTCCATGTAATTCCCCTGAGATTTGCCCAAGTTGTTGCAGGTACTAATGCTTTGCTCCTTTTTATTGCTTAGAAGTATTCCATGGTATAGATGTGCCACGGTTTGTTTAACCATCCACCTCTTGAAGAATATTTAGGTTCTGGCTAGTTTTGGGCTGTTATAAATAAAACTGCTAAAAATCAATTGGCCATATGTGTATAGGTCTATTCCTGGGTTTTCTGTTCTGTTCCATTGGTCCAGGTGTCTATCCCTCTGCCAGTATTGCACTGTCTTGGTTATTATAGCTATATAGTGAAACTGAACACTGGGCAGAGTGATTCCTCACACTTTATTTCTCTTTTTCAAAATTGTTTTAGCTACTCTAGGTCCTGTATCTTCCTATGTAAATTTAACAATAAGCTTCTCTACAATTGTTGTTTGCAATTGTTGTAAAGTGATTGTTAACATTAAGCTTGTCAATGTCTACAAAAAAAAAAAACTTTTCTAGGATTTTGGTATAAATTGCAGTAAAATGAGGCATTTGACATCTTTATAATGTTGAGTCTGTTGTTGAGTCTTCTGACTCATGAATATGGCACGTCTCTACATTTCTTTAGGTCTTCTTTGATTTCTTTAATCAGCATTTTGTAATTTTCAGGATATAGATCCTTACATATTTTGTTAGATTTTGAGTACTTCATTTTCTTCGGAGCAATTGAAAATTGCATTGTGTGTATGCGTGTGTTTTTTAGAGACTTAATTTGTTATAAACAGTTTTAAATTCACAGCAAAATTGAAAGGAAGGTACAGAGATTCACCATACTACCCCTGCCCTGACACATGCATAACGGCTCCTATTATCAACATCCTCCACCAGAGTAGTACATTTTTGACAATTGATGAATCTACACTGACACATCATAATCACCCAAAGTCCACAGTTTACATTGGTGTTCACTCTTGGTATTGAACATTTTTTGGGTTTGAACAAATGTATAATGACATGTACTCTCTTCTGGCTTGTAGAGTTTCTGCTGAGAGATCAGTTGTTAGTCTGATGGGCTTCCCAAGTATTTGCTCTTATAATATCATTCAGAGTATTTTCAATGTTCTAAATTTCTCTTTGCTCTATGTATTCATTCTTTTGTTCCCTGCCAACATATTGTGTTTTAATTTTTTCTTTTTGTATATTTGTTAGTATATTAAAATGCAATTGATTTTTTTAAACTTCTGTTTTAAGTTTAGGGGTACATGTGCAGGATATGCAGGTTTGTTACACAGGTAAGGATGTGTCATGGGGGTTTGTTGTACAGATTATTTCATCACCAAGATATGAAGCCTAATAATATTCATTCGTTATTTTTCCTGATCCTCTCCCTCCTTCCTCCATCCTTCCTACCCTCTGCCATCTGGTAGGCTCCCGTGTGTGTTGTTCACCTCTATGTATTCATGTGTTCTCATCATTTGGCTCCCACTTGTAAGTTAGAATGTGTGGTATTTGGTTTTCTCTTCCTGAATTAGTTTGCTAAGGATAAGGGCCTCTAGCTCCATCCATTCCTTGCAAAGGACATGATCTCATTCCCTTTTATAACTGCATAGTATTCCATGGTATACATGTACTAGATTTTCTTTATCCAGTCTATCATTAATGGGCATTTAGGTTGATTTCATGTCTTTGCTAGTGTGACTAGTGCTACAATGAACATATGCATGCATGTGTCTTTATAATAGGGAAAGATTTATATTCCTCTGGGTATATACCCACTAATGGGATTGCTGGGTTGAATGGTATTTCTGCCTCTAGGTCTTTGAGAAATCACCACACTGTCTTCCACAATGGCTGAGCTAATTTACACTCCCACCAACAGTATAAAAGCATTCCTTTTTCTCCACAGGCTCAGCAGCATCTGTTGTTTTTTGACTTTTTAATAATAGCCATTCTGACTGGTATGAGATGGTATCTCATTATGGTTTTGATTTGCATTTCTCTAATAATCAGTGATGTTGAACTTTTTTTCATATGTTTGTTGGCTGCATGTATGTCTTCTTTTGAGAAGTGTCTGTTCATGTCCTTTGCCCATTTTTAATGGGGTTGTTCGTTCTTTTCTTGTAAATTTGTTTAAGTTCCTTATAGATGCTGTATATTGGACCTTTGTCAGATGCATAGATGGCAAAAGTTTTCTCCCATTCTGTAGATTGTCTGTTTACTCTATTGATAGTTTCTTTTGCTATGCAGAAGCTCTTTAGTTTAATTAGATCCCATTTGTAAATTTTTGCTTTTGCTGTAATTGCTTTTGGCATTTTTGTCATGAAATCCTTCCCTGTGCCTATATCCTGAATGGTATTGCGTAGGTTTTCTTCTAGGGCTTTTATAGTTTTGGGTTTTATGTCAAAGACATTTAAGTTTAAAAGCATTTAGGTCTTTAATCTATCTTGAGTTGATTTTTGTATATGGTGTAAAGAAGGGTCCAGCCTCAATTTTCTGTATATGGCTAGCCAGTTCTCCCACCATTTATTAAATAAGGAATCCTTTCCCCATTGCTTGTTTTTGTTAGGTTTGTCAAAGATCGGATGGTTGTAGGTGTGTGGTATTATTTCTGGGCTCTCTATTCTGTTCCATTGATCTATGTATCTGTTCTTGTACCAGTACTATGCTGTTTTGGTTACTGTAGCCCTTTAGTATAGTTTGAAGCTGGGTAGCATGGTGTCTCCAGCTTTGTTCCTTTTGCTTAGGATTGCCTTGCCTATTTGGGCTCTTTTTGGGTTCCATGTGAATTTTAAGATAGTTTTTTCGAATTCTGTGAAGAAAGTCAATGGTAGTTTAATGGGAATAGCATTGAATCTATAAATTGCTTTGGGCAGTATGGCCATTTTTATAATATTGATTCTTCCTATCTATGAGCATGAAATGTTTTTCCATTTGTGTCATCCCTGATTGCTTTGAGCAGTGGTTTGTAGTTTTCCTTGCAGAGATCCTTCACTTCCCCTGTTAGCTATATTCTTAGGTATTTTATTCTTTTTGTGGCAATTGTGAATGGAAGTTCATTCATGATTTGGCTCTGTGTTTTGCCTGTTGTTGATGTATAGGGATGCTAGCAATTTTTGCACATTGATTTTTATATCCTGAGACATTGCTGAAGTTGCTTATCGGCTTAAGGAGGTTTTGGGATGAGACAATGGGGTTTCTTAGCTACAGGATCATGTCATCTGCAAACAAAGATAATTTGACTTCCTTTCTTCCTATCTGAATACTCTTTATTTCCTTCTGTTGCCTGATTGCTCTGGCCAGAACTTCTCATACTATATTCAATAGGAGTGATGAGAGGGGGCATCTTTTTCTTGTGCTGCTTTTCAAGAGGAATGCTTCTAGCTTTTGCCCATTTGGTATGATATTGGCTGTAGGTCTGTCATATATGGTATGTTCTTATCATTTTGAGGTATATTCTTTTTTTTGGAGATGGAGTCTCGCTCTGTCACCCACGCTGGAGTGCAGTGGCACAATCTCCGCTCACTGCAACCTTCATCTCCTGGGTTCAAGCAATTCTCCTGCCTCAGCCTCCTGAGTAGCTGGGACTACAGGCATATGCCACAACTGCTGGCTAATTTTTTGTATTTTTAGTAGAGATGGGGTTTCACCATGTTGCCCAGGCTGGTCTTAAACTCCTGAGCTCAGGCAATCTGCCTGCCTTGGCCTCCCAAAGTGCTAGGATTACAAGCATGAGCTACTGTGCCTGGCCGTCTTTAGTTCTGTTTATGTGATGAATCACATTTATTGATTTGTGTATGTTGAACCAACCTTGCATCTCAGGGACGGAGCCTACTTGATCATGGTGGTTAAGTTTTTTGATGTACTGCTAGATTTGGCTTGCCAGTGTTTTGTTGAGGTATTGTCAAGTGTATTGGCCTGAAGTTTTCTTTTTTTGTTGTATCTCTGCTAGGTTTTGGTGTCAGGACGATGCTGGCCTTATAGAATAAGTTAAGGAGGAGTCCTTCCTTTTCGATTTTTTGGAATAATTTCAGTAGGAATGGTACCAGCTCTTCTTTCTACATCTGGTATAATTCAGCTGTGAATACTTCTGGTCCTGGGCCTTTTTTGGTTGGTAGACTATTACTGCTTCAATTTCAGAACTCGTTATTGGTCTGTTCAGGGATTCAATTTCTTCCTGGTTTGGTCTTGGGAGGGTGTACGTGTTCAGGAATTTATTCATTTATTCTAAGTTTTGTAGTTTGTGGGCATATAGGTGTTCTTAGTAGTCTCTTATGGTTATTTGTATTTCTGTGGGGTCAGTTGTAATATCTCCTTTATCATTTCTGATTGTGCTTATTTGAATCTTTTATCTTCTTTATTAGCCTAGGTAGTGGTCTATTTTATTAATTTTTTCAAAAAGCCAGCTACTTTATTTGTTGATCTTTTGAAGGTTTTTTTGTGTCTCTATCTCCTTCAGTTCAGCTCTGATCTTGGTTATTTCTTGTCTTCTGCTACATTTGGGGTTTGTTTTCTCTTGGTTCTCTAGTTCCTTTAGTTGTGATGTTAGGTTATTAACTTGAGATCTTTCTAGATTTTTGATGTGGGTATTTAGTGTTATAAATTTCCCTCTTAACAGTGCCTTAGCTGTGTCCCAGAGATTCTAGTATATTGTATCTTTGTTCTCATTAGTTTCAAATAACTTCTTGATTTCTGCTTTAATTTTACTTTTTACCCAAGAGTCATTCAGGAGCAGGTTGTTCAATTTCCATGTACTTGCATGGTTTTGAGTAGATTTCTTAGTCTTGAGTTCTAATTTGATTGCACTGTGGTACAGGAGATTCATTTGTTATTATTTCAGTTCTTTTGCATTTGCTGAGGAGTGTTTTACTTCCTGATTATTTGATCAATTTTAGAGTAAGTGCCATGTGGAGATGAGACAATAATATATTCTGTTGTTTTTTGGTGGAGGGTTCTGTAGATATTTATCACGTCCATTTGATCCATAGCTGAGTTCAGGTACTGAATATCTTTTGTTAATTTTCTGTCTCAATGATCTGTCTAATATTGTCAGTGGGGTGTTAAAGTGTCCCACAGTTATTGTGTGGGAATCTAAGTCTCTTTCAAGGTCTCTAAGAACTTGCTTTATGAATCTGAGTGCTCCTGTGTTGGGTACATATCTATTTAGGACAGTTAGCTGTTTTTGTTGAATTGAACCCTTTACCATTATGTAATACCCTTCTTTGTCTTTTTAAATCTTTGTTAGTTTAAAGTCAATTTGTCAAAAACTAGACTTCAGCCCTGGCTTTTTGTGTTTTCCATTTGCTTGGTAAATTTTTCTCCATCCCTTTATTCTGAGCCTATGTATGTCTTTGCATGTGAGATGGGTCTCTTAAAGACAGCATACCAATTCCTTATCCAGTTCGCCACTCTGTGTCTTTTAATTGGGGCATTTAGCCCATTTACATTTAAGGTTAAAGATAATATTGTTAAATGTGAATTTGATCCTGTCATCATAATGCTAGCTGGTTATTTTGCAGACTGGTTTATGTGGTTGCTTCCTAGTGTCACCTGTCTGTGTATTTCAGTGTGTTTTTGCAGTGGCTGGTAACAATTTTTCCTTTCCATGTTTAGTGCTTCCTTCAGGAGCTCTTTTAAGGCAGGTCTGGTGGTAATGAATTCTCTCAGCATTTGCTTGTCTGAAAAGAATCTTATTTCTCTTTTGCTTATGAAGCTTAGTTTGGCCACATATGAAATTCTGGGTTGGAATTTCTTTTCTTTAAGAATGTTGAATATTGGCCTCCAATCTCTTCTGGCTTACAGGGTTTCCACTGAGAGGTTTGCTGTTAGTCTGATGGGCTTCCCTTTGTAGGTGATCTGGCATTTCTCTCTGGCTGCCCTTAACATTTTTTTTTTTTTTTTTTTTTTTTTTCATTTTGACCTTGGAGAATTTTATGATTGTGTCTTGGGGATAATCTTCTTGTGGAGATGGAGTTCTCTGCGTTTCCTGAATTTGAATGTTGGCCTGTCTATCTAGGTTGGGGAAATTCCCCTGGATGATATCCTGAAATATGTTTCCCAAATTAGTTTCATTCTCTCTGTCTCTTTCAGGTATCTCAATCAACCATAGATTCGGTCTCTTTTTACATAATCCCATATTTATTGGAGATTTTGTTCATTCCTTTTCACTCTTTTTTTCTCTATTCTTGCCTGGCTGTCTTATTTCAGAAAGTCAGTCTTCAGGCTCTGAGATTCTTTCCTCTGCTTGGCCTAATCTGCTTTTAATACTTGTGATTGCATTGTGAAGTTCTTGTAGTATGTTTTTCAGCTCTACCAGGTTTGTTATGTTCCTCTCTATACTGGTTATCTTGGCTGTCAGCTCCTGTATTGTTTTACCATGATTTTTAGCTTCCTTACATGGGGTTACAACGTGCTTCTTTAGCTCAGTGAAGTTTGTTTTTATCCACATTCTGAAGCCTACTTCTGTCATTTCAGCAATGTCGTCCTCAGCCCAGTTCCAAATCCTTGTTGGAGAAGTACTGTGGTCATTTGGAGGAAAGAGGGTCCTCTGGCTTTTTTAGTTTTCAGTGTTTTTGTCCTGATTCTTTCTCATCTTTGTGGGCTTATCTACCTTGGATCTTTGAAGTTGCTGACCTTTGGATAGAGTTTCTGTGGGGTTTTTTGTTTCTGTTTGTTTGTTCATTTTTCTTTTAACAGTCTGGCCACTTTTCCATAGGGCAGCTGTAATTTGTTCTGAATCTGCTCCGGACCCTAGTCACTCTGGATTTTCCAGCACCTAGAGGTATCACCAGTGAAGGCTGCAAAACAGCAAAAATGGCAGCCTGCCCCTTTCTCTGGGAGCTACATCCCAGGGGGGTATGGATCTGTAGGAGGTGGCTGCAGACCCCAGTTGGGAGGCCTTACCCAGTCAGGAGGAACAGGATCAGGGAACTGCTTAAAGAAGTAGTCTGGCTGTGTTTTGGTAGAGCAGCTATACTTTGTTGGGGGAATCCCTTCAGTGTGCAATCAGTTTGGGCTCTCCAAGGCTGAGATGCCCAAACAGGAAAGGTGGTAGCCCTCAACCCCCTACCCCCAGCCCCTGCTGCTGAGCTCTCTGTCCCAGGAAGACAACAGAAAATTGTCAGCCATAGAACACTGGTAGGGGTGACCAGAGACCCTGGCTGGGAGGTCCTGCCCAGCAAGGAGGAATGGGTCAGGGTTCCATTTAAAGAAGCAGTCTGGTCATGCCTTGGCAAAGCAGCCATACTGTGCTGGGGTGTTGCCTCCTCCCCAGTCTGTTTGGACTCTCCAAAGCTCACAGGCTGGAATACCCGAGTGACCCAAACAGCAAAGGTGGCAGCCTGCCCCTCCTAGTGGTCACTCTGTCCTAGGGAGAAATTTGAACTCTGTCAGCCATAGGATATGAGTTGGGGTGGCTGAAGGTCCTGGATGGGAGGTCCTGCCCAGTGAGGAGGAATGGATCAGGGTCCCGCTTAAAGAAGCAGTCTGGCCACAATTTGGTAAACCAGCTGTGGTATGCTGGGAGATCCCTTTCTTGTCTGGTCAGTTTGTACTCTCCAAAGCCCACAGGTTGGAATGGCTGAGTCATCCAAACAACACAGGTGGTGGCCTGCCCCTCCCCGCAGGCACTCTGTCCCAGGGAGAAATCAGAACTCTTTAGAATATGGGTGAGGGTGGCTGGAGGCCCCGGATGGGAAGTCCAGCCCAGTGAGCAGGAGTGGATCAGGGTCCCACTTAAAGAAGGAGTCTGCCCACATTTTGGTAAAGCAGCTGTGTTGTGCTGGGCGAATCCCTTTCTTGTCTGGTTCATTTGGACCCTCCAAAGCCCACAGGCTGGAACGGCTGAGTCATCCAAACAAAAAAGGTGGCAGCCCATCCCTCCCCCAGGAGCTCTACCCTGTCTCAAGTAGGTGCTACCCTGTTGCTGGTGGCTGGCTGGAATTCCAAGCCAGTTGATCTTATCCTGTGAGGTCCCTTGGAAGTGGGGCCCACAGACTGACGCTGCTCTGCTTCCTGGATTCAGCCCTCTTCCTAAGGGTATGTATGGACCTCTTGTCTTGCTTAAGTTGTAGTCATGTTTGCCAAAGATCCCAGAGTAGATTATGTAAAGCTCCTGGGCCTCTGTGCATGCCTAAGCAGCTGCTCTGCTGTGACTCCACACAGCTCTGTGTGTCAGACCCAAGGCCCTGGTGGAGTGGGTTCATGAGGGGGATCTCCTGATCTGAGGGTTGCAAAAATCTGTGGGAGAAGCATGGTTTCCCTGGGTCACACATTCACTCACGGCTTCTCTTGGCTGGGAGTGGGGGTTCCCTTGGGTCTGTGTTGCTCCTGGGTGGGCTGACATCCTGCCCTGCTTTTCTACATTCTCCGTGGGTTGAACAGTTTCTCTGATCAGTCCTAATGTGAGCACCTGGATGTTTTAGTTGAAGGTGCTGAATTTACTCACCCCTTTTGTCCATCTCCGTGAGTGCCACACCCTGTAGCTGCTTCTAATCGGCCATCGTGGCCCCAACTTCCAATTTTAAAATAAATATTTTAACTTTTATTTTAGGTGCAGGGATACATGTGTAGGTTTGTTATATAGGTAAACTTGTGACTTGGGGGTTTGGTGTACAGATTATTTTGTCACCCGGGTACTAAGGATAGTACCTGATAGTTTGATTTTTTTTCTGAACCTCTCCCTTCTCCCACCTTCCTCCCATGAATAGGCTCCAGTGTCTGTTGTTCCTCTCTTTCTGTCCATGTGTTCTCATTATTTAGCTCCCGCTTCTAAGTGAGAACATGTGGTATTTGGTTTTCTGCGCCTGCATTAGTTTGCTGAGGATAAGGGCCTCCAGTTCCATCCATGTTCCTACAAAGGACATAATCTTGTTCTTTTTTATAGCTGTGTAATATTCCATGGTGTATATGTACCACATTTTCTTTATCCAGTTTACCATTGATTGGCATTTAGGTTTATTCCATGTCTTTGCTATTGTGAACAGTGCTGCAATGAACATACAAATGCATGTGTCTTTCTGGTAGAACTCTTTATATTCCTTTGGGTATATAAACAACCCTAGCAGTACCCAGTAGTGGAAGTGCTAGGTTGAATGGTAGTTCTGTCTTCAGTTCTTTGAGGAATTGCCACACTGTCTTCCACAATGGTTGAACTAATTTACACTCCCACAGCAGTGTATAAAGGTTCCTTTTTCTCCACAACCTCTCCGGCATCTGTTATTATTTGACCTTTTAAAATAGCCATTCTGACTGGTGTGAGATGGTATCTCATTGTGGATTTGATTTGCATTTCTCTAATTATCAGTGATATTGAGCATCTTTTCACATGCTTTTTGGCCACATATATGTCTTCTTTTGAAAAGTATCTGTTCATATCCTTTGCCCACTTCTTAATCGGGTTGTTTTTTGCTTGTACATTTGTTTAAGTTCCTTGTAGATTCTGGATATTAGACCTTTGTCAGATGTATAATTTGCAAATATTTTCTCTCATTCTGTAGGTTTCCTATTTACTCTATTGATAGTTTCTTTTGCTGTGCAGAAACTCTTTAGTTTAATGAGGTCCCATTTGTAAATTTTTGCTTTTGTTGCAATTGCTTTTGGCATTTTCATTATGAAATCTTTGCCAGATTCTGTATCCAAAATGATATATTCTTGGTTTATTCCAGGGTTTTTATAGTTTTAGGTTTTACATTTAGGTCTTTAATCCATCTTGAGTTGATTTTTGTATATGGTATAAGGAAGGGGACCAGTTCCAATCTTTTGTATATTGCTAGCCAGTTATCCCTGCCCCATTTATTGAATAGGGAGTCTTTTCCCCATCGCTTATTTTTGTCAGCTTTGTCAAAGATCAGATAGTTGTAGGTGTATGGCTCTATTTCTGGGCTGCCTATTCTGTTCCATTGGTCTATGTGTCTGTTTTTGTACCAGTACCATACTGTTTTGGTTACTGTAGCCTTGTAGTATGGTTTGAAGTTGGGTAATGTGATTCCTCCAGCTTTGTTCTTTTTGCTTAGGATTGCTTTGGTTATTTGGGCTCTTTTTCAGGTTTTATATAAATTTTAGAATAGTTTTTTCTGTTCTGTGAGGAATGTCATTGGTAGTTTGATAGGAATGGCATTGAATCTATAAATTGCTTTGGGCAGCATGGCCATTTTAACAATATTGATTCTTCCTACCCATGAGCATGGAATGTTCTTCCATTTGTTTGTGTCATCTTTGACTTCTTTGAACGTGTTTTGTAATTCTCATTGTAGAGATCTTTCACCTTCTTGGTTAGCTGTATTCCTAAGTATTTTATTCTTTTTGTGGCAGTCGTGAATGGGATCATGTTCCTGATTTGGCTCTTGGTTTGGGTGCTCTTAGAGTATAGGAATGCTACTGATTTTTGTACATTGATTTGTATCCCCAAACTTTGCTAAAGTTGCTTATCAGCTCAAGGAGCTTTTGGGTGGAGATTCTGGGGTTTTGTAGATATAGAATCATGTCATCTGCAAACAGGGATGGTTTGACTTCCTCTCTTCCTATTTGGATGCCTTTTGTTTCTCTTGCCTGATTGCTTTGGCCAGAACTTCCAATTCTATGTTCAATAGGAGTGGTAAGAGTGGGCATCATTTTCTTCTGCTGGTTTTCAAGGGGAATGCCTTCAGCTTTTGCCCATTTAGTATAATGTTGGCTACGGGTTTGTCATAGATAGCTCTTATTATTTTGAGGTATGTTCCTTTAAGGCTTAGTTTATTGAGGGTTTTTAACATGAAGCAATGTTGAATTTTATTGAAAGCCTTTTCTGCATCGATTGCGATAATCATGTGTTTTGGTCTTTGGTTTGGTTATGTGATGAATCACATTTATTGATGTGTACATGTTGAACCAACCATGAATCCCAGGGATAAAGCCTACTTTGATCATTGTGGATTAGGTTTTTGATGTGCTGCTGGATTCTGTTTGCTAGTATTTTGTTGAGGATTTTTGAATCTATGGGTCATCAAGGATATTGGCCTAAAGTTTCCTTTTGTGTATGTGTGTCTATGTCAGGTTTTGGTATCAGGATGATGCTGGCCTCATAGAATGAGTTAGGGAGGAATCCCTCCTTTTCAAATTTTTGGAATAATTTCAGTAGAAATAGTACCAGCTCTTCTTTGTGCATCTGGTAGAATTCAGCTGTGAATCCTTCTGGTCCTTGGCTTTTTTTGTTGGTAGGCTATTTATTACTGATAATTTCCAAGCTCGTTATTTGTCTGTTCAGGGACTTATTCTTGACTCACTGTTGGGAGGATGCATGTGTCCAGGAATTTATCTATTTATTTTAGATTTTCTAGTTTGTGTACATAAAGGTGTTCATAGTAGTCTCTTACGGTTATTTGTATTTCTGCAAGGTCAGTGATAACATCCTCTTTGTCATTTCTGATTGTGTTTATTTGAATCTTCTCTCTTTTCTTCTTTATTAATCTAGCTAGTGGTCTATCTTATTAATTTTTTCAAGAACAAATTCCTGGATTTGTTAATCTTTTGTATGCTTTTTCATGTCTCTATCTCTTTCAGTTTGCCTCTGATTTTGGTTATTTCTTGTCTTCTGCTAGTTTGGGGTTTGTTTGCTCTTGGTTCTCTAGTTCTTCTAGTTGTGATGTTAGGTTGTTATTTGAGATCTTTCTAGATTTTTGATGTGGGCATTTAGTGCTACAAAATTCCCTCTTAACAATGCCTTAGCTGTGTCCCAGAGATTCTCGTGTGTTGTGTCTTTGTTTTCATTAGTTTAAAATAACCTCTTGATTTCTGCCTGAATTTTATTACTTACCCAAGAGTCATTCAGGAGCAAGTTGTTCAGTTTCCATGTAATTGTATGGTTTTGAGCAATTTTCTTGGCCTCAATTTCTACTTTTATTGTGCTGTGGTTCGAGAGTATAGTTAGTATGATTTAAATTTTTTTTGAGTTTGCTGAGGATTGTTTTATGTCCAACTGAATGGTCAATTTTAGAGTACGTACCATGTGGCAATGAAAAGAATGCATACTCTATTGCCTTTGGTGGAGAGTTTTGTATATGTCTATTAGGTCCATTTGTTCAAGCATTAAGTTCAGGTCTGGAATCTCTTTGTGAATTTTTTGGTTTGATAATCTGTCTAATACTGTCAGTGGGGTTTGAAGTGTCCCATTTTATTGTGTATAAATCTCAGTCTCTTTGTAAGTCTCTAAGAAATTGCTTTATGAATCTGGGCACACCTGTGTTGGGTGCTTACAGAGTTAGGATAGTTAGATCTTCTTGTTTAATTGAACCCTTTACCATTATGTAATGCCCTTCTTTGTCTTTGTTTTGTTTTGAGATGGATCTCACTCTGTCACCCAGGCTGGAGTGCGGTGGCGTGATCTCGGCTCACTGCAAGCTCTGCCTCCCAGGTTCCTGCCATTCTCCTTCCTCAGCCTCCTGAGTATCTGGGACTACAGGGGCCCGCCACCACACTCAGCTAATTTTTCTGTATTTTTAGTAGAGACAGGGTTTCACTGTGTTAGCCAGGGTGGTCTCGAGCTCCTGACCTTGTGATCTGCCCACCTTGGCCTCCCAAAGTGCTGGGATTACAGGTGTGAGCCACCGCGCCAGGCCCCTTCTTTGTCTTTTTTGTTCTTTGTTGGTTTAAAGTCTGCTTTGTCTGAAATTAGAATTGCAACCCCTGCTTTTTTGTGTTTTCCATTTGCTTGGTAGGTTTTTCTCCATCCTTTTATTTTGAGACTATGGGTGTCATTGCACAAGAGTTGGGTCTCTTGAAGACAGCATACTATTGGGTCTAGCTTCTTATCCAGGTTGCCACTCTGTGCCTTTTAACTGGGGCATTTAGCCCATTAACATTCAAGGTAAATCATTGATACGTGTGGTTTGATCCTGTTATCATGTTGTTAGCTGGTTACTATGCAGACTTCTTTGTGTGGTTGCTTTACAGTCACTGGTCCATGTACTTAAGTATTTTTGCAGTGGCTGGTAATGGTCTTTTCTTTCCATATTTAGTGCTTCTTTCAGGATCTCTGGTAAGGCTGGTATGCTGGTAACAAATTCCTTTAGCATTTGTTTGTGTGAAAGGAGTCTTATTTCTTCTTTGCTTATGAAACTATTTTGGCCAGATGTGAAAAAATCTTGGTTATAATTTCTTTGCTTTAAGAATGTTGAATATAGGCACCCAATCTTTTCTGGCTTATAGGGTTCCTGCTGAGAGTTCTGCTGTTAGTCTGATGGGCTTCTATTTGTAGGTGGCCTGTCCTTTTTCTTTAGCTGCCTTTAACATTTTTTCTTTCATTTCAATCTTGGAGAATCTGATGATTATGTGTCTTGGGGATGATCCAATTGTGAAGTAACTTGCAGGGATTCTCTGCATTTCCTGAATTTGAATGTTGGCCTTACCAGCTAGGTTGGGGAAATCTTCATGGATGATATTCTGAAATGTTTTCTAAGTTGCTTCCTTTCTCCCCATTTCTTTCAGGAATGCCAGTGAAGCATAGATTTAGTCTCTATGTAATTCCGTATTTCTTGAAGGTTTTCTTTATTCCTTTTCATTCTTTTTTCTTTATTCTTGTCTGACTGTCACATTTCAGAAAGCCAGTCTTTAAACTTTGAGATTCTTTCCTTAGCTTGGTCTATTCTGCTTTTAATACTAGTGATTGCATTATGAAATTCTTGTAGTGTGTTTTTCGTCTCTATCAAGTTGACTGTATTCTTTTCTATACTGGCTATTTTGTCTGTCAGCTTTTGTATCATTTTATCGTGACTCTTCATTTCCTTGGATTGGGTTTCAATATTCTCCTGAATCTCGATGATCTTGGTTCCTACCCATATTCTGAATTTGATTTCTGTCATTTCTGCCATCTCAGCCTGCTTAAGAACCCTTTCCAGAGAACTATTGCAGTCGTTTGGAAGAAAGAAGGCACTCTGGCTTTTTGAGTTGCCAGAGTTGTTGCACTGGTTCTTTCTAATTTATGTGGGCTGATGTTCCTTCAGTCTTTGAAATTGCTGTACTTTGGATGAACTGGTTTGCTTTTTTCTTCTTTGATGCCCTGGGGGGTTTGATTATGGTATAAAGTGTGTTTTGTTGACTGGCTTCAATTCTAGTCTGCTTCTGGGTCTTGGAGGAGTCCCCTCCAATTCCTACCTCTGTGTCTGCATTTCTTTGTTGGGTATTCTGGTCCACAGGGTTTCCTCAGGTTGAGGATGAAGTTGACCAACAAGACATTGTTGGCCCTAATCGGCTGTCATGTGCTTCTTGGGGAAACACAAGTTTGAATCTTCCTGGAGAGTTCAGGTGGAAGTAGGACTGCTAGGTTGGAAACTCTAGCAGGTGTGGCCTATCTGGCTATGCAGGTGGGGGAGTTGCCAGTCCTGCTATCCAGATGTTTTCAGAACAACAGGAGGCTGCACACCTTGGTAAATTCAGGCAGATGTAGGACCACTGAGCTGGAAGCAGTCAAGCTAGAGTCTTGGGCTCTACTTTTTTATTTTGAAGGGAAGTTTTCCAGGGAGTGTATTCTCCTGGGTTTGGTGATAACTGCAACTCAGTCTTTTTTTTTTTCTTAACACAATATTTCTGCTGACTTCTGAAAAATTTTCACTTGAATGTGTAATGAAGGGGCAGCAGCAGCAACAGTCCTTGGCCCGGAGATGCACCACAGTGCCCAGCAAGTCTTTGGCACTACTTGCCCCACCCTCTTCTTGGTGCCCAGCTCTCTCCCTGGCCCTAGTCCCTGGGTTAGGCCACCCCACCCCTACTTAGCATTGTGCCTGCCCTGGCACCAGCTGGGCATGCTGGGCTACTGCCTGCCCTCTGGGTAAAGGTGGAAGGGGTGGGGGATGTCATTGCATGGCCTGTCCCTGGACACAGTCTCCCCAGGCCTGGCCCTGCCATGTGGAATGGCCTGCAGGGTGGATATGAGTCTGCAAAGTGCTTGGTGGGTGTCTGCATCAAGCAGCAGGGCCACAGTAGCTGCAGCAGAGGCTCAGCTTGGCTCAGGCCGTGTGGTGCGAGTGATGCTAAGAATGTTTGTAGTAAGCACAGAGATGAAATAAACCACAATTGATTTTTGTGCATTGATCTTGTTCCTGCAAACTTGGTGAACTCATTTATTAGTACTAGAAGATTTTTTTGTTAGATTCCCTTGGGATGTTCTATGTAGACAATGATATCATCTGCAAATAGAGACAGTTTTACTTCTTCCTTTCCAATCTATATGCCTTTATCTCAGTTGTATGTTGAATAAGAATGGTGAGAATGTACATCCTTCCCATGTTACTTGTTTTAGGGGGAAAGTATTCATTCTTTCACCATCAGGTATGTTATCTCTAGGCTTTGAGGACGCTTTTTATCACGTTGAGGAAGCACCTGTCTGTTCCTACCTTGCTGAGAGTTTTTCATCATTAACAGATGTTGGATTTTGTCAAATGATTTTTCTGTACCTAATGGTATGAATATACTGTTTTCTTCTTTAGCCTGTTGATATGGTGAGTTACATTGGTTGATTGTTAAATGTTGAAACAACCTTTTGTACTTGGAATAAATCCCGTTTTTTCATGGTGTACAATTATTTTATACACTGTTTTATTACTAATGTTTTGTTGAGGATTTTTGTGTCTAAGTTCATGGCCTTTTGTGTTATTTGTTTATACTGTCTGCCTCTTTGAGTTTGATAACAGGATAATACCTGCCTCAAAAAGTGAGTTAGGAAGTGTTCCCTCTTTTACCTTCAGGAAGATATTAAGCAAAATTGGTACTAATTCTTTTTTAAATATTTGGTAGAATTCTCCAATGAAGCCTTCTGGTCCTTGATTTCTTTATG
Organism: Homo sapiens; assembly: GCF_000001405.40. Classification (NCBI taxonomy): domain Eukaryota; kingdom Metazoa; phylum Chordata; class Mammalia; order Primates; family Hominidae; genus Homo; species Homo sapiens. The sequence continues at coordinate 46,171,631 of NC_000003.12, forward strand.
AGGAGCTTTTTATTTACAAATTTAATATCTTTAATGGTTATTATACTAGTCACATTATCTATCTCATATTGGTTGAGTTTTGGCAGTTTGTGGTTTTTAAGTATTCAGTCCATTTTTTATATGTCATTGAATTTATGACACTAGAGTTATATGTAGTATCCTTTTAGTATTCCTGTTTCATTTCTGATACTGGTTATTTATGTCTTTTTCTCTTTTTTGAGAAAGGTTCCTGCTCTAGTGCCCAGGCTAGATAGAATGAAGTGGCACAATCAGGACTCAAATGATCCTCCTGCCTTAGCCCCCTGAGTAGCTGAGACTATAGGTGTGCACCACCACACCTGGCTAAATTTTTTTGAATTTTAGTAGAGAAGAGATCTCACTATGTTGCCCAGGCTGGTCCCAAATTCCTGAGTTCACACAATCCTCCTGCCTCGGCCTCTCAAAGTGCTGGGATTACAGCACTAGAGATTTATCACTTTTACTGATTTTTTTGAAGAAGTAGCTTATTTTTCTCATTGATTTTTTTCTATTGTTTTAATTTTCAATTTCATTGATTCTGTTCTTATCTTTATATTTCCTTATTTTAAAATATTTAATTGACAAATAAAGATTGTATATATTCAAGGTGTACAATGTGATAATTAAAGATTGTATATATTCAAGGTGTACAATGTGATAATTTGATATACATATGCATCTTGTAATGATTACCACAATTACATAAATTACACATTCATCATCACCCATGCTATACCTCAGATAGCTGGAACTTGTTCATTTCGTAACTGAAAGTTTGTACCTTTTGGCCAATATTTCCTTTATCTCCACTCCCTTAGCCCTTCGTAATCATTGTTCTACTCTCTGCTTCTATGAGTTCAACTTTTTAAAATTCCACATATAAGTGAGATCATACAGTATTTGTCTTTCTGTGTCTGGCTTATTTCACTAATCCTAATGTCTTCCAGTTCACTCATGTTGCTATAAATGGCAGAATTTCCTTATTTTTTAAGACTGAATAATGTTCCATTGTGTTTATATACCACATTGTCTTTATTCATTCATCTATTGATGGACAATTAGTTTGTTTCTGTGTCTTGGCTATCATGAATAATCCTGCAATGAAATGGGGATGCCAATACCTCTTTAAGATACTGATTTCTTTTCCTTTGGATATATACCCAGAAGTGAAATTGCTGGATCATGTAGTAGTTCTATTTTATTTTTTTGAGGATCCTCTGTACTGTTTTCCATAATGGCTATACCAATTTACATTCCCACAAACAGTGTACAAAGGTTCCCTTTTCTACATACCCTCACCAACACTTATAATCTCATGTCTTTTTGAGAATAGCCATCCTAACAAGTGTGAGGTGATATCTCATTGTGGTTTTAATTTGCATTTCTCTGAGGACTGGTAATATTGAGTGACTTTATATACTCATTGACCATTTGCAATAAAAAATGTCTATTCTTGTCCTTTGCCCATTTTTCAATCAGGTTATATGTGTTTTGCTATTGAGTTGTGTGAGTTCTTCATACATTTTGGATATCAATTTCTTATCCGGTATATGGTTTGCACATTTTCTTCCCATTCCATGGGTTGTCTTTTCATTTGTGTTGATTGTGCTCTTTGCTCTGCAGAAGATTTTTCATTTGATGTAGTCCCCCTTGTTTATGTATTTTTGAGATAGAGTCTCATTTACTCTGTTGCCCAGGCTGCAGTGTTTCTTTTTGCTTTTGTTGCCTGTGCTTTTTGTGTCATATACAAAAAAATCATTGCCAAGATCAATTTCAAGGAATCTTCCCTATGTTTTCTTCTAGGAGTTTTATGGTTTCAGATCTTACATTTAAGTCTTTAATTCATTTCAAGTTAATTTTTGTATATGGTGTAAGTCAAGGATTCAATTTCATTCTGTCAATGTGGTGTATCATATTTATTGATTTGTATATGTTGTAACATCCTTACATCCCAGGGATAAATCCAGTTTGGTCATGGTATATGATCCACTCAGTGTGCTGTTGAATTTGGTTTGCTCGCATTTTGTTGAAGATTATTGCATCTATGTTCAGGGATACTGGCCTGTGATTTTCTTTTCTTATAGTGTACTTATCTGGCTTTGGTATCAGGGTAATGCTGTAATGAAATGAGTTTGAAAATATTCCCATCTCTTCAATTTTTTTGGACAAGTTTGAGAAGGACTGGTATTAATTCTTATTTAACTGTTTGGTAGAATTAACCTGTGAAGACATCTAGTCTTGGGCTTTTTGAGGTTGGGAGGTTAGGAGGTTTGTGAATACTGATCCAATCTTCTTATTTGTTATTGGTTTGTTCAGATTGTCTATTTCTTCATAATTCATGCTTTGTAGGTTGTATTTCTAGGAATTTATTCATCTTTTCTGAGTTACACAGTTTGAGGCATAGTTGTTTATAGTAGTCTATTATAGTTATTTGTATTTCTGTGGTATCAGTTGTAATGTCTCCCCTTTCACTTACACTTTCACTTATTTTAGTCCTTTTTTTTTTAGGTTTTGAAATTTCTTTTTTTTAAAAATTTTATTATTATTATACTTTAAGTTTTAGGGTACACGTGCACAACGTGCAGGTTTGTTACATATGTATACATGTGCCGTGTTGGTGTGCTGCACCCATTAACTTGCCATTTAGCATTAGGTATATCTCCTAATGCTATCCCTCCCCTCTCCCCCCACCCCACAACAGTCCCCAGAGTGTGATGTTCCCCTTCCTGTGTCCATGTGTTCTCATTGTTCAATTCCCACCTATGAGTGAGAACATGCGGTGTTTGGTTTTATGTCCTTGTGATAATTTGCTGAGAATGATGGTTTCCAGTTTCATCCATGTCCCTACAAAGGACATGAACTCATCATTTTTATGGCTGCATAGTATTCCATGGTGTATATATGCCACAGTTCCTTAATCCAGTCTATCATTGTTGGACATTTGGGTTGGTTCCAAGTCTTTGCTATTGTGAATAGTGCCACTATAAACATACGTGTGCACGTGTCTTTATAGCAGCATGATTTATAATCCTTTGGGTATGTACCCAGTAATGGGATGGCTGGGTCAAATGGTATTTCTAGTTCTAGATCCCTGAGGAATCGCCATACTGACTTCCACAATGGTTGAACTAGTTTACAGTCCCACCAACAGTGTAAAAGTGTTCCTATTTCTCCACATCCTCTCCAGCACCTGTTCTTTCCTGACTTTTTAATGATTGCCATTCTAACTGGTGTGAGATGGTATCTCATTGTGGTTTTGATTTGCATTTCTCTGATGGCCAGTGATGATGAGCATTTTTTCATGTGTTTTTTGGCTGCATAAATGTCTTCTTTTGAGAAGTGTCTGTTCATGTCCTTTGCCCACTTTTTGATGGGGTTGTTTGTTTTTTTCTTGTAAATTTGTTTGAGTTCATTGTAGATTCTGGATATTAGCCCTTTGTCAGATGACTAGGTTGCAAAAATTTTCTCCCATTTTGTAGGTTGCCTGTTCACTCTGATGGTAGTTTCTTTTGCTGTGCAGAAGCTCATTAGTTTAACTAGATCCCATTTGTCAATTTTGGCTTTTGTGGCCATTGCTTTTGTGTTTTAGTCATGAAGTCCTTGCCCATGCCTATGTCCTGAATGGTATTGCCTAGGTTTTCTTCTAGGGTTTTTATGGTTTTAGGTCTAATGTTTAAGTCTTTAATCCATCTTGAATTAATTTTTGTATAAGGTGTAAGGAAGGGATCCAGTTTCAGCTTTCTACATATGGCTAGCGAGTTTTCCCAGCACCATTTATTAAATAGGGAATCCTTTCCCCATTGCTTGTTTTTCTCAGGTTTGTCAAAGATCAGATAGTTGTAGATATGTGGCATTATTTCTGAGGGCTCTGTTCTGTTCCATTGGTCTATATCTCTGTTTTGGTACCAGTACCATGCTGTTTTGGTTACTGTAGCCTTGTAGTATAGTTTGAAGTCAGGTAGCATCTATTTGATTCTTCTCTCTTTTCTTCTTTATGAGTCTTGCTAGTGGTCTATCAATTTTGTTGATCTTTTCAAAAAACCAGCTCCTGGATTCATTAACTTTTTGAAGGGTTTTTTGTGTCTCTATTTCCTTCAGGTCTGCTCTGATTTTAGTTATTTCTTGCCTTCTGCTAGCTTTTGAATGTGTTTGCTCTTGCTTTTCTAGTTCTTTTAATTGTGATGTTAGGGTGTCAATTTTAGATCTTTCCTACTTTCTCTTGTGGGCATTTAGTGCTATAAATTTCCCTCTACACACTCCTTTGAATGTGTCCCAGAGATTCTGGTATGATGTGTCTTTGTTCTCGTTGGTTTCAAAGAACATCTTTATTTCTGCCTTCATTTCATTATTTACCCAGTAGTCATTCAGGAGCAGGTTGTTCAGTTTCCATGTAGTTGAGCGGTTTTGAGTGAGTTTCTTAATCCCGAGTTCTAGTTTGATTGCACTGTGGTCTGAGAGACAGTTTGTTATAATTTCTATTCTTTTACATTTGCTGAGGAGTGCTTTACTTACAACTATGTGGTCAATTTTGGAGTAGGTGTGGTGTATGGCTGTAAAGAATGTATATTCTGTTGATTTGGGGTGGAGAGTTCTGTAGATGTCTATTAGGTCCGCTTGGTGCAGAGCTGAGTTCAATTCCTGGGTATCCTTGTTAACTTTCTGTCTCGTTGATCTGTCTAATGTTGCAGTGGGGTGTTAAAGTCTCCCATTATTATTGTGTGGGAGTCTAAGTCTCTTTTTAGGTCACTAAGAACTTGTTTTATGAATCTGGGTGCTCCTGTATTGGGTGAAATATATTTAGGATAGTTAGCTCTTCTTGTTGAATGGATCCCTTTACCATTATGTAATGGCCTTCTTTGTCTCTTTTGATCTTTGTTGGTTTAAAGTCTGTTTTATCAGAGACTAGGATTGCAACCCCTGCCTTTTTTTGTTTTCCATTTGCTTGGTAGATCTTCCTCCATCCCTTTATTTTGAGCCTATGTGTGTCTCTGCACGTGAGATGGGTTTCCTGAATACAGCACACTGATGGGTCTTGACTCTTTATCCAATTTGCCAGTCTGTGTCTTTTAATTGGAGCATTTAGCCAATTTACATTTAAAGTTAATATTGTTATGTGTGAATTTGATCCTGTCATTATGATGTTAGCTGGTTATTTTGCTCATTAGTTGATGCAGTTTCTTTCTAGCATTGATGGTCGTTAGAATTTGGCATGTGTTTGCAGTGGCTGGTACTGGTTGTTCCTTTCCATGTTTAGTGCTTCCTTCAGGAGCTCTTTTAGGGCAGGCCTGGTGGTGACAAAATCTCTCAGCATTTGCTTGTCTGTAAAGTATTTTATTTCTCCTTCACTTATGAAGCTTAGTTTGGCTGGATATGAGATTCTGGGTTGAAAATTCTTTCCTTTAAGAATGTTGATTATTGGTCCCCACTCTCTTCTGGCTTGTAGAGTTTCTGCCAAGAGATCCTCTGTTAGTCTGATGGGCTTCCCCTTGTGGGTAACCAGACCTTTCTCTCTGGCTGCCCTTAACATTTTTTCCTTCATTTCAACTTTGGTGAATCTGACAATTATGTGTCTTGGAGTTGCTCCTCTCGAGGAGTATCTTTGTGGTGTTCTCTGTATTTCCTGAATTTGAATGTTGGCCTGCCTTGCTAGATGGGGGAAGGTCTCCTGGATAATATCCTGCAGAGTGTTTTCCAACTTGGTTCCATTCTCCCTGTCACTTTCAGGTACACCAATCAGATGTAGATTTGGTCTTTTCACATAATCCCATATTTCTTGGAGGTTTTGTTCGTTTCTTTTTATTCTTTTTTCTCTAAACTTCTCTTCACGCTTCATTTCATTCATTTTGTCTTCCATCGCTGATACCCTTTCTTCCAGTTGATCGCATTGGCTACTGAGGCTTCTGCATTCATCACGTAGCTCTCGTGCCTTGGTTTTCAGCTCCATCAGGTCCTTTAAGGACTTCTCTGCATTGTTTATTCTAGTTATCCATTCGTCTAATTTTTTTTCAAATGTTTTAACTTCTTTGCCATTGTTTCGAATTTCCTCCTGTAGCTTGGAGTAGTTTGATCGTCTGAAGCCTTCTTCTCTCAACTTGTCAAAGTCATTCTCCATCCAGCTTTGTTCCGTTGCTGGTGAGGAGCTGCGTTCCTTTGGAGGAGGAGAGGCGCTCTGATTTTTAGAGTTTCCAGTTTTTCTGCTCTGTTTTTTTCCCATCTTTGTGGTTTTATCTACCTTTGGTCTTTGATGATGGTGAAGTACTGATGGGTTTTTGGTGTGGATGTCCTTTCTGTTTGTTAGCTTTCCTTCTAACAGACAGGACCCTCAGCTGCAGGTCTGTTGGAGTTTGCTAGAGGTGCACTCCAGACCCTGTTTGTTTAGTCCTTTCATTCTTAGTTTGTCTAGCTCATTGTCAATTTTGTCAATGAAACTCAGTTTCACTGATCTTTTTCTATTATCTTTCTAGTCTCTATGTCATTTATTTCTGCTCAATCTTTATTATTTCCCTCCTTTTTCTGATTTTGGGCTTAGTTTCTTCTTTTTTAAATTTTTATTATTTATAGAGATAGGTCTTGTCCTGTCACTCAGGCTGGAGTGCAGTGACCCAATCATATCTCACTGCAGTCTCGAACTCTTGGGCTCAAGCATTCCTCCCACCTCAGCCTCCCAAGTAACTGGGACTACAGGTGTGAGTCACTGTGCCTGAATAATTTTTAAATTACTTTTTGTAGAGATGGGGTCTTACTATGTTGCCCAGGTTAGTCTTGAATTCCTGGCCTCAAGTAATCCTCCCACCTCAGCCTCCTGAGTGGCTGGGACTACAGGTGTGAGCCACCATGCGCAGACAGTTTGTTTTTCTTTTTCTAGTCCTTTGAGGTGTGAAGTTAAGTTTTTTATTTGAGATCTTTCTTTTTTCTTAATGTAGGCATACATTGCAATAAACTCCCCTCTTAGCACTGTTTTTGCTGCATCCCTTAAGTTTTGGTATGTGGTGTTTCCATTTTAATTTGTCTCAAGAAACTTTTTGATTTTCTTTTTGATTTTTTTTCTTTGATCTATGGGTTGTTCCAGAGTGTGTTGGTTCATTTTCATGTATTTGTGAGTTTTCCAAAATTCTTCCTATTATTGTTTTCTAGTCTTATACCATTGTGGACAGAAAAGATAGTTGCTAACACCAAGTATCTTATTATTTCCTTCTTTGTGCATGCTTTGGGTTTATTTAGCTCTTCTTTTTTAGTTTCTTGAAGTAGAAATTTAGACTATTTATTTGAGACCTTTTAAATTTTTTAACGTGTTTAGTGCTGTAAATTTTCCTGTCAGCACTATTTTAGCGGCCTCACTCATATCTTGATAGACTACTACATTTTTGTTTTCATTCACTTGTATATTTTGCTTTATTTCTTCCAAAACTTCATCTTTGATCCATGCATTGTTTTGATCAATCACGGATTGATTCTTTTATTATTATGTCATGTCCCTCTTTGTCTCTAGAAGTGTGCTGTTTAATTTCCAAGTGTTTTCCTGTTGTCGTGGTCAAAGAACAGATCTCGTAATCTTATATAATTTCAATTTTTAAAAATATGTTGGGGTGTTATTTTTGGCCCAGGATATTGTCAATTTTGGTAAATATTCCATGGGCACTTAAAAAATGTGAATTCTGCTGTTGTCAGGTGGAATGTTCTATAAATGTCAATTGCTCCTGATGATTGATTGTGCTGTTCAGTTCTTCTATATCCTTGCTGTTTCTCTGTCTAATAGTTCTATAAGTTACCGAGAGTAGGGTGTGGAAGTTCCGTATACACTTGTGAATTTGTCTATTTTTCCTTTCATGTTTATCACTTTTTGCATCATGTATTTTTATGCTCTATTGTTTGGTGCATACACCTTTAGGATCATATGTATTCCTCATGGATTAATTCTTTTATTATTATGTCATGTCTCTCTTTGTCTCTAGTAATTTTCTTTGCTCCAAAGCCTGCTTTATATTATATTCACATAGTCACTCCTCCTTTTTTTCAATTATTATTAAGGCTTGCATAGTATATCGTGTCCCAGCCTTTTACTTTTAACTTACCTATGCTGCTATATCTAAAGTGAGTTTCTTGTAGCAGCATGTTCTTAAATAATGGTTATTTTATTCACTTTGCCAATTTTTGCTTTTTAATTGGAATATTTCAACAATTTACATTTAAGGTAATTATTGATATGTTAGGGCATTCTAAGTCTGCCATTTTATTACCTATTTTCTGTTTGTTCCCTCCATTTCTTGTACCCTGGTTTCTCTTTTCTTGTCTTCCTGTGGGTTACTTGGACATTTTTAATAATTTCATCTTGATTTATTTATAGTGTTTTTAGTATGTCGCTTGGTATGTTTATCTTAGTCATCGTTCTATGTATAAGTATGTTCTTAGCATGGATACATATAACTTATCACAGTCTACTGGTATTGATATTTTACCAGTCCAAATGAAGTGTAGAAATTTTATTTCCATTTAGGTCCTTTTATCCTCCTCACTTTTCTTTCTCTTTTTCTTTTTCTTTTTTTTTTTTTTTTTTTTTGAGACGGAGTCGCGCTCTGTCGCCCAAGCTGGAGTGCAGTGGCACGAGCTCGGCTCACTGCAAGCTCTGCCTCCTGGGTTCACGCCATTCTCCTGCCTCAGCCTCCCGAGTAGCTGGGACTACAGGCGCCTGCCACCACATCCAGCTAATTTTTTGTATTTTTTTAAAATTTTAGTAGAGACAGGGTTTCACCGTGTTAGCCAGGATAGTCTCGATCTCCTGACCTCGTGATCCGCCCTCCTCGGCCTCCCAAAGTGCTGGGATTACAGGCGTGAGCCACCGCACTCAGCCCCTCCTCACTTTTCAATAATAATAGTCCTAAGTATTTTCTCTTTGTACATTAAATACCACATCAGATGGTGCTAAACTTTTTGCTTCAAGTGTTAAGTGTAATTTTAGAAGCTCATGAAAAGAAGAATGGTCTACAATATTTACCCATGTGTGTGTGTATATATATATGTGTGTATATATATACACACACATATATATGTATATGTATGTGTATATATACACACATATATGTATATATACACACACACATATATGTGTATATATATATACACATATATATACACATATATATATACACATATATATATACACACACACACACACATATATATATATATATTTTTTTTTTTTTTGCGACAAAGTCTCGCTCTGTCACCCAGGCTGGAATGCAGTGAGGTGATCTCAGCTCACTGAAACCTCCACCTCCTGGGTTCAAGCCATTCTCCTGCCTCAGCCTCCCAAGTATCTGGGATTATAGGCACCCGCCACCACACCCAACTCATTTTTGTGCTTTTAGTAGAGATAGGGTTTCACCATGTTGGCCAGGCACGTCTCAAACTCCTGACCTCAAGTGATCAGCCCGCCTCCGCCTCCCAAAGTGCTGGGATTACAGGCATGAGCCACTGCACCCGGCCTACCCTTATTTTTAGTAATTCCATTCTTATTTTTTTTTCTGAAGTTCCAAGTCTTCTATTATAATTTCCTTTCTGTTCAGATAACTTCTTTAGCTATTTTTACAGGTAGGCTTGCTTGCAATAAATTCTTTTAACTTTCCTTTGTTGAGGAACGTCTTTATTTTCTCTTTATTCATAAAGGATATTTTCATAAGATTTAGAATTCACAGTTAACATTTATTTTCTTTCAGCCCTTGAAAAATATTGTGCCATTTCCTTCTGGTCTCCATGGATTCGTATGTCAAATATGCAGTCATTCATGTTGATATTCATCTATCTATAAGTAATGTGTCATTTCTCTCTGGAAGCATTCAAGATTTGTTTGTTTGTTTTTAGTTTTCAGGAATGTAAGTATTATGTGTCTTTGCATGGATTTCTTTAGGTTTATCCTATGTCAGATTTGAGAAGTTTTCAGCCATTATTTCTTTGAACACTTTTTTCATATCCATTCTTTTTTTCCTCTTCTTTTGGGACTTTGATGATATGAATGCTATCCCTTTTGTTATTATTCTACAGATTCCTGAGACACTGTTCATTTTTTTTCAGTCTATTTTCTCTCTGTTTAGATTGTGTTTTCATCTCTCCTCAAGTTTACTGATTTTTATCCTCTATCACCTCCATTCTACTATTAAGCCCATCCAGCAAATTTTTTATTTCAGTTATTTTAGTTTTCAGTTATATAATTTTCATTTGATTATTTTGATAAGGTCTGTGTCTCTGATGAAATCATTTATTTAAAAAAATGTCAAGGGATCATTAATTTCTTGTTGAAACATTTTTATGATGGCTACTATAAAATCTTTGTCAGATAATTCTAACATCTGATTCATCTCAGTGTTGGCATATGTTGATTGTGTTTTCTTCTTTTTTTTTTTTTTTTTTTTTGAGACGGAGTCTCGCTCTGTCGCCCAGGCTGGAGTGCAGTGGCGGGATCTCGGCTCACTGCAAGCTCCGCCTCCCGGGTTCACGCCATTCTCCTGCCTCAGCCTCCCAAGTAGCTGGGACTACAGGCGCCCGCCACCACGCCCGGCTAATTTTTTGTATTTTTAGTAGAGACGGGGTTTCACCGTTTTAGCCGGGATGGTCTCGATCTCCTGACCTCGTGATCCGCCCGCCTCGGCCTCCCAAAGTGCGTGTTTTCTTCTTAAAGCTGTGATTTTCCTGGTTCTTGCTATGGCAAATGAGATTTTTACTGTGTATCTAAACATTTAAATATATTTTAGTAGATTTTAAGTCCTATTTAATTATCTTTTTCTTCTTCTTCTTCTTCTTCTTCTTCTTCTTCTTCTTTCTTTCTTTCTTTCTTTCTTTCTTTTCTTCTTCTTCTCCTCTTCTTCTTCTTCTTTCTTTCTTTCTTTTCTCCTCCTCCTCCTCCTCCTCCTCCTCCTCCTCCTCCTCCTCCTCCTCCTCCTCCTCTTCCTCTTCTTCCTCTTCTTCTTCTTCTTCTTCTTCTTCTTCTTCTTCTTCTTCTTCTTCTTCTTCTTCTTCTTCTTCTTCTTCTTCTTCTTCTTCTTCTTCTTCTTCTTCTTCTTCTTCTTCTTCTTCTTCTTCCTTTCTCCTTCGAATAGTCCCTCTGTTGAAGTGTAGTGTGAGGAGCAGATTAGTGTGTATGTTTATTTTCCAGCTAGGCCCCACTAACATCACTGGCAAAAATAGAGGATTGACTCACATTGCCTTTTTAAAGATGGGTGTGGTGGAAGTTCAGCTCCCCACTGGGTCTCCCTGATACCTTGGGTCTTGGCGATACCTCTGGGTGAAAGTGGGACACCAACAGACACTGCCTCCCTTGAGTGGAGGTGTAAGCTGTGCTCCCTGCTGGGTAGGGGAGGGACTCCCTGACACTGGTAGGGGAGATGAAAAGTTAAGTGGCTAGCCCTACCTCACACTGTTTTATTCAGTCTCGTTGATGCTGGGCAGGGTGGAGGATCAGTTCCTTGGGTCCCCACTGACACCAAGAGGTGGGGAGACAAGACAGCCTACCAGCTCTCCTTCATGCCATCTTGTTCAGCCTTTTTGCTGCTGGGTAGTTGGGGAGGTTTAGTTCCCCACTGGGCCCTACTGAGACCAGGCATGGGGGGAAAGTGGAGCACTTGCACTTACTAGACCTAATTTGCATTGCTTTGTTCAGTCTCATTAATGCTGGGTGAAGGTGGAGGCTCAGGGTACTGCTGAACCCTGCTAACATGGCTACCTTGGTCCTGGCAGGGGATCTCTGGGTACTGCCTGCTTTCACAGAGCAGAATATGGTAGATCAGCTCTCTGCTCCGCCCCTCTAAACACCACCCAGTGGAAGAATTGGAGCACAGCCTACTTCTGCCATATGGGGGATGGAAGGTTAGCATCCCTGTGGGCCCTGCTGACACTGGCACCATCGAGCAGAGTAATCAGAGAAGCACTGCTGCCCACTTCCACATGTGCAGGCTGGGCAGGATGGAAAGCAGCTTCCTGCTTGGCCCCGCTGAAATTACGTGTGTGTGCGTGCTGTGGAGGAGGGAAGGTTGTGAGATTTTGCTGTGGGTATTTGGCTGGAGTACCACACATAGTGCCACAAAGGTTTTCTCTAGTTTGGCCACCCCTTTCCCAGGCTTTTGGTTAGGGGGAAGAGGCTTTCCTTGTAGTTTTTAAAAAATCTGTGCCTATTGGCAGTTCCAGGTTGGAGGCTCCTGTAGCCCTATCTATGTCCAGAATATATGTGAGGCAATAAGCAAACCCAGAGAACTCAGTGCCACATCATTTCTCAAGTCCCAAAGTTCTTTGGAAGTCACCTTTCTCCCCACTGTTCAGTCTTCCTATGCTTTGTAATGTCCAGGGGTTTTTAAAGTTGTAAGAAAAGGGACCTGGGAGGAAACAAAGCTGCTCCATCTTGGTCACAAGCAGAAGTCATAATTCATAGCATTTGAATACTTCCAGGAGCACTGGAGATCATCTACAGAATTTATGGACTTTTATGTGATTTGGTACAACTCTTTAGTCTTAAAGGTAGGAAACATGTAGTTTGGGCACAGTGGCTCACGCCTGTAATCCCAGCACTTTGGGAGGCCAAGGTAGGCGGATTATTTGAAGTCAGGGGTTTGAGACCAGCCTGGCCAACATGATGAAACACCATCTCTACTAAAAATACAAAAATTAATCTAGCATGGTGGCAGGCACCTGTAATTCCAGCTACTTGGGAGACTGAGGCAGGAGGATCACTTGAACCTGGGAGGCAGAGGTTGCAGTGAGCTGAGATTGTGCCACTGCACTCCAGCCTAGGAGACAGAGTGAGACTGTGTCAAAAAAAAAAAAAAAAAAAAAAGAAAGGAAAAGAGAGAAACCTATAAATACCGATTTACAGTTATTCTCTGTTCCCAGCTCCAGCCAACTATTGATCTGCTTTCTGCCTCTATAAATGTATTCTTTTTGGATGTTTCATGTAAATGGAATCACACAACATGTGGTTTCTTGTGTCTGACTTATTTTGCTCAGCAGTTGCTTTGAGGTTCACTCATCACACAGCATGTGTTAGTGATTCACTCCTTTTTATTGCCCAATAGCATTCCATTGTATGGGTATACATTTTGTCTATTTATTTGCCATCTGATAGATATTTATGTTTCTGCTTTTTGGCTTTTATGAATGTGTTAGTTGGTTCTCATGCTGCTATAAAGATACTACCTGAGACTGGGTAATTTATAAACAGAAGACATTTAACTAACTAACAGTTCCACATGTCTAGGGAGGCCTCAGGAAACTTGCAATCCTGGTGGAAGAGGGGAACCAAGGCAAGTCTTACCTGGTGGCAGGCAGAGAGAGTACAAGGGGGGAACTGCCAAACACTTTTAAACCCATCAAATCTTGTGAGAACTCACTCACTATCATGAGAACTGCAGGGGGAAACCACCCCCATGATCCAATCACCTCCCACCAGGTCCCTCCCTCCCCACATTTGAGGATTACAATTTGCGATGAGATTTGGGTGGGGACACAGAACCAAACCATGTCAATGAATAATGTTGTTGTAAGCATGTGCAATTTTTTTTACGGACATATGTTTTCATTTCTCTTGGATATATCCCTAGAAATGGAATTGCTAGGTCAGATGAACCCTCTATATTTAACATTTTGAGAAAATGCTAAATTGTTTTCCAAAGCAGCTATACCATTTTTTATCCCTACCAGCAATGCATGAGGGTTTAATTTCTCCACACCCTTCCTAACACTTGCTGTTGTGTGTCTCATTTATTACAGCCCTTTTGGTATGTGTGAAATGGCATCTCATTGTGGCTTTAATTTGCAATTGCATTTCCCTAATGACTAATGATGTTGAGCATCTTTTCATACTTTATTAGCCTTTCATGTATCTTCTTTGGTGAAATGTCTGTTAATATTTTTTGCTTATTATTTTTAATTTTTATTTTGTAATTGTAAATTGACAAACTATTGTTGTACACAAAGTTTTGTTATAATGTATAAATACAATGTGGAATAATCAAATCAAGCTAATTAACATATCCATCACCTCAAGTACTTACATTTTGTGTTAAAAAATTTGAAATTTACTCTCTTAGCAATTTTGAAATGTACAACATATTATTATTTACTATATTCACCAAGCTATGCAATATACCTCAAAGAAATCAAAAATTATTCCTCCATGTAATTGAGGCTTTATGGCTATTTTTTTTCTTTTAACTTTTGTTTTAGGTTCTGGGGTTCATGTGCAGGTTTGTTATGTAGGTAAACTCGTGTCATCACAGGGGTTTGGTGTACAGATTGTTTCCTCACCCAGGTACTAAGCATAGTACCCGATAAGTATTTTTTTCTGAACTTTTCCCTCCTCCCACCCTCCACCTTCAAGTAGGCCCCAGTGTCTGTTGTTCCCCTCTTTGTGTCCATGTGTTTTTATTATTTAGCTTCCACTTATAAGTGAGAGCATGCATCTATCTTTGATTGTTTTTTTACAATTGAGTTATACAAGCACTCTCTAAATTCTGGTACCAGCTTTTTATCATAAATGTGTTTTGCAAATATTTCTCCCAGTGTTTTTCCTGTCCTTCCATTTTCTTAATGGTATCTTTTGAAGTGCAAGGTTTTCAATTTTGATGAGGTCTATTTTATCAATTTTTTCATTTATAAATCACATTTTTAAAAGAAATCTGTCTGGCCCAAAGTCCTAAAGATTTACTTCTATGTTTACTTCTAAAAGTTTAATTGTTTCAACTCTTACATTTAAGTCTATGATTTGTTTTCAGTTAATTTTTGTGCATGGTGTGAGGTGAGGGTCCAAGGTCATTTTTTTTGCATACACATAGTTATATTATGAAATGTTTTTCTAGAAGTTAATATGATAATAGCTTAATATTTTATTTTATGAACATACTATAAACAGTGAGGTCCTGGTAAATATTTGACAATCATCTCTTTTAAAAAAGCCCTGATTTGTAGTATTTGCCAATTTCCCTGTGTAAATATTCCAACAGTGTTTAATTTAAAGCTACTACATGACATAACATATGGAGTTGGGAAGAAGTCACACCATTGATTCTTATGAATTGCTACAAGCTGGCTCTAGCATATCACTAAATCAATTTAACCAATCTCCTGGGTTTTTGTTTTATTTTTGTTTGCTTCTTGTTTTTCTCTCTTTTACCCTCAATATATACAAAAGATGCAAAAAAGAAACAAAAAGCAGAAACAGTCTATTTTATTCATCGCTATAAATGAATGCTGTATCTCTAGGGAGTTTCTAGTTCTCTCTCCTTAGGAACACAGCTGTGGGCAACATCCTTGAAGCCTTTCTGTGGTCACATTTAGTAGTGTCTATCACATTTACTTTCAGACAACCCCCTCGCCAGCCTTGCTTCCTTTTAATGATAAAGAAAATCAAGTTTTGACAAATAGAGTATAAAGCAGCTTGAACTTCTGCAATTTTGCAAAAACACATATACAAAATTTAAATTATAGAGGTGACTTCCCCCCCTTTTTTTTCTCCCTCTCAAGAACCAAGTATAGAATTAAGCAAATGCTGAGGAGGAAAATAGTTGTCTTGACAGGCAGTGGAAGTCAAGTGTGAATGGCCACAATGTGTCAGCTTCCTGAAAGTGTCTTGTACATAAGAGTACTGCAAAGAAATCACTGGAGTGTGACACTGTTTCAGATAAATATATCTGATCTTCCTTTCGAGGAAATCTTGTAAGAAGTGCAAATAAAACTAGGGGGCCACTTTGGATCAGATGCTTTTTTTTTTTTTTTGAGGGAGGGTCTCACTCTGTCACCCACACTGGAGTGCAGTGGTGTGATCATGGCGCACTGCAGCCTCGACCTCCAGGGCTCAAACAATCCTCCCATCTCAGCCTCCTGAATAGCTGGGACTACAGGTGTGCACCACCATGAGTGACTCATTTTTGTATTTTTTGTAGAGACAGGGTTTTGCCATGTTGCCCAAGTTGGTCTCAAACTCTTGGGCTCTCAAAATGCTGAGATGATAGGCATGAGCCCCCATGCCTGGCCAATAGATATTTTTAATAAGTAGTTATTAGATGCCTATCTGTAGCTCTGTGGAGCCCACATAGCTTTATCCACATTGTTACAAATGGGAAGCAGCAGAGGCCTGGGATCTGGGAGAGCAGTGAGCCATGGGGGATTTGGAGGAGAAAGGGCACTAAGTTGTATGGGGATAAGAGGGTTTTGAGCAACTGTCACTATTTGGCAAGACCTTTATTCAATATAATTACCATTATTTAAAGTACCCCTTTCTATTACTATGAAAAGTGAGGCTCAGAGAGATGTGAAAGTGCTTACACAGGGACTTCTGGCTTACAAATACCTGCTTTTTAAACTCTGTGCTCAGAGTGTGCATTGGGAGTCACCTCATGAAGTGGAGACTCAAGCTCAGTGACTCATCACAGCCTCCTGCTCTGGCCCCATGTCCCAGTCAGCCCACTCACTGCCCCATGCTCCCCCTCTCACTCCTGCTCCCCTGCACATGACGGGAGTCATACTAACCTTTGTGCAGGTCCCAGAGAGAGTCATGCTTCTGGCCTTCATTCACTCCACACCCTTACCCCGGAATGTTCATCCCACTGTGTTCTTCTAAGAAGCAACTGCTCATCTTTTTCTTTTCTCTGTCTCCTTCTCACTCTCTTTCCCCAACTTTCCCCCCATTAGACTTCTTCTCCTTCTTGCCCTTTCTCCTTCCTTTCTTTCTTTTCACAAAGAATAGTTTTTCTTATGATGTGGCCATTTTAAAAGTTGGATAGGCCAGCCTGGTGGCTCATGCCTGTAATCCCAGCACTTTGGGAGGCCAAGGCAGGAGTATCCCTTGAGGCCAGGAGTTCAAGACCAGCCTGGGCAACAAAGCAAGATCCTGTCTCTACAAAGGATAAAAATAAAGTATTAGCTGGGTGTAGTGACATGGGTCTGTGGTCCCAGCTACTGAGGAGGTTGAGGCGGGTGGATCTCTTGGGTCCAGGAGTTCAAGACCGCAGTGAACTGTGGTCACCACTGCACTCCAGCCTGGATGACAGAGTGAGATCCTGCTCTAAAAAAATATATGTATTTTTTTTTTCAGTTAGATAGCACTGAAAGCATACAGAAGAAAATTAACATCACTCATTTGCGATGACTTTATACAATGTCAGTTTAAACGGGAACTACATTTCCCAGAACTCACTGTCAGTAGGGTTCCAGGTTAGCACAGGCCCGGGGATCTATATAACTAACTTGAGATTCACGAGAGAATGGAGCAACAGCTGTAATGTAACGCTGTGAATGTGCCAGCAGGTTCCGGGGCCCTGTGGTGGCTTGTGCACACTGCAGTCTATCTGCAGGCTCACTTTGGCGTAGGACGGCACCTGGACCCACTGGATTCCGGCTCCCATGCTCCCCTCTGGAAGTACAAGTCCTGGGCCAGGCGCATGTGAACCTCCATGGTGAATGCAGCAGCTTCCTCTGCAGATTCCTAGCGAGGTAGTGGCTGGATGCCGCGAGAGACAGATGAACCTCCTGTTTGTCCTCAAGGCGGGTAGTTTCCGTGTAGGATCTCGCTTGTCCTTACAGGTGCCATCTGATCCTTGCTCACATCCTCAGCTGGCGTTCCTTCCTGACTGCTGGAGTGGCTGACCTGAAGAGACTTCCCACTCAACACTGCAGGCAGAGGGGACAGCCCGGAGAGACTTGCCCGCCAGCTCTCACTTTGCATATAATCTCACTCCTAAATAAATCCCTCAGCTCAGGGGTCCCCAAACTTTCTCTGCGTGTGGTGCCCTTAATTTCTCAGTACTCTCTTCTTAGTGCACCTGGGCCAAAAGAAATACCAAACAGTTCCATTAATTAAGTGGTTAGATCCAAATGACGTAGGTATGTTTGTAATAGCTGTTTGAAAAGAAAATATACATACATTGAAAGAAAAAATAATATTTGATTTTCCTCTTAAATAAGCAGTGCCGATGGGATATGTGCCTGTTGGACAAGGCCCAACTTCTCCAACCTTGGAATCAAGTTGGACACTGTTGCCCTCATTTTCTGTCCCACACCATTTTACCTCAAAGCAATCATTGAAAACCCAGCTTTGGAAAGATATGACAACTGTGAAAGGAATATACTGCAATCTGATGTTCGAACTGTGAACTTCCTCAATCGAGTAGTTCCCAAGGTGTCCAAGAAGGGTCAGCTATCAATGTATATCCTCTGAAAACTGGAAATATTCCATGGCACCCCTGTGAACTCACTGTGGCCCCTACAGTTTGAGAACCATAGCCTTGTCTCATATTGCTTCTGATACACAGAGTGCCATGCTGATTTGGGTGTATTCTTTTCCTGTCTTTGTACTCTCCACATATATTATAAAATGTGGACCAGAAGAATTCTATATTTCCCTTTTTTTAATTTGACAATGTTATGAGTGTATTCCCATGTCAATAAAAATTCTTTTAAAAATTATTTATATCTGAATCATATACCAAATTTACCAATATCGAATTTAATCTTCCTCCAGTCCTTGAATTTTCCAGCTGTATTTCATTTTGCTATTATCTGTCAATATTCCTTAAAATGGATTTCTAGAAGCAGTATTACCAAATGAACTTCTTAAACAATCTTGATAACTATTGTTAAATTGCTTTTCAGAAATAATGCACTAATTTATATTCCAATAAAAAATACATGGCAGTGGCTATTTTGCCACATTCTTAACTGCACTGGGTATTTCCATTAATAAAATAAAATCTCCTCACCATTTTTAACAGGCAGAAGAAATATTTCATTGTAATTGACATTTTGTTTTATTACTAGTATGATTAGTATTTTTATTTTAATGGGTATTGCATTTATTCCATGACTGTTTGTATCTTTGTTTATTTAAATAAGTTATTGGCCTGTAATCCCAGCATGTTGGGAGGCTGAAGCGGGTGGATTACCTGAGGTTAGGAGTTCAAGACCAGCCTGGTCAACATGGTGAAACGCCATCTCTACTAAAAGTACAAAAATTAGCCGGGTATGGTGGCGTGCACCTGTAATCTCAGCTACTCGGGAGGCTGAGATGTGCGAATCTCTTGAACCCGGGAGGCAGAGGCTGCAGTGAGCCGAGATCACACCACTGCACACCAACTTGGGCAACGGAGTGAGACTCTGTCTCAAATAAATAAATAAATAAATAAGCAAATAAATAATTGGAATATATTATTAGTTTTCTTATTGATTCGTAAAATTGCCTTATATGTTAGGAGAGTTGATACTTTGGCATCTTTGTCTTAATCTTTAGTTTATTACACTTTAAAATTTTTTGGTACAGGATCTTTATAGTTCAGGCTGTATAGTGTATGTCAGCATACAAGCAAATTCTCCCCCAATACAATACTGTTCTTTTTTGAAACTTACTTAGACTGTCTCATCTGATTATTCTACAAATGAATTTTAGATTTGCTAAATTAAAAGCCAACACACAATGCTTTTGTTCAACGCTTTCAAACAAAAGCTATAACCAACCTTTGTTGGTCAAGAGGAGACTCTTGAAAGCTGGATGAAGTTAGACACCACAGATATTCTCGAATAGAGAGAGCATAAGCTCAAAGAAATTCACTGGTGTGTATCCAGGGCCAAACAGCGAGTCCCTGACAGTCTAGAGAACGCAGTGACCTTATTCCAGCAACTCCTCTGGTGGCTCCTGCCCACCATGGCACAGGGGAAGCTTCAGTGCATGGTGGGGTGGCAGGTCCTTCTTCAAGTGGCCTTCATACCCCTGATGTCTGATTCAAGGGGCTTGTACCAAATGAAGGGATGAGTGAATGAGTGGGTGGATGAGTGACATTTGAATGGATGAATAAACAAATCAATGGATAAATAAAATTTACGGGAAAATTCTCCTTTTCTCCTTCCAATACTTGGCTCCCAGAACTCTGTTTCCTCTTGTTCTCTTGGGGGAACACACTTAGAGGTTTCTATAATTTAATTGTGTCCAAAAGGTCTGCTGGCAGCTTCAGAACATCACAGCTCCTGGCTTCAGGGTCCCTGTGCCTTAAGTCATCTCAAAGCCTTAGCACAGGGCAAGCAAGCCCACTCACTCATGGGAGTGGGGGCACTGAGATGCTCCAGGTGGGTAGAGCAGGGCTAAAACTGGATGGAAACTCTAGGTAAGGAAATGCAGACGGGCAAGGCTTCCAATTATGGAGGCATAGCAGGGGGTCAGGAGCATCCTGGATAGCACCCTGCCTGCTTCCAGGAGTTGCAGCACCCAGGAGTGGGGTCAGAACACGAGCCTGAGGCTCTTCTTAGTAAATACCCTTGTTCCTTTCATGCCACCCACGTTTCAGTCTTCTCACTCTTCCTCAGCTCCTACCACAGAAAGTGAGAATGGGAAATGAAAGGACCAGAAATAAATATTGGGCAACTTCAGACCTGGATAACCCTGTCAAGCCCAGATTCTTACACAACATTGAGATTTTATTGTACTGAACTAGGTCTGCACAGAGCAACAGCTGTGGACTTAAAAATCAGTTTTCTTTTTTCAAAAATTTCTCAAAGAATTTCATGATAAAAGATGTTACTTATCAATGGGGTTAGTGTATCATTTTAAGTAGCTAATTAAGGGGAGAAATGAGTGTGAAGGGAAGGAAATGTAAAATCAGCCGACATCAGGATTTCTTATTGACTTGATGCTGAGTCCTTCCACTCTGGGAAAATCAAAATGTATTCCTTCTGGTTCATGTTTCTCAAGCTTTAATTATTAGAATTACCTTTTTGATTTTTGCTATATTTTCACATATTGCATTGTTACTTAAACATTATACTTAAATACATTTATTTTAATTATAATAGCAATCACTTACATGGTACTATGTGCCAGGCACTCTTTTAAGCACTTTACATGCATTAAGACATTTCATCCTCATGACAACCCCATTAGATGAGATGCTACTCCATTCAATGATGGAGACGATGAGTCTCTGAGAAGTTAAGTGACTTGCCATAGTTACATACCAGAATAAAGACCTAAATAAGAATTGAAATACTATTATGGTAATAGAAGAAAATATAGGACAAAATAGAAAAACAATTGTACTTAAGGGTGAGAAAGGAGCCTTTAAACTACATTGAGCTAGTATAAGCCAAAAGACAACATTTAATGAATTTTAATTTAAATTTTATTACATCAAAAGTATTTCTATTTAATGAAGGATACCATAAACAAAGTAATATACATATAAGACAATGATAAAAGTTATTTGCAATATCTTAAAGCAATAAAAAATTAAAATCCAGAGTATGTAAATAACTCTTGATAATCAACAAGAAATAGCGGGAAACCCAATAAAAAATGGTCAAAGACACGAACAGGTAATTTATAGGAGAAACTCAAAAGCTTATAAAAAGATGTTCAAACCCATCAGTAATCAGAGAAAAGCAAAATGAAGCAACTATGAGAGTCACGTTACTTGTTCAACTAGCAAAGATTAGAGAGCAGCATAATGCCAAGTGTTGGTAAAGATGTGGGGAGAGGAACCTTTTTGCACAGTTAGTGGCTACATAGATTGAACTCATTTACATCTCCCTGTGATCTAGCATTTCCAGTCCAACTCTGTACAAGAACGTTGTAATTGTATTTGCCAGAGTGGAGAGCTGGCGGCAATCTTGGTTCCCATGCCTAGGAGAGTAAATAAGTAGAATGTGGAAGATATACTCTGTGGAGTACTGTGAAGCAGGTGAAAGAAATGGGTTGAATATTCTA
Source organism: Homo sapiens (assembly GCF_000001405.40). Classification (NCBI taxonomy): domain Eukaryota; kingdom Metazoa; phylum Chordata; class Mammalia; order Primates; family Hominidae; genus Homo; species Homo sapiens. Next base: position 46,193,373 of record NC_000003.12, read on the forward strand.
AATAGCAACATAGATGATCAGGCAAGCTGGGCACGATGTTAAAAAAAGTAAGAAACATATATCATTTACCTAAATTAAAAATACTACATACAAAACAATACATATATTTTAGGACACATTAAAAAGAAAATGACACATATTAAAAAACCTTAGAATAGGACTTCTGCTTTTGGTCATGATGGAGTAACTGGTGCCAAATTTGCCTTTCCATTGTAAGCAACTATGAAACTGGACAAAGTATGAGTCAACTATTTTCAGGTATTGGGCAACAGCAAATAGAGGACTCGTATCCCTGAGAAAAGGAACATTTTCCTGTGGTAGTACAGGGAGATGGAGCCCAGGCAGAGCAGAGGGTTCACTGAGCTGAGGAGGCAGAGATTAGACCTGGGTTGCTGAAGCAGCTACAATTTTCAGGGCAGGGGACTGGAGAGAAGGCAGCTCCATAGAGAAGAGGCTCAGAAGTCTCCACAGGGATTTTCTGTTGGATCCTTGGCTGAAGGAAGGATTGCACTAGAGGAAAGTGAGACTCCTTGAGGTATAAGTGTGTGGCTACTGAGGAGCTGAGAGCTGAACAATGGGATACCGGGGTTTGCACAATGCTGAGAGAAAATTCCCAGTCAGGGTGGATAGACTTCTCTGCCACCTCTTATGAGCAAAGGCTATGCCCTACAGCAGTGGTTTTTTAATGTCAGCATGTACCAGGGTCGTCTGAAACACTTGTTAAAATACGGATTGCTGGGTCTCACCCCTGGAATTTCTGATTCAGTAGCTCTGAAGTAGGGCCTGAAAATTTGTATTTTTAATAAGTTCCCAGGTGATGCTGTTGTTGTTGAAGACCACAGCCCTAGAGTAAAGGCAAGCCCTAAAACTAAAGCCAAATCTGAAATAGACACATCCTAACAAAACATAAAACTGAGTCTGATGAGACTGAAAGGAAGCACCAATGATTTTACAACCCTGACAAAATGACACCCAGCACTTTTTAAAGGAAGATAATAGTCCAGACTCCGTACAACATATCACCTATAATGCTTGACATGCAATAAAAAAGTAATTGATGTGAAAAAGAATTATAGCCATAATTCTAAAAAAAAGTCCATAGAAACAGACCCCAAGATGACTGGGAAGTTGTAATTAGCAATTAGGGACTTTAAATCAACTATTATAATCAAGGACTTAAAGAATTAAATTGTCATAATGAATGAACAGATGTGGAATTTCAGTAGATAAATGGAAACTATGTAAAAGAACCAAATGGAAATTCTAGAACTGTTAATTACAGTATCTGAAATAAATTGGAGGGTCTTAACAACCTAGTAGAGACAATAGAAGAAAGGTCAAGAAATGAATATAAATTACTGTAAAAAATGAGTTTTAAAAGGAGATATGAAACAAAATTAAGCAGTCTAATAAAGGTATAGTACCCTTATCCATTGGTGATATGTTCTAAAACTCTCAATGGATGCCTGAAACTGCTGATAGTGCCAAATCCCAGCCAAGGAACATCAAGGTCACCTTTTCACTTAAGGAAGCACTTTCAAGTTTCTCTTTGACATATCCAGATTGCCAGCATCACTACTCTTAGGGCCATTACTAAGTTAAAAAAGGGTCACTTGAACACAAGTACTGCAATATCACAAGCGTCAACCTGATAACTGAGACAGCTAAATGGCTAAGGGGCAGGTAGCAAATAAAGTGTAGGTATATGGGACAAAGGGATGATTCATGTGCAGGCAGGATGAAGCAATACAGTGTAAGATTTCATCATGCTACTCAGAATGGCGCATAATTTAAAACTTATGAATTCCTTATTTCTGGAATTTTCAATTTAATATTTTTAGACCATGGTTGACCAGGGATAACTGAAACTGCAGCAAGCAAAACTGCAGTTAAGGGGGGACCCACTGTATAACTGGTATATATAAAGGTGAAGAGAAAGCGATAATTAAGCAGGGAAAAAAATGTATTTGAAGAAATCATGGCCCCAAATTTCTCAAATTGGGGGAAAATCAACCTAAAACTCAATGTTTCATAAACACCAAGAATAATAAACACAAATGAAGCAAAAAATGCTAAAAAAAAAAAAAAAAGGGAAAGGAATAACATTAAAGGCAGCCAGAGGGGGGAAAAAAACACATTTCGTAGGAGATAACAATGATAAGAGCAATTGCTAACTTTTTATCAGAGACAATGATGTACAGATGACAGTAGAATGATTTCTTTAAAGGACTGAGAAAAAATATTGCCAATTCAGAATGCTGTATCTGGAAAAAATATCTCTCAAAAATGAGGGTAAAATAAAGACATTTTCAAATAAGTGAAAAATACCAGATTCTTTGCCAACAGACTCATGCTCAAGATATAGTAAGAGAAGTTATTCAGGCTAAGGCAAATTGACACCAGATAGAAACTTGGATAAATATAAAAGATTACATTTTTTGTCTTGATGTCTTTTTAAAAATGAATTTGTTTAAAATAAAAATAATAACATTGTATTATGAGGTTTTCTATATATGTAAATGTAAAATACATGATAACAATACAGAGAATGAGAGGAGGTTCTTACATTTTATATGAAATGGCACGATATTAATCCTAAATAGTCTGTGATATATTAAGGATGCATACTGAAATCCCTACAGAAAATCACTACAACAATAATATAAAGAGGTATAGCTTAAAAAGTCAATAGAGGGACTGAAATAGACTACTAAACATTTTTCAAATAATCAAAAAAAATTAAGAGATAGAGAAAACAAAATACAAATAGGAAACAAAGTGTACTGTAGTAGACTTAAACTTGATAATATCAATCATTACATAAAATGTTAATAGACTAAATAATTCAAGTGAAAGGGGTTGTCAGACTGGATGAGAAAGAAGATTGAGCGCCATGCTTTCTACGAGAGATTCCCTTTATATTAAAAAACAAAACAACATATATTTAAAAATAAAAGTACTGAAAAAGATATACAGTCATGTTCTACATAATGATGTTTCAGTCAATGATGGATTGATTATACCAAGGTTGTCCCATGAGATTATAATGGAATTGAAAAATTCCTGTTGCCTGGTGACAACAGAGCTGTTGTAACATCGTAGCACAACTCATTACTCCCGTGTTTGTGGTGATGCTGTTGTAAACAAACTTACTGCACTTCAGCCACATAAAAATAGAGCACATACAATTATATACAGTACATAATACTTGATCACGATAATAAATGACTATGTTACTGGCTTATGTATTCAGTATACTGAATTTTTTATTGTTATTTTAAGATGCACTTCTTCTACTTATAAAAAGAAAATTAACTGTAAAACAGCCTCAGGCAGGTCCTTCGGGAGGAATTCCAGATGAAGACATTGTTATCATAGGAGACGCCAGCTCCATGCCTGTGATTACCCCTGAAGGCCTTCCAGTGGGAAAAGATGTAGAGATGGAAGACAGTGATAATGATGATCTTGATCCTGTGTAGGTCTAGACTAAAGTGTGTGTTTGTGTCTTGATTTTTGGCAAAAAAGTTTAAAAAGTAAAAATGTTAAAAATTTTTTAAAATAGAAAAAATCTTATGGAATAGGGATATAAAGAAAGAAAGCATTTTTGTATAGCTGTACAATGCATGTTTTAAGCTAAGTGTTATTACAAAAAAGTATAATAAAAAAGTCAAAAAGTTTAAAATTAAAAAGTTTATAAGTAAAGTTGTAGTAAGCTAAGGTTAATTTATCACTGGAGAAATTGTTTTTTATAAATTTAGTGTAGCCTAAGTGTACAGTTTATAAAGTCTACAGTAATACACAATAATGTCCTAGGCCTTCACATTCACTCACCACTCACTCAGTAACTCACCCAGAGCAGCTTCCAGTACTGCAACCTCCATTCATGGTAAGTATCCTATGCAGGTGTACCTTTTAAAAATCCTTTTTATTGTATTTTTAATGTACCTTTTCTATGCTTAGGTATACAAATACTTACCATGGTGTTACAATTGGCTACAGTATTCAGTACAGTAACATGCTGTACAAGGTTGTAGCCTGGGAGCAATAGGACATGCCATGTGGCATAAGTGTGTAGTAGGGTATACCATCTAGGTTTGTGTAAGTACACTCTATAATGTTCACACAATGACAAAATAGCCTAAGAGTGCATTTCTCAGAATGTATCCCCATCATTAAAGGACGAATGACTGTACCATGTGAAGAAGAAGCATTAAAAAGTTAGAATAGCAGTAATATCAGAAAAAGTAAACTTCTAGACAAGAACTATTACCAGGGATAAAGGGATATATTTCTTAATGACAAAGGAGTCAATGAGAAGACAGAATAGTCTTATATGTCTTTCATATAATAGAGCTCGGACATATATGAAGCAAAAATTGACAGAAATAAAGGAAGATGCAGACAAATCCATAATCATAATTAAATATTTTAACAAGGCAACTTATTGTTCTATCTAGCTAGCTGATATAACAATGAGGCAAAAAATTAGTATTGAATAGAAGATATGAGCAACACTATTGGCCAACTTGACCCAACTGACATTTATTAAATATTATAATGCAAGACACATAGTCTTTTCAAGTGCTCATGGAACATTAACCAACCTAGGCTACATACACACAGAACATTTACTAATATAGCTCATTCTCTGAGCCATAAAAGGAACCTCAGTACATTTAGAATTATTCAAATTGTGTAAGTCACATCAGAATTACATTAGAAATTAATAGCAAATATATCTGAAAAATCCACAAATCTTTGGAAGCTGACAAACTTTTAAATAACTTACAGGCAAATAAATATAAAAGGATATTAAAAATTATTTTGAACTGAATGAGATAAAAAGATAACATATGAAAATTTGTTGAATGCAGCAAAAGCAGTCCTTAGAGGTACATTTATAGCTCTAGATGCTGATACTGGAGAAGGAGAATGGTTTAAATAAATTATCATAGCTGCTTCTATTTTAATAAACTAGACAAAAACAAAATAAAACAAAATCAAATGAACCCAAAGTAAGCAGAAGAAAAAAGATAAGAAAGACCAGAAAAGAAATCAATGAAACAAAAGCTGTTTCTTTAAAAAAGTCAATAAAATCTTTAAATTGTGCCTATGATGTTGGGGTGGGGAGCAGATCGGGGATATGTGGATTTTTTTAAAAGGAAAAGATGAAAAATTTATGAAAGTAAAAGGTCTCATCCTCGCCCTGGTGCCAAGACTGTGTAGAGCGGTTCACATGCTGGAGCCTGAGCCAAAAGACTGAGGGGTACTCAAGTGATGTACAGAGTCTCTCATCATTGGCAGCAGTAAGGCATTAGACTGGCCTATTCAGAAGAACTGTGATTACTCACTAAAGGATTATGTAAAAAGGAATACATTGACAGCAATGAGAACCAGCTTTCTTGTTGTGAGAGAAGCCAGTTTCAACTATGAAAAGGTAGAAGAGGCTGGGCGTGGTGGCTCACTCCTGTAATCCCAGCACTTTGAGAGGCCGAGGCAGTTGGATCATGAAGTCAGGAGTTCAAAACCAGCCTGGCCAAGATGTTGAAACCCCGTTTCTATTAAAACTACAAAAATTAGCCAGGCGTGGTGGCAGGCACCTGTAATCCCAGCTACACGGGAGGCTGAGGCAGGAGAATCGCTTGAACCTGGGAGGCCGAGGTTGTAGTGAGCTGAGATGGTGCCATTGCACTCCTGCCTTGGCAACAGAGTGAGACTCTGTCTCAAAAAAAAAAAAAGTAGACTAGAAAGAACAATGCTATGTAAGATTGTCATTGAAGGTATTGGTGTGAACGCATGGCTTTACATGTGATAGATTAGATAGATATGCTTGTGTGTGTGTGTGTGGTGTGTGTGTTACTGTATTTACACATACATAGATATTTTTCGTAGCTCTGTCCATGGAGAAGGCCCAAAAACAATAGTACTCCACTAACAATGAGCACATCTAGCTCTCCAATCATGGTTTCTAAATATTAGTTTCCACTACAAAAAGCCAGACTGCTTGGAGATGTGTCTTTCTGTGGCCAGGGCAGGGAAAATACAAGACAGAGCTGGAACCTCTTTGCTAAAGAGGGAGGGATTGCTCAAAGTACAATGGAGACAGAACAAAAGGACATAGGATCCAGCTCCCGTTAGATCAATCTGGGGTGATCTGTGCATCAAAATAAAGACAACATTAAACTATATTCCACTGAATATAGTTTAACCCCATGAGACGCTGCTGATACAAATAATAAATGAGGAGAAGAGAAGCTTTCACTTTTCAGAAAGAAGTGAACTAATAATTGTCACTTATTAAGTAATAAGTACAAAATGCTTTACAGTGGCAAAAACTGGTAGACACCTTCTTAAGCAAGTGATAAAGTTTAACATCACCAGTCGTGGGGAAGATTGGCATTAGGTGCGTTCTGATATTATGCACTGAGAACACAGCAACTGTTTTGTGAGATTCCTGCCCTAGTTTCATAACCTGGATCTAAGGAAACATCAGTCAGCCAAATCGAGGAATTGTTGTCTATCAGGTAACTGTAGTGTTCTCTCAAATGCTGAAGTCATGAAAGACAAGAAAAGCCTGAGGAACTGCTCTTAAAGGAGACTAGAGGAGCAGACAACTAAGTAAAACAAGCATTTCTGGACCCTGGGATTATTGAGGACATTATTGGCAAAGTGGGCAAAACTGGAAACAGGGCTACAGATAATATGATGATATTGTGTCCATATCAGTTTCCTGTTTTGGTTACGTGGGAGAATATCCTTGTTGCTAGTAAAAGCATTCTGAGGGTAATGATGATAATGAGGCATCGTATTTGCAACTTGCTCTCAAATGATTGTGGAGAAAAAATAGCATTGTATATCTATCTATATCTAGCATCTAGATCTAGATATGTATGTATGTATGTATCTAATATATCATCTAGAGAATGATGAATTTAACACAAACGTGGTAAAATGCTGACAACTGGTGAGTCTGAATAGGGGACAAGGGAGTTCTTTGTGCTCTTCTGGCAGACTTTCTGTAAGGATGAAATCGAAGGGACAACAATAGCGACGAGTCTGGGGCTGCACCCCATTAGCACAGGACCAGGGCATGGGAGGGGCAGGGGAGGCAGTCAGGAGGAGCTGGAATTTCCTAAGTGACCAAGGAAAGGTGCTGGCAGACATCTTATTGGATAATGTTAGAGGAATACTACCCGATTTCCCTAACTTTATGTTATTTAATCCTCAGAACAGCAGCATGAGGTAGATACCAGGCTCCTCTTCACTTTATAGATTAGGAAATTGGAGCTCAGAAATTGAGCTTCACTCAGCCAGCATTTACTTAGTGTTTACTATGTGTCAAACATTACCGAGGTTACACGCACAGAAAATATTAAGTGTGATCGTCTATGTATGTGTGTGCATTTATAAAACAGTACTAGAAGGAAATGTACTAAAACAGTAGTATAATAAGGGAGGCTATATTTGGGGAGCAGAATTGCACAGATGTTTTCATTTTTCTCCTTTGTGTTTTTTAGCTATTTCTAGTTTTCTACAACTAGAAATTCCCTTTGTAATAAGGGAAAAAACAAGCATTACTTCAAAACGGAATTGGAGGATCTTGTGAAATATTTCACATTATGATTTCACTGTTGGACCAAATACTGTTTTCTGATGCAGTTTTATTTTACTAAAGCAATAGACAAATATGTCTTAATTCAGTTAAGCCTCCTTTCCACACACTGAGAGCTGGTGGGTTTACAACTGGAAAGCTGACATCCACTTGGACTCCTAAGACCTATATTTGTCTATATTTTCTGTGTGGGGGTGTAAGCCCAGGTGGCATGACCTCCTCTATCCCAGACAAAAGTTTTCAAGACCATCATGACACCAGCTTCTTTGTACAAAGACCACATGTGAACACAATTCCCACTGAAGGGGGTGTGTGGTTTGGTAAGAGTGCAGCTCTAGTGTCCACAAAAGGAGAAAAGTCAGCCCAATGGTGTCACTGTATTGTAAGGTGGGACACCCGTCAGCTTAGGGTGTCTTCTGACTGATGATTCCTTCTTCCCTTTTACTGCCTTGGCACCCTGAGCTCTGCAGTCCCCCCAACCCCCTGCCATGCTGCCTGGGCCCTGTTGGCATCCCTGTGTCTGTCTGGCTCACTGAGCTGAGCACCCTGCAAGAACAGACATTCCTCATGCACCAGTGTCTCTCATGGCTCAAGAGCTTGCTTTGAATGGAGCCCACAGTCATCACTGCTGGGTTGAACTGATTTGTGCAAGCAATAGTGGGTAAACAGGTGGAGTAAATTAGGGTGCATCCCTGCCAACGACTTCAGTGCAGGCACCAAAAACAATGCTTTGAAATGATTTATTCACCTGGGAAAGTGATCACAACTTGCTGCTAATTAAAACCAACAATAGAACAGTGAGTACAATTGAAGTCCATCATTGTTATTATCATAAATATGCACCCAACAAAAAACAAACTAAAAGAAAATACACTCAAAAGCACACAGTGGGCACATTTTGTCTTTGGGTAGTGGAAGTGTAGGTAATGTCAGTGTTTGGGGTTTTTCTTTGAATTTTTAAGCTGTTTTAGAAATAAGTTTTGTTATTAGGAAAATTATTTTTAAAGAAATATACATCTGAGGGAAAAGAGAACAAAGGCATGATAAATAAGGGGTCCTTGGTTGGAGATGATGCATCCAGAACATTTTGGATAAATAAGCTACTTTGAGTTAAGGGCCTTCTCGGCCTCCTACATCAACACAGAATCTCACCCCACCCTCCTAGTAGACACTTTCCTCCCAACCCCCTATCAGCTACAAATACTGTCAGCTTACACAGCAGGCCTTATTATTATTATTATTTTTTTTTTTTGCTGACAAGTCCAAGATGGCAGTCGGAACTCTGACCCATAAAACCAGAAGGCTTAGATGAAGAACAAAAAGAAGGGAAACCAACCCTGCTTCCTTTTGCCTGTTATTAATCGCTGCAATAAAGCCATTAGAATCTACCAACATATCACCCAACTTGAAAAGAAGAGAGATTCTGAAAAATAGTCAGAAAAGAAGGGTAAATGGAAATGATGAGTCCCTCCCCTTTATGGCTATTTTAAGAAGCACACCATGTTATTCATATGGCCCGTGCTTAGCCCACTCCCTGAATTGTTTGATTTTAGTGGATATAAAAATTCTTCCTAAGGGCTTTCTTAGTTCCACTGCCAGCAGTAGTTCCCCATTTCTATTTCTCGTTAGGTCTCAACTCTTCCGTCATGAGTTCTATGTTCCCCAGGATTCCAAGAGCCCAAATCCTGCGGTGGGAGTGAAGGGGAGGCAGATGCTGGCTACTGATTGGCTCTGGGACTCAGAGTGGAGTCACTGTGGAAATCACTATTTCCAAGTTCTTTGGCAGTGGGAGGGTGGCGGGGGGGGGGAGGTGATGGAAGAACAGAAATTCCTCATACATCAGTGTCTCCCATGGCTTAGGAGCTCACTTTGAATGGAGCCCACAGTCACCACTACTGGGTTTAATTGGTTTGTGCAAGCAATAGTGGGAAGTGGGTGACTTTGTTGACAAATGCTAATGGTCACAAATCTGAAATCTTGCTTGAGTCCAAGCCCTTCTCTGGTACACTTAGTCCCAGTCTCTGGAATATTTGGTTTTGCTCATTCATCTTCTTTCTACCAGGGGAGAAGTTCATGGAAAAGACTGAAGCCCCAGAAGCCTCAGAAGCCCCAGGCCACCATTACATTCCCTCTCTATCCCAAGTGGCTGTGACTCCATGCTGTGCCAAGAGTCAGAACCTGGCTGGGAGAGCCAGGCTGCTGGCTCAGTGTGCCTGGCAGGTCACGCCTGCTTATTTTGGGTTGGCCTCCTATGGTCTGAGTCAGAACCCAGCAGAGAGTTCATGCTCCCCTGTGGAGGGAGATGTGGAGCTGACCCTCTCCAGCCTGTCCACGGAGAGGAAGGGGAGCCATTTAACCAGGTGCACAGCCACACGCCTGTGGAACAACTGCCGCAGGTACTTCCGGAACCTCTCACCAACGAAGGCGTAGATCACTGGGTTGACACAGCAGTGCGTGTAGGCGATCACCTCCGTCACTTGCACAGCCAGGTCCAAATGTCTGCTCTGCTCACACTCATGGGTGAACAGGAAGTCTTGGAAAACAGAAATAAGTATAGTCAAATTGTAGGGGGTCCAAAAGAGAAAAAAGATGATCATGATGACAAAAATCAAACGGACAGCTTTGGATTTCTTCTCATTTGGTCGTCTTAGCAGAATCTTTATAATCCCTGTGTAGCAGATGATCATGACCAACAAAGGCAATACCAGCCCAAAGAGGTTCAGTTTCAGAGCCTGAAACAGCTTCCACTCTCGTAGGCTTTCGTGAGGAAAGTGAAGGCTGCAGGTGTGGTGAGTGAATTCCCATTGGGTCTTGGAAAAGTATAAGCCTGGCATGGAAGCCAAGATGGCCAGGGCCCAAATGATGATGCTGGTGATGACACCAAAAGTGACGGTCCGTGCCCGCAAGGCAAACACGGCGTGGACGATGGCCAGGTACCTGTCAATCGTCAGCAGGATGATGAAAAAGATCTCGCTGTACAAGCCTGTGTAATAAAACCCAGAGAGGATCTTACACATGGCATCACCAAAAACCCAGTCATCCTTCAACTTGTAGTCGATCCAGAAGGGAAGCGTGAACAGGAAGAGCAGGTCAGAAATGGCCAGGTTCAGGAGGTAGATGCTGGTCATGTTTTTTAGCCTCTTGTATTGCACAAGGACCAGGACCACCAGGATGTTTCCAACCAGGCCAATGACAAATACCAAGGAGTACAGAGGGGGCAGCAGTTGGGCCCCAAAGGCCCTCTCGTTCACCTTCTGGCACGGAGTTGCATCCCCATAGTCAAACTCTGTGGTCGTGTCATAGTCCTCTGTGGTGTTTGGAGTTTCCATCCCGGCTTCTCCTACAGGTTAAAAAAAAAAAAAAGATTTGTCTTTACTCTGCTACTAAAGGCAGTGGGCACTGGACAGTAAAGACAAGGGAGAGGTAACATTTTTTCAGCCACTCCATAAATGTTTATTGAGTGCCTTCTGTGTACCATGCCCTGGGGACAAAATGGAGTGTTAGAGAGACCCAGATCCTCTCTGCCTTCTAGGAATCTTAGTCTAACAGGGAGTGGAAGCAATAAGTAAATGAGTGCACAAATCATTAATTCAATCATTTCAGCAAAGAGTTTTGTAAGGGATAAGTTCAATGGGTGGAAAGCCAGAGGGAGACCTTACCATACTATTCATAACCAACACTTCCTAAGCACCCCCATGGCCTAGGCACTGGACTTAGGGTTAAAGAGCCCTGGAGGGGTCCCATTGTTGTTCTTATTTAAGAGGTGATGAAACAGAGGTTCAGAGTGGTTAGGAAACATGTTCAAGGACACACCTCTTGTGAGAACAGACCTGGAGCTCCAACCCAGCTGTGCATCATTCTCATGCCCGGCCCTGACACCACTACGCTTTCCTGCTGCTGTCCCCGAGCAGTAGCTTTGCACTGTGGAGCCCACAGGAGGACTCTGAGAAGGAAAATGGTCCTGGCTCAGAGAAAGATACAAACAGATATTCATGGCTTTTGGTCTAAGAAGATTCTCAGCCGAGAGTGACCTAGTACCCTTGGGGCACTTGGAAATGTGTGGGCATTTGTTGTTGTTGTCACCAAAACTGGGGGATGCTACCGTCATTTGGTAGGCAGGGCCAAGGATGTCCTACAGTGCAGAGATCATTCTACCCCAAACACCAGTGGTGTTGCCATAGTGAAATCCTAGTAGGTCAACCCCATTATTTTGGAGATGAGGACACTGAGGGCACCAGAGTGGGCTGAGCCTGACCCACATTGCACAGTCCTTAGGTGGCACAGGTAGATCTAAGGTCACTTTGCAGACCTCCTGAAGGAGAGGAAAGTGCAGGCAGAGAAGGGGGAGGTAACCTGGTCAGAAAAAGAGAAAACTGGGCATCAGGGGAGGAAGAGTTCAGAATGGTCTGGAGCTATGAGGTGATGTTACACAGTGACTAGCTGAATTCTGCTGAGATAAGCTCTTAGATATTTTTACCCACGGATGCCTTAAAGCAAACAAAAATGAAACAAAAAAGAATCACTCTGTAGGTTGCCTTTGTAGGACTTCTCCCAGTCCCTGCTTTTTTGGCACTTGAATCCTTTCCAGTTGCTTATTAAAGATGCCTCCCCAAATGGAGCATTGGCTTTGGTGTAACCTACGAGCTTTGTGACTTTGGATAAATTATTTTACCTCTCTGAGCTTCATTCCTCATCTGTAATGTGGGAAAGCAACTCTTATCTTGCAAGGCTACTGTGAGGTAATGTATGAGAAAAGTGCTACCATCACCCTCCCACCACCACCACCTGGCAACAGCCAGGCCCCTTATTGAGGGCCTGGCAAGAGCCAGGCCAGGGCACTTTTCTTGGGGACCTTCCCTGAGAGAACTCCTTCACTGCAGGAGCCCTTCCCTGAGGCCTGACACCACCAGCACATCCCAGGCACCAATGTCCAGGATGTCCCTGGCTGGCTGGTATACCCTGTCTCCCACCCCCCTGCCAAATTTCTTTGTAGTTAATCTAGAAAGTGATTTTTCTTGATAACGGTGGACAATGATGGTCCCTTCCATGTGAATGACATTTGAAATTGTCAATCTATTGCCGCCAATCTAAATTGATTTGACCCAAATGCCAATCAGTAAAGTAGGTGGCACCTACTTTATAATTTCTATCTTAAACCTGGGTCTCTGGTGTTCTTCCTTCTACTCTCCTTAAGGAATGTTTCCTGCTTACACAATTCACATTTTTTTCAATAGCCATTGTAAAGGAAATTAAGGCACATGGAGGGTATAGGGCACCCTGGCTGGAAAGGGAGATACTCTATTAGGGTGAGAAGTGAGGAGCTTTAATTTTTTATCAAACCCATCCCCTGGCCCACTCCTCCATCTCCAGAGAGATCCAATCAGCCCTCTTTCTGGAGAGAGTCAGGCTAACGGTCACTAACAAAGCTGTGTTGGCAGTTTCTAATTTCTGCAGCCACAGCCATTGCTGATGAGGGCAGACAGTTCGGTTTGATAGTCAGCACTTTTCGGTGGGCTGGCAGGTTAACAGTGGAAGTATGCAAATAGCTTGGAAAGCACAAAGAGCAGCTAGTGCAAGCCTGATCCCATGAGTCCAGTTTCTGGGAAGGTTTGGCAAAGGCAAAGGCAAGTTGAGTCAACATTGTCAGGTGGCATTTTAAACCGAGTCACCTCCATACACCCCCTACCTCCAACCCATTTGTTATTTCCCCAACTTGTTAAGCCCCAGGCAACCACTCCAAGGCATGCTGTTCCTAAAGGGAGGTGATCTGGGGTGGGGCCCGAGAAGAGAAACCAAAGGACCATGTTGTCATCTAATCTGCCAGCCCTGCTGTAGTCTACTGCAGAAGTCTGCCTCAAGGCCACTGCACAGTGGTCAGCTATAGCCCTGGATCCTGGACCCTCCACTGCTAGTGTCCTCCAGCCTGGGAGTTGGTGAAGTCTCTGAGCAGAGATAGAGCAGTCTGTGATGGTGAAAGACACCCAGGCCTATGGTGCGCTGGCTGGCTTATACTGGTTTATAAATGCCAATTGCGTGCATCTCTTCCCCACTCCACATTCAGCATGTTGGTAGCTTGAAACTGACCACAGTGGGGGCATTTATACCATGAAAATCAACAAATGTTATAAAGCAGGGATCTTTTCTTCAGAAGAGTCAGTTGTTGAACATTTACCAGCACATCACTGCCCAGGCCCCACATTCTGAACAGTCCAGCACTGTCCCACTGCTCGGTGCGGGAACTAAAGGATCAGTGAGTGGCACATAGCCTGGTGCCAGGTTGTGCAAACTTTTGGGAGTTTCCATCTCTTCTTTGAAATCTGGGACCCACCAAGACCACCTATGAAGTAGATACCTATACGGAGCCACCATGCCCCTCTATCTTCAGAACAAAATCCTGACCTGTGTCTTTGTTAGTAGAGCAGAACAGATGCCCCCCAAGATCACCTGGCCAGCTCCTTGCCTTTGGGTGAGTGAAAGCCTACCTCTTCCAAAGATAGCAGTGCCAATTTTGAGGATCCTTGGTTCTAGTCTTCTTAAGAGATAGGTTCAGTATCAAATCATCCTTGCATCTGCCAAGATTTTTCTAGCTAATATTTCCCTCTTGCTATAATTTCTTCATACACCATGTTTGGTTTTCCTTTACATGGGGGAATTTGGCAAGCAATTTTTTTTTTTTTTTCAGACAGACTCTTGCTCTGTCGCCAGGCTGGAGTGTAGTGGTGCAATCTCAGCTCACTGCAACCTCCACCTCCCGGATTCGAGTGATTCTCCTGCCTCAGCCTCTTGAGTAGCTGGGACTACAGGCATGCGCCACCATGCCCGGCTAATTTTTATTTTTAGTAGAGACAGGGTTTCACCATATGGCCAGGATTGTCTCCATCTCTTGACCTCATGATCCACCTGCCTCGGTCTCCCAAAGTGCTGGGATTACAGCCGTGAGCCACTGCGCCCCGCCAAGTAATTTCTTATTGAATAGGTTTCCACAGAAAACACCTTTTGTCCCTTAGTACTGACTGACTTTCTTAATCAGTAACCAAAAGCCAATCCTTCAAGTAAGCTTCCTTTTTAGCAAAAAAGCCTATATTTCATCTGAGCACCCAGCTTTATAAATCCACCATTCTCAGTATTGCTACAGTATTAATTGCCTTGGAGATGCATCCATGGGCTACTTAGACATTTGCCCAGCCTACTCAAAGAATTCCCCCTACCTTTGAGGAGCCCCTAGCTGCATGCATGTCTTTGAACAACACTGCCCTCCACAGTAACAGATAAGACAGAAAAGACAAGTGACACTTACTCTGGTTCCAAGGGACTTTGTCCGTGAAGTCTTTGTTTCTGGGGCTTTCTGGGTTTTTATGAATTCAAGTTTCAAGATCCTGACCAAGTAGGAAGTACTCAGCTTCCTGTGTGATGATGGAGAATTGGCTCCAGTTTCACAGTCTTTCAAAATGACAAGAAAGGGACAAAGTTCTTCTTTTTGTGTGGTTTGGTGCTCATGAATGGCCACAACGCCCACCAGTGGCCACTTCCTGGAAGCCAAGTTAACTGCGAGGATTTTCTCTGCTCACTCTGAGCCTCTTGAGTCTTGGCCCTGGGAGCTCAGCCTTAAGGGAATTGGGGGCAGGTGAAGCTGAGTTGGGTGAGGTGGGTGGCAGTGAGATGTTCCCAGAATGTTTGGAGCAATTGAAGTGTGGGATGTGTGTATGTGGGATGGGGGCAGGGCATAGAGCTCTTGTGGTCAGCGGCAGACTTCTTTTTTTTCTTCTTCTTAAAGATTGTGAATGGAAGGATTTAAACTGGAACCCTGAGTCCTGTTCCTCAAAACTAACTGACATGGGTGCTCACAGAGGCAGCAGCTTCTCTTTGGCACCCTATGCCCCTCGGCTTCTGGGAGCTCATTGTCCCTCTGCTCTCTGCTCCCCAAGTCCCTCCCCACCAAACCTCAGAGAGTGGCTTTGCCCCAGGAACCTCCAGCATGAAGGGAATATAGGTCTGTTGGTTACATTTTGACCTTCCCTTTCTGATGCCCCATTCCTGTTTTACGTGATGGTCAAACATGGGCCAAGTTCAAATCCCAGCTCTCCACCTGTGACATGGGCAGATCA
This sequence comes from Homo sapiens, assembly GCF_000001405.40. Taxonomy (NCBI): domain Eukaryota; kingdom Metazoa; phylum Chordata; class Mammalia; order Primates; family Hominidae; genus Homo; species Homo sapiens. The sequence goes on from NC_000003.12 coordinate 46,209,090, forward strand.
CTCACCTTTCTAAGTCTTGGTTCCTACTCTGCTAAATGGGAGTATTGAATGCTTACCTCAGAGGAGAAGCACGAAGTCAACTTGTACATGAAAAATGTCAGAGTGCCTGGCACAGTGAAAAATGTCTGACAAATGATGAGTACTGTGACTCTCCTCACAACTGCCAACACCTACTCTGCCTCTGCCCTTGTGTCTTCTATAAAGTGGGGACACCCCTAACCTTCCTCACGGCATTGCTACAAAGCACTGTTTCAGAAATCATCAGTGTGAATGTGCTTTGAAAAGATCACTTGTCTCTTCATGGTTCAGTTTTCTTATCTGTAAAATGAAGAATTCAGACAAGATGGCCTAAGCTTGACATCTGATCATCACTCAGCTTCACCCCAAAGAAATAAATGGGGGTCTGCATGTGCCTGGCTATTTGCAGTACTTTGCTGGTGGATCAGTTTCCAAAGAGAACAGAGGCTTGTGAGGCCTGCCTTTTCCTTGATCCTGTCTAAAGTAAGGGACATGGTCAGTACCTCATCCTTGACCAGGCTTCCAGCTCTGCTCTAGGTTTCATTCCACAGAGGGGATGTACCAGGCAAATCTGCTTGTTCATTGAACAAATATTTATTCAGTACTCACAATGTGCCGGACATTGTGTTAGGTGCTTGGGATATAGTGGTGAAGAAAGAGGCTGGATCCATTCTTTGAGAGCTTATAGCTTAGGAAGGATCACAAACAATTAACCAAGTTACCACAATGAGGAACAGCTTTTGTAGTGGCCTGGGAAATACCCTGGGCTAAGGAAGGGTGCATCGAGGGTGGGAAGGGGTGAGGAAGTCCTTTAGAGCAGTGGTTCTCAAAGTGAGGTCCCTGGACCAGCAGCATTCACATTCCCTGGGACATTGCTAGCCATGCAAGTTCTGGGGTTACATGCCAGATATACTGACTCAGAAATCCTGGGGATGCGGCCAAGCAATCCAGGTTTTGACAAAGACTGGCATGATTCTGATGCATGCTTAAATTTGGGGGGCATGGATCTAGATTTTCTCAATGCTTTTGGCTCAGAGTCCCATGTGATCTTTCTTCAGAAGAGTTAGGCTGGACCAGCTATGAGCTAGGAAGCCTTCTTTCTCTCTTTAGCTCAAGGCCTAAACAAGAGGCTGCTCAGTTGCCTGCTCTGTCTCCCCTCCCACACCCACACTCAGGTCTCCTATGGCCTTGCAAACCCCTTAGTGCACACACCCCTCTCACCACAGCAGATGTGTACAATGGGGGCAGCACAGAGAGACAAGAGAGAAACCAGCAAAGAGGGATGACCTTGCTCCATTCATTTCTCTTAAAAGCCCTTTGACTCCTCTCCTTAAAAGCTGTAGTGTTCTCTCAAGGTTGCCGTATTGTCCTTGATCCACATCAATGTTCCTCTTCCTTGGAGAGAAGGGGGAGATGTGGGCAGCTTCCTTTGCCCCAGAGAGGTTGCAGTGGAAGCCCAGCACTAAGCCAAACCCTGTCCTGAGACAGCCTTCCACCCCAGCCTTGGCACCAATGTTCAGGGAAGAGATGCAGGGGACCCTGCCAGTGGTGGATGTGGATGACTCTGTCTTTAACACCTGCAGAGCTCATGGACCCTGGCCGTCATCAGGTTCAACCTCATATTCAACTGCTGGGCCTTGTCTTCTGGCCACACACTCTCTCCAAATCAGCGATGGTGGGGAACTGAGGAGCCAGAGGCCATTGTGGAAGAACTCCAAGAAAACAATCTCCAGGTTATCACATCTAAAGCCTGAGCAAGATTTGAGGCTGGGAAGAGGTGGATCCCAGAATTGGAAGAAGGTAGGTGAAACCAGTGTTGCCTCCGCTATGTTAGAGTCACATGGAAGCTTGAAGGACAATTGACTCCTAGGCCCACCCCCAGATATTCTGATGTACTTGGTCTAGGGTGCAGCCTGGGCATTGGAATTTTAATATGTTAAAAAATCTGAGAACTAGAATCCCTGGCCTAAAGCAATGGTTCTCGAATTTGAATATCCATCAGAATCTACAGAGGGCTTGTTAAAACAGATTTCTGGACTTATCTCCAGAGATTAAGTTCAGTAGGTCTGGAATGGGGCCTGAGAATTTACTTTTTTTTTTTTTTTTTTTTAGACAAGGTCTTGCTCTGTCGCCCAGGCTGGGGTGCAGTAGCATGATCATGGCTCACTGCAGCCTCAACCTTCTGGGCTCAAGTGATCCTCCCACTTCAGTCTCCTAAGTAGCTGGAACCACAGGTGCATGGCACCACACCTGGCTAATTTGAAAAAATATGTATATATATATATATATATTTTTTGTAGAAATGGGTGTGTTATCATGTTGCCTAGGTTGGTCTCAAACTCATGGGCTCTAGTGACCCTCTTGCCCCAGCCTCCCAAAGTGCTGGGATTACAGGTGTGACCTGTGATCCCACCATGCCTGACCTAGATTTGCATTTCTAATAAGTTTCGAGAACCACTGGTCTACAGGAATTCTCTGAGATGTAATTTGTTTATATTTGTAAGTACACAAAATATAAGGTGAAGAGCTAAGTTTGCCTACCCCTGGCGCCTTATTTTCCCCATTTCTCTTCCCAAAAGGAACAACAGTATCAGATTCTCATGTCACTTTGAACATAGAACACACGCACACACACACTTTTTTTTACACTGGTGAGTGAATACAATACACGTTGTCTTCCATTGCTTTTGTCACTGAACCTCATACCCAGAAGATTCTTCTCCACCAGCAAGCACCTGGGAATAAGCATGTAGGCAGTGACTATAGCCTCTCGATGTGGTGGAAACAGAGAAATATCAATAAGGTGCACACCTGAAGATTCTAACCTTGAGTTTGTCTAGGTCTCTGATTCCTTAATTTGATACCCCCTCCTGTGTCAGCCCCATGACTTGGCCTGCTCGTTCCTCCTCTTCCTTCTCACCTATTTATTTGCCTTTCATGACCTGCACACATCATCCATGGCATCCAATTTTGACTTGGCCCTGTTTCTGGTTCTCCTTTCGTGATACAACCTCAACATTCCAGAAACCTTATGTTCTGATTTAACCAAGACGGGGCAGGGCCCAGGCACCTCAACTGCATGGACCCTGGTGGTCACTGATGCAAACCTTTTAGGTTCGGTGGCTACATGAATAGGTTAATTTGGTGGTGCCGTGATCACAGAGATGTGAGATGTCCCTGTTGCCTAATCTTGGGGCACACTGTCTGCATGACGAAAGAGGTTGCTTCTGATCCCAGGCTATTTCCAGAACACCAAAGTCAGATTGGTTACTGTCTCACAGATGGGCAAAAGTGGTTTTGGGAGATGTAAGAGGGTCTTAGGCAGTAGCACCCCAGGTCCCTCGACATCACCTCATTTCCCCCCTCTTGGCCCCCCTACCACACTCCTCTTGTCTTGTCTAATTTCTTTCCCCAGCCTCTCTTTCCACCTCCCCTCCTCACTGCATACTTCTTCTATCCAGGTGGTCATTTTTCCTCCTGCATCTCTGCCTCTTTTTGCCTGCCTGGCCTCTGGCCTCTCCAAGGTGCTCTCTCACCTCCCATTCTACAAACTCCAACTTGACAAACCAAGGAGAAAGGGGCCAAGACTTCTTTGCCCCCTCTCTCCCTACTCTCTGTCCTGCTCATCTATCCCACTGTGCTTCATCGTGTCCCAAAGTGAAAGAGGGCATTGGGCACATCAGTGTGAGATCCCTCACCATGGATCATCCAAGAGGCTGCCTCCTCCCTGAAGCCTTCCCATCCTCCATGACAGGAAGTCATCAATGAAAGACTGACGTAGCACCTCTGAGGTTTTTAAACTTCTTAGGGGGGTAGGGGGAGACCTGTGTTGAAACCTCATTGTATACATTGGGTACTTTTGACAGCAAATAACAAAGCAATGGACTCAAAATAGCTCAAAAAAGAAAAAGAAAAGAAATCATTGTTTTCTCACAAATCTAGATATTAGCTCTGGTTTGAAATTACTCTTTAACAGTCTCTTGTAATAATTCTTAATGATTTCACTATTCACATGTTTCTATTCGTCTTTACAGCCTAAAATACAACCTCAGAACTCAGGGGCTTGAAATCACAGTGACATTTTTTCTCGTGATTCTGTGAGTTAGATGAATCGTCCAAGGTGCTCTCACTCCCACATCTAGGGTTGGGGCCAGCTGTCAACTGTCAATTCACCTTTATGTGGCTGCTCATCTTCCAATCAGCTAGATAGACATGACATCTCATCTCTGTCTCAGGCCAGTTACGAGAGTACAAAATAGAAGCTGTAAAGCATTTTAAGGCATAACCTCAGAAGTCACATGATGCTGCTTTTGCAAGTAAGTCACAAAGCCAAGCCACATTCAAGGAGTCAGGAAATAGAAACTACCTTTTTTGGAAGAGCTACAAAGTCACATTGTAAAAGGCTGTGTGTACTCGGCTTGGAGGAGTTTGAGTCCGTAAATTATCTTCTACCACAATGCACAAATTTCCTCTAGTTCCATAGCCAAGTAGTTTCTTGAACTTCATCCCTCTAATGGTCTTGTCTTCCCCATACCTTGGTCACATATGCCCATGATCATAGCTCCTGAATCTTACTATCACTAATATCTGTAGCTCTTCATACTTCCTGCTGCCAGCATCCAGCCTCTGACCACCACCTCCTACATTTACTACTCACTGCCTCTAGCACCTCAACTCCAACAGTTCTTTAACCCCAGTGGGACCTCCAGTCCACTGATATTTTAATTTTCCACTGACCTTCAGCCTCCTCATGCCCTCACTTCCCATCATCTTAAAAATCCATGAGCCATCATTACAGTCTCTCCCTTAAACACACCCTCAATTCCTTTGCTCTTTTCTGATCCTGTCATGCCCACTTGGCAAAATTTTGGTCCTAGTTAGATCCAGCTCCCCCACTTGCATCTGTGAAGTTAAATATGGCCAGAGAAAATCACACAACCACAGTGACTAGGGTGGCTCTAAATGATGATAGCTGTATCCAAAGCATCCTTAATGCCCATCAACTGCATTCCCCTCTTTTAGACATTATTTCACACCTTTTGCCTTTTCCTTAAACCTCCAACACCACCTGTTATCCTCATTCTTAGCTGATGATCTTGTTTCCTATTTCGCTGAGAAAATGAAAGCCATCAGAAGAAACTTTCTACAAGCCCCCACCTCTCACCTCCCCTGCTACCGGTCACTTTTTTCCTGGACAGTTCTCTGCCTCCCACCTGTTACATGGCTGGATTCTCCATGTTCCTGTCTAAACCCATCCCTTCCGCTTGTGCAGGATCCCAACCTCTCTCACTCACTCAAGGACATTGCTCTATTGATTTTCTCTCATCTTGTCAGTTTTTCCTGCTCTATTGCATTATTCCTATCCGAGTTATTTAATTTAGCAGCTTCATCTGGGACTCAGGTTCCTCCCATCTTTCTGCTCTGACATGTTCAGACCACCTCTGCTCAGGGATGTGGCTGCTGGGGTCACACTGAGGTATGAGGACATCTAACAGAGAAAAGGGCTGCCTTTTCTTTTTGCCAATTTATAGAAATAAGGAGCCCTGATGTTCTGTGATAAAACAGCCACTTGTGAGCCAGATCCTCTGGGGAGACCAGTAGATAGTGCCTCCACCTTTCCTCCCTGGGCAAGCAGAGGGTAATGGATGCTGCAGGGCAGTGTGGATGATGTAGGGAAGCCCCTTCCCTCAGGTCTTCTGGCACAGTGAAGTGCTTAGCAGAAAGCAGACACTGGGGGGCAGGATTTGAGAGCCTGTGAATGAACCAAGAGCACATTATCCCCTCCCAATGTCCCTTCCTGTCCCCAAACACACAAGTTTCTGGGGTGGTTCCTGCTGGCAGAGAGCCTGAGAGCATGGCCATTGTACCTGAAGAGGCTGGTGCCAAGAGCTGCCAACTAGAACCTGGTAGGTCTGTAATCTAAGTGCTCGCAAGAATGGGGCAGTGGCTCATTGTGGTTTGAGGCTGGCAGGGGGTCAGGCAGGAATGAAGAGCTGATAATGATCCTTGTACTCCAAACCTAAGCTCCAGACAGTCACATGTGTGTTCCTGTCACTTATTACATCCAGTCTGAGTGCTCATGCTGGTATTTGTTCCCTTACACCTCATCCATCACACAGCTATTAAGCATGTGTTCTCTCTGTCAAGCATGGAGTAGTTAAGAGTCCTAAAAGTTGAGTTAGGTAGGGCCTGGAAGTAGTGTTATGCAAGGTGAGGTATGTGAACCAGCAGCATCTGTGTCACCTGGGAGCTTGGTGGAAATGAAGGTTCTCAGGCCCCATTGAAGGTTAGACCCAGGAATCTGTGTTTTAACAAGTCCTCCAGGTGCTTCTTATTTATGCTAGAGTTTGAGAATCAGTGCTGGACCCTGCTGTTCAAAGTGATGGCAAAACCTGAGAGCTTACCAGAAATGCAGACTCTCAGGCCCCACCACAGGTTTACTGGGTGGGAGTCTGCATTTTTATCAGATCCCCAAGGGATTTGTTTGCACACGACAGTGTGAGACACCCTGGTCTAGAGGATCACGTTCTAGTGGGATAGAAGTCTGTATAGGGTTCAAGAGATACACAATGGAAGTTAGCTGGAGTCAGAAACACTTTGCATCGATGTTTACCCTGGGGCTAGAGAAATGAGTTGGAGTCTGCCAGAGGACCAAGAGGGCTGGAGATGAATGAATGGTGCCACAGAGCAACCCAGCACACCCCAGCACATTTCAGCTTGTAGATGTTCAGTAAACATTTTTTGGTTGGTCATGGGTTGTAGGGAGCAGGCTCACTAGGCTGCCCCTATAGATGGCTACTTCTGAGACCCAACCTGCAGCTTCACTTCATGGGAATAGCCAGAATCTGGGAGTCAGACACCTGACTTCAGATCTGGTTCCAGCACTGAGTTGGTGAAGCTGTGGAGGAAAAGTCATGCCTGCCTATTGCTGATGGGAGGGGAAATTGGGTCCCACTCCATGGAGGACTGTTTGGCAATAGCTATCGGAATTTGAAGTGTATGCATTTTTTATTCCAGCAATTCCACTTTTATGAATTTATCTTACAAATATTTACACATGTGGCAGAAGATACAGATTACAGGCACATTCACTGCAATGTAAGGGACTGATTAAGTCCCGCTGGAATGCTATGCAACTTTATGTGTTGACACGAAACGCCCCCCAGGTTGGAGTGCCAAGTGAATGAGCAAGGACCTTGTACTATGTACACACTGCACACATTGGGTGAGCTTGAAGGCACCTGTGTCTCTGGAAGAATAATTGGTGTGCCTGAGGAAGAAAGGGAATCTAAAACTTATCTGAAAACGTATCTGAGGGAATAATTGAGGAAAATTTCTCCAGTCTTGCTAGTGATCTAGAAATCCAAATACAAGAAGCTCAAAGAACACCTGGAAAATTCATCACAAAAAGATCATCATCTAGGCACCTAGTCATCAAGTTACCTAAAGTCAAGATGAAGGAAAGACTCTTAAGAGCTGTGAGGCGAAAACCTCAGCTTCTCCTTTATAGGTAATCTATAATGAAAACCTATCAGATTAACAGCAGAATTCTCAGCAGAAACCCTGCAAGTCAGAAGATGTTGGGGTCCTATCTTTTGCCTCCTTAAAATAATTATCACCCTAGAGCGTTGGATCCAATCCAACTAAGCTTCATTAATAAAGGAAGATAAAGTATTTTTCAGGTAAACAAATGCTGAGAGAATTCACCACTACCAAGCCAGCACTACAAGAACTGCTAAAAAGAAGTCCTAAATTGTGAAATAAAACCTCAAAATATACCAAAATAGAACCTACTTAAAGTGAAAATCTCACAGGACCTATAAAACAATAACACAATGAAAAAAAAGGTATTCAGGCAACAACTAGCATGATGAATAGAACAGTACCTCACATCTCAATACTAACATTGAATGTAAATGGCCTAAATGCTTCACTTAAAAGAAATAGAATGACAGATAGATAAAAATCCACCAAACTCACATAAACTTAAGGTAAAGTGAGGGGGAGGGAAGACATTCCATGCAAATGGAAACCAAAAGCAAGCAATAGTAGCTATTCTTATATCAGTCAAAACAGACTTAAAACCAACAACAGTTAAAAAAGACAAAGAGAAACATTATGTAATGATAAAAGTATTAGTCCAACAGGAAAATATCACAATCCTAGATATATATGCACCTAACACTGGAGCTCCCAAATTTATAAGACAATTACTACTAGACCTGAGAAATGAGATTGATGGCAACACAATAGTCGTAGGGGAAGTCAGTACTCTTCTGACAGTACTAAACAGGTCATCAAGATAGAAAGTCAACAAAGAAACATTAGACTTAAACTGTACCCTAGAACAAATGGACCTTACAGATATTTACAGAACATTCTACCCAAAAACTGCAGAATATACATTCTTTTCATCAGCTCATGGAACATTCTCCAAGATAGACTATATGATAGGCCACAAAATAAGTTTCAATAAATTTAAGAAAATCAAAATTGTATCAAGTACTCCGTCAGACCACAGTGGAATAAAATTGGAAATTAAAAGTTAAAAGGAACTGCCAAAACTACACAAATACATGGAAATTAAATAATCTGCTCCCAAATGATCCTTGGGTTAACTATAAAATCAAGAGGGAAATTTAGCAATTCTTTGAACTGAATGACAATAGTAACACAACTGATCAAAACCTCTGGGATACAGCAAAAGCGGTGCTAAGAGGAAAGTTCATAGCATTAAACCCCTACATCAAAAAGTCTGAAACAGCACAAATAGACACCTAAGGCCACACCTCAAGGAACCAGAGAAACAAGAACAAATCAAACCTGAACCAAGCAGAAGGAAAGAAATACAAAGATCAGAGCAGAACTAAATAAAACTGAAACAAACAAAAAAAAAATACAAAAGCTAAATGAAACAAAAAGTTGGTTCTTTGAAAAGATAAGCAAAATCGATAGACCATTAGCAAGATTAACCAAGAAAAGAAGAGAGAAGTTCCAAGTAAGCTCAATTAGAAATGAAATGGGAGATACTATAAATGATGCCACAGAAATGCAAAAGATTATTCAAGGCTACTATAAGCAAACTTATGTGCACAAACTAGAAAACCTAGAGGAGATGGATAAATTCCTAGAAATGTACCACCCTCCTAGATTAAACCAGGAAGAAATAGAAACTCTGAACAGACCAATAACAAGCAGCAAGATTAAAATGGTAATTTTAAAAATTGCCAACAAAAAAAAAAAGTCTAGGACCAGATGGATTGACAGCTTGAATTCTATCAGGCATTCAAAGAAGAATTGGCACCAATCCTACTGACACTATTCCAAAAGATAGAGAAAGAAGGAATCCTCCCTAAATCATTCTATGAAGCTAGTATTACCCTAGCTTCATACCAAAACCAGGAAATGACGTAATGAAAAAAGAAAACTACTGATCAATATCCCTCATGAATGTGGATGCAAAAATCCTCAACAAAACACTAGGTAACCGAATTCAACAGGATATCAAAAAGGTAATGCACCATAATCAAGTGGATTTCATACCAGGGAGGCAGGGCTGATTTAACATATGTAAGTCAATAAATGTGATATACCACATAAACAGAAGTAAAAACAAAAATCATATAATCATCTCAATAGATTCAGAAAAAGTATTTGACAAAATCCAGTTTCCATTTATGATTAAAACCCTTAGCAAAATCAGCATAGAAGGGACATACCATAAGGTAATCAAAGCCGTCTATGACAACCCCACAGCTAACATTATACTGAAAAGGGGAAAGTTGAAAGCATTTTCTCTGAGAACTGGAACAAGACAAGGATGCCCACTTTCACACTTCTATTCAGCATATTACTGGAAGTTCTAGCCAGAGCAGTCAGACAAGAGAAAGAAACAAAGGCCATCCAAATTAGTAATGAAGAAGTCAAACTGTCGCTGTTTGCCCATGATATGATCACATACCTAGAAAACTCTAAAGACTCATCCAAAAAGCTCCTAGATCTGATAAAGGAATTCAGTAAAGTTTCAGGATACAAAATCAATGTACAAAAATCAGTAGCACTGCTATACACCAACAGCAACCAAGCTGAGAATCAAATCAAAACCTCAACCCCTTTTATAACAGCTGCAAAAAATAATATTATAAAATACTTAGGAATATACCTAATCAAAGAGGTGAAAGATCTCTACAGGGAAAACTACCAAACACTGCTGAACGAAATCATAGATGACACAAACAAATAGAAACACATCCCATGCTCACGGACAGGTAGAATCAATGTTATGAAAATGACCATACTGCCTAAAGCAATCTATAAATTCAATGCAATTCTCATCAAAATGTCATCATCATTCTTCACAGAACTAGAAAAAAAATCCTATAATTCATATGGAACCAAAAAAGAGCCCACAAAGCCAAAGCAAGACTAAACAAAAAGAACAAATCTGGAGGCCTCATATTACCCAACTTCAAACTATACTACAAGGCTATAGTTACCAAAACAGCGTGGTACTGGTATAAAAATAGGCACAGGCAGATAGACCAATGGAACAGAATAGAGAACCCAGAAATAAAGCCAAATACTTACAACCAACTGATCTTTGACAAAGCAAACAAAAACATAAAGTGGGGAAAGGACACCCTTTCCAACGAATGGTACTGGGATAATTGTCAAACCACATGTAGAAGAATGAAACTGAATCCTCATCTCTCACCTTAGACAAAAATCATCTCAAGATGGATAAAAGACTTAAATCTAAGACCTGAAACCATGAAAAGTCTAGAAGATAACATCAGAAGAACTCTCCTAGACATTGGCCTAAGCAAAGAGTTCATGTCCAAGAACCCAAAAGCAAATGCAACAAAAACAAAGATAAATAGATGGGACTGAATTAAACTAAAAAGCTTCTGCATAGCAAAAGTAATAATCAGCAGAGTAAACAGACAACCCACAGAGTGGGAGAAAATCTTTGCAAACTGTGCATCTGACAAAATGGTGAATATCCAGAATTTACAAGGAACTTAAATCAGCAAGAAAAGAACAAATAATCCCATCAAAAAGCGGGCTAAGGACATGAGTAGACAATTCTGAAAAGAAGATACACAAGTGGACAACAAACATATGAAAAAATGCCCAACATCACTAATTATCAGGGAAATGCAAATCAAAACCACAATGCAATATCATCTTACTCCTGCAAGAATGGCCATAATTAAAAAATCAAAAAATAATAGATAATAATAATAGATGTTGGCAGGGATGTGGTGAAAAGAGAATATTTTTACACTGCTGCTGGGCATGTAAACTAGTACAACCACTATAGAAAACAGTATGGAGATTCCTTAAAGAACCAAAAGTAGAACTACCATTTGATTCAGCAATCCCACTACTGGGTATCTACCCAGAGGAAAAGAAGTCGTTACAATGAAAAAGGCACCTGCACATGCATCTTTACAGCAGCGCAATTCACAATTGCAAAAATATGGAACCAAAGTAAATGTCCGTCAACTAACGAGTGGATAAAGAAAATGTGATATACATATACCATGGAATTCTACTCAGCCACAAAAAGGAACAAAATAATGTCATTCCCAGCAACCTGGATGGAGTTGGAGACCATTATTCCAAGTGAAGTAACTCAGGAGTGGAAAACCAAACATCCTATGGTCTCACCTATAAGTGGAAGCTATGCTGTGAGGATATAAAGGCATCAGAATGACATAATGGACTCTGGAGACTTAGACGGAAGGGTGGGAAAGAGACAAGGGATTAAAGACTACACGCTGGGTGCAGTGTACACTGCTTAGGTGATGGGGGTACCAAAATCTCAGAAATCACACCTAAGGAACTTATCCATGTAACCAAACACCACGTGTTCCCCAAAAACTATTGAAATAATAAAATAAAATGATGCACATGAAGAATTTAGCAAATAATGTAAACTCAACAAACTCTGTTATTATGGTTACCTAAACTCTGTTAGACCCACCTTCGCCTTAGTGATATTAAGTTCACAACTTGAACTTGGCCACGGAGAGTATTTACACCAAGGAAACTGGAAATTGATGCTATTATATCAGGCATGTTGTGCCTGTTTTGATTCTTCCTCCAGAAAGCTGGTTGTTAACATTTACCAGCACACCATTGCAGAGTACCTATAGGCCATGAATGTACAGGGAAGATGTTTGCATTTCTTTCATCTTAAGTCTTCAAGGACAAATGGATCTGACAACAGCAACAAATACTGTATCTGAGTTTATATAAATCTTTGGTTTCAGCAGAAATAGCTTTTACTTGAATATCTGCTCTTCCCACTAGCAGCTGGGGCCTGATTCCCTAGTTGTAGGGGTATTCCTGCACATGCAAGATGCACCCCTCACATGCCCCCCGCAGCCCAATCCTTCACAAAGAGAGGTCCTGACCTTGGCTGGGCTATGTTTCAAGTCACACAAACAGTTCAAACCACACGGCTCTGCCTGCAGTTGAGGCATCTTGAACCCAATTTGCACTTCCCTTTTCTAGACTTTTAGTCTTATTCCTGTCTTCCTTTTCCCTCTGTGGGTTATTCTGCGGGGTGGGCTATTTTGTTTTGCTTAAGCCTTCATTTTTGAGCTTGCTTTCCTCCAAGAACCCCTGGCAGGTTTCCGGTTGTTGAAATGCACATTCACTTCTTCCAAAGGATCATCCTGTGTTCTTTTGCCCCTTGCAAAGCAGACCTACCCAAGACCACTGAAGACAAAGAAGGGGGTCCATGAAGGAGTGTGTCTGGGCCCCTGACTGGCCGCCACCCCTCACTTAGCTCTGCCTGCCTTTCCTCTTCCCGTGTGCCCCCTAGTCCCTCCCCAGCCCCTCTCTTGCCACTGCTGTCCACACAATTTCCCACAGGCTTCCTCCACACAAACTGGCACTGAAGATTCCCCCTGAGGACTGGGCAGGAGCCCTGAAGGTCAGATAGGCAGGCCTCCCAGGCTGTCCCACTCTCTAGGACAATAAGGCGTGACACTCTCCACATCAAAGGACCCATGTCTGAATTCCTGTTTCAGAGCAGTGAGACAGAGGAAGCAGGACCATGTATCATGCCACACCACCAATCCATATCAACACAGCAGCCACAGAGTATGGCACACCTAGGGCATTCCTGGATGGCCATGGTGGAGGTGGGGAGATGGGGGTTTCATGGGGATAGATGAACTTCTAGCTAGACTGGGCAAGTGATGGGTCCAGTATGATAATCTGGAGAAGTTACAGGGGCTGACAGGCAGCCTGGTTGCGTTACTTTCTCTTATTTAATTTGTCGCCCTCTTGCTGCTGCCTTGCCTCTGAAGCTACCTATCAGGAAGCCCTAGGATTCTTCTTGAAGGGTACTGCCAGGCTAGTAGAGAACTCAGGAGAAAAACCTCCAGAGTCCCTTAATCTTTCAGGGCCCCACCCCACAGATCTAGTGCCCTAGGTCCTGGGCTCTAACTTCAGACATCATGCATGGCCAGGCATGCTGCGCTCCTCACCTTGTTCAAGCAACAGACAATGGCAGCACCTTGCCACAGGCAGCAAGTCCTCCAGCACACCAGACCTGGCACAGCCCTCAGATGCCAGCCATGCCACCTTGGGCATTTTTATTTACCGCTTGTCAGAACCTCAGCTTCCCCACGTTTAAAATAGTGAGAGTAATATTTCTTTCTCAGGATTGTTGCAATAATTAAATATGATTCAATATGTGTCTGGCACTTGGTAAATGTTCAGCCGATGGGAGCTACGTGGCTATTTATTTCCTCATCCTATGCCTCAGTCAAACTGGTAAACATCTGTTGAATGTCTCCTATGTGCAAGAAAATTGTCAAGAAACCCTTCATGCTAAAAAGGGGAAGGAGAAAGTATATTAAGGAAGTGCTCTAAAAACTCCCTGTCCAGGTCCAGCCCAAGTTAACACTTACAGTCTTGCATGCCAAGTTTTAAAACTCTTTTGAGGCCAGGTGTGTTGGCTCACGCCTGTAATCCTAACACTTTGGGAGGCTGAGGTGGGTGGATCATGAGGTCAGGAGTTCGAGACCAGCCTGGCCAATGTGGTGAAACCCTGTCTCTACTAAAAATACAAAAATTAGCTGGGTGTGGTGGTGGACATCTGTAATCCCAGCAGAGGGAGGAGAACTGCTTGAGCCCAGGATGTGGAGGTTGCAGTGAGCCGAGATCGTGCCACTGCACTCCAGCCTGGGTGACAGAGCAAGACTCTGTCTTGAAAACAAACAAACAAACAAATAAAATCTCTTTTGAGTCTGGGCTTACATACAGTCTAATACACAGCATTTTATATCATGTTATCTGTATTACATCTTTTCTCTCCAGCTAAATTGTAAGCTTCTCAGCTGCTGGGCCCATGCCCAATCCTTTTTCATATGTTTTCCACAGTACCCAGCACTGAGATGCATATATATAAGAGGTGGTCAGTGTAAGGACTTGCTGATTAAAGTTGATGCTTGTGTGTGTGCATGCATGTTGTGTACATGCATGCAGGTGTGTGTGTGCATGTATGTATGTGTGACTATTGATAAGTACAGTTTGACCTCTTTTATTCAGAGTGACATTATCACGTGTCACTTGTATCAATCTGTTTTCCCTTTCAGCCTGCCTCAGTTTCAGGAAGCAAGAATTCTTTTGGCTCCTGACAAAGAAGGGAGAGAGACATTTTAGATCCCATGGCTTGCCTGAAACTTGGCCACGGACAGGGTGCTGGTGCAGGTATGGGACATGGATAGAGGTACTAGAGGACAGTGGATGACTTGAGCAGGTTCAGAAACATAAGCCCAGAGGTGTCGGTAAATAGAGTCTCCATCGGGTGTGATCAGGGTGTGCCAGGAGCTGGGTAGAAAGCAGCATGAGTGCCCACAGCCAGAAACAGCTCAGGGAGAGCTCTTTCAAATAAAGGGATGCATATACAAAATCGATTAAATACTCCTGCCAGTTAATAAGAAAAGGACCAATGGCCTCTTGTTTTTTAAATAGGCAAAAGACTTGATTAGAAACTTCATAGATGAGGATATCCAAATAACTAACATGTATGTGAAAATGTGCTCTGCATCACTAATCATTTGAGAAATGCAAATTAAAACCACTGGTTTTAATGAGACGAACCAATGAGACAGCAGCACATAACCACCAGAATGGCTAAAATGAAAAAAACGCAAAACAACATCAACAAAAAACCAAACCCTGGGCCAGGCACGGTGGCTCACACCTGTAATCCCAGCACTTTGGGAGGCTGAGGCAGGCAGATTACCTGAGGCCAGGAGTTCAGGACCAGCCTGGCTAACACCAACATGGTGAAACCCCATCTCTAATAAAAATACAAAAATTAGCTGGGCACGGTGGCTCACACCTGTAATCCCAGCACTTTGGGAGGCTGAGGCGGGCAGATTACCTGAGGTGAGGAGTTTGAGATATCCTGGCCAACATGGTGAAACCCTGTCTCTACTAAAAATACAAAAATTAGCCAGGCATCGTGGCACACACCTGTAATCCCAGCTACTTGGGAGACTGAGGCAGCAGAATTGCTTGAGCCTGGGAGACGGAGGTTGCAGTGAGCCGAGATCATGCCACTGCACTCCAGCCTGGGCAACAGAGCAAGACTCTGTCAAAAAAAAAAAAAAAAAAAAAGCCATCAACAACAAAAAACAAACCCTGACAATAGACAATACCAAGTATTAAAAAGGTTATGAGGCAATGAGAACTCTCACACCATGCTGGTGCAAGTATAAATTGGTACAACCACTTGAAAAATTGTTTAGCAGTATGTAAAGCTAAACATGTGCTTTCCCTGTGACCCAGCAATTCTACTTCCAGGTAAATACCCAAGAGAAGTGCACATAAACCCAAAAGATGTGTTCAAGAATGTTGTTAGTAACTTTATTCATAATAGTCTCAAACTGATAGTCCAAAATTCTTATCAGTAGTAAAACAGATAAATTAGTCATATGAGAGAATACTATATATAGTAATATAAAAGACCAAACTATTGCTACTGCATGCTACATAACCTCATTTATAATGAATTCAATAATGGTCAAAACTGATCAGCAGTGATAGAAATAAAATAGACATGACCTCTATGGAGGTGGGTACTGACTGGGAAGAAGTGCTAGGGAACATTCTGGGGTTCTAGTAATGTCTTGACTGGTGGTTACATGGGTATGTGCACATGCAAAAACTTAAGATTTAGGCATTAACTCATTAGGCATCTTACCATCTCAATCTTTAAATCTTTGAACATTTTTTAGGTAAATTGTCCATGGCATGGTGGCACCTGCCTGTAATCCCAGCTACTCGGGATTACCCAGCTACAATTGCTGGGTTGTATTGTAAGCACGAATTTAGTTTTGTAAGAAAGTGCCATGCTCTTTTTCATAATGGCTGTATTATTTTATGTTCCCAGCTGCAAAGTATGAGTGATTCATTTTCTCTGCATCCTTGCCAGTGTTTGTTTTACTATTCTTTATTTCAGCCATTCTGATAGGTATGTAGTAACATCTCATGGTAGTTTTAATTTGCATTTCCCTAAAGACTAATGATATTGAACATCTCTGTATGTGCTTAGTGGTTATCTGTATATCCTCTTCAGTGATATGTCTGTGCATATCTTTGACCATTTTCTAATTGGAATTTTTGCTTTTTTGCTTTTGAGTTTTGAGAATGCTTTATATTCTAAACAAATATTTTGTTAGATATGTTGTTTGCATTTTTGAGTTACTTCTTGTATAAGGTGTGAGGTTTAGGCTGAGGGTCATTTTGTTTTTTGGTTTATCTACGAATGTACAATTCCTCAAGCACCATTTTTTGAAAAGACTATCCCTCCATTTAATGGCTTTACACCTTTGTCAAAAAACAGTTAAGCATATTTGTGAGTCTAGTTCTGAGTTCTCTATTTGTTCTTTGATCAGTATGTCTATCTCTCTGCCAATATCACTCTATCTGGATTACTGTAGCTATATAATACGTCATGAAATCAGGTAAGTGATTCCTCTCACTTTATTATTGTTTTTCAAAATTATTTTAGCTATTCTAGGTCCTGTGACTTTCCATATAAACTTAAGAATAATAAGCTTACAAATGGCTATAAAAATTTCACTGGAATTTCTATAATATAAATTTCCCTAAACCTTGGATTAATTTGGGGAAAATTGACATCTTTACTGTTGAGTCTTCTAATCTATGAACATGGTATATCTCTCTATATTTATTTAGGTCTTCTTTGATTTATTTTATCAGCATTTTGTAGTTTTCAGCATGCAAGTCATGTACATACTTAGCTAGAGTTATACCTAAGTATCATCTAAAAGCTTTTTGGAGCAACTGAAAATGGCACAAAAATTGTTAATTTTGGCTTCCACATGTTCCTTAGTACATATAAATGTGATTGACTTTTGTTTCCTGGTTTTGTTCCTGCAATCTTACTGACCTTGGGATTTTCTATGTAGACCGCTATGTCTTTCCTAAATAATAGGGACAGTTTTATTTCCTCCTTTCCAATCTGTATGCCTTTTATTTATTTTTCTTGTCTTACTGCACTGGCTTAAACTTCCAGTTGAATAGGAGTGGTGAGAGTAGACGTCCTTGCTTTGTTCTTGATCTTAGAGGAAAACATTCATTCTTTCTCCATCAAGTATAATGTTTTCTCTAGACTCTTTGTAAATGCTGTTTATCAAGTTGAGGAAGTGTCTTTCTATTTTTAGTTTGCTGAGTGTTTACCATGAATAGGTGAAATATATATATATATATATTTTCTTTTTTAATTGAGATGGAGTCTTGCTCTTTTGCCCAGGCTGGAGTGCAGTGGCATGATCTCGGCTCACTGCAACCTCTGCTGCCCAGGTTCAAGCGATTCTCATGCCTCAGCCTCCTGAGTAGCTGGGACTATGGGTGCATGCCACCATGCCTGGCTATTTTTTTATTTTTCGTATTTTTAGTAGAGACAGGGTTTTGCCATGTTGACCAGGCTGTTCTCAAACTCCTGACCTCAGGTAATCCCAGCCCCTGCCTCAGCCTCTCAAAGTGCTGGGATTACAGACCTGAGCCACCACGCCCAGCTGAAACATTTTGTTAAATCACTCTGTCATAGATATTTTATCTATGTCAATATTCAACAAACTAGTTTTTCTGAATTGTTGAATTTATGATAATAAAGTAGTTCATAGTATTCTATTATTATTCCTTTTAATGGCTGAAGAAGCTGTAGTAATATCCCGTTTTATTTCTGATATTGGTGATTTATGTCTTCTCTTTTTCTCTTGTATGTCTTGCTAGAGGTTTATCACTTTTCTTGATTTTTTTGAAAAACTGGCTTTTTGTTTCCTTGCCTTTTTTTCTCTTGCATCCCTTGTGATGGAAGTTTCTTTGATTTTTATCTACTGTTTTTCTGTTTTCAATTTTATTTATATTTTCTCTTTATTTTTGTCTCCTTTCTACTTGTTTTGAGTTAATTTTGCTCTGCATTTTCTGGTTTCTTGAGGAAAGAACTTGGATTATTGATGCGAGACTGTTCTTTTCTAATGGAAGAATTTAGCGCTGCATATTTTCCTCTCAGAACTGCTTTAGCTACAGCCCACATACCTTGATATATTATTATTTTGTTTTCATTTAGTTCTGTATATTTTTAAATTTCCTTTGAGACTTCCTCTTTGACCCATAAATTAGTTAGAAGTGTTTTTACATTTTCAAGTGTTTAGAGATTTTCCTGTTATCTTTCTGTTATTAAACTTTAGTTGATTCCACTTTGGCTTGAGAACATACTTGGCATAATTTTAATGAAAAAACTAAAACCCTGCATATGGTTTATCTCGGTGAATGTTCCATAGGTACTTGAAAAAGTGTATTCGTTGTGAAGGTATCTACATTTTATATGAAGCCCCTTCCTAGTCAACATACCTAGAGAAGATTTGTATGACCAAACCTTGACAATAGGAAGATAACATCCCACACTATACAGCAAGCCTTCCTGAAAATCCCTGTTTAACATTTCTGTCTTTCCTTCCCAAACTCTTTCCCACCTACTGCCCAGTTTGTGGTCTTTTTTTTTTTTCTTCCTCACAGTCCCACACAGCCTTTCCAATCTCACTGGGGACACCCTGGTCTTTCTTCCTAGATCTTACATTGTACGCACACCCCCTCCCACTCTCTCTATCCCTGTTGTTACAAAGAGAAATTTTTTTCTCTCTAATTTTAAAATTTGCCTCTTCACCCATCATCTTATAAGAATTTTATCTGAGTCACCCTTCTGTGAATGCAGAGGCTATAGTAAATAGCGAGTAACTTTCCCTATCTCTTAGTGCTGAATTTGACCCCACCCTTGTATCTGTGGTGCACATGTCTTCCTGGCCATCTGCCCTGAGGTCTAAGTTGTGAAATCCATCTCCTCTAATCCTTCTATGATCTTTTAATGATATGACATAATCTTCACGTTCTTGGTACCCAGACTTATTTTGAAATCTGCTGGTGATATTCAAGGCTCTCATGGAAGGAAAAAATAAAACAAACTACAATTGGTTTGTTCTGCCCAATGTTAACAGCACAGGCTTAGGAATTAAAAATACCTGTGTACAAATCTATTCTCTGCCATTTGATAACTGTACAAACATGGTGGGTCATATAATCTTGCGTTGCCTTAATCCTCATCTGTAAACTGGATATCTACAGACTTGTGAGGATACATGTGATGATGCATGATAAAACACTTGGCATGTGCCTGCTCATCAGATGATAGTTATTCTTTTCATCTGTTCTTTCTCATGTTACA
Source organism: Homo sapiens (assembly GCF_000001405.40). Taxonomy (NCBI): domain Eukaryota; kingdom Metazoa; phylum Chordata; class Mammalia; order Primates; family Hominidae; genus Homo; species Homo sapiens. The sequence goes on from NC_000003.12 coordinate 46,228,888, forward strand.
TCTGCTATGTGTATTCTTACCATGTGTGTGTCATTTGGTTGTTGTGCTTGCTATTATCAAAAATGATAATGTTATGTGTCAATGTCTCTTTCTTCTTCCTCTTTCTAGCTTTTCCTTTCCTGCTCAGCTAGCTATATGCATATGTGAGAGCTTTGATAGCTTGTGGGCACATAGGTAGACTGTATTTCCAGTCTCTCTTGCATGTGCGTGTGGTCATATCACTGAGTTGCAGCCAATGGGATATAGATAGAAGTGATATGAGCGATTTCCAGGCCAGCCCATAAAGCCCTTTCATGAACATTCTTTCATACTGTCTCCTTCCTTTGGGTGGTGCAGTTGTATATGTTGTGATCTCAGATGCTAACTCTTGTGATATCAGAATCACAATATGAAAGGTGCCTAGGAGCCTGTATTAATGTTTATCAATCCTGATTAGCTTTACATGATCAATGAATACACTCCTAAGTGTTTAAGTCCACTGTACATTTCAGAGTTTGTTTTTTATATCATTTTCTTAACAAATATAGAAATTGGTACCTTGAAGTGGGATGCTGACATACAAAAACCTAAAATGTATAGCATTGATGATATAAATTGCCTTAAATATTCAGGCTGTGGGTTGCAAAGAAACTGAACTTAAGGACTGGAAAGCCATGGTTGTCTGGAGTTGGGGGTGGAGGGCAGGAAGGACTGCAAAGGGACACAAAGAATCTCTGGTTGGGGGAGGTGACAGAAATATTTTGAATCTTGATTATGGGAGTTATTTAACAGATGTGTACAGCTGTCAAGATTCCTCAAATCACGGACATTAAATTGATGTAGTTTATTATACATACATTATATTGCAATAAGTTGTTTAAAACAACAACAGATCCCATACATGGTAAACTCCTTATCTTAGATCATGATCCTGGATGCTGAGGTGAAGATTCGTGTGCAAGGAATATATTAAGGAAATGTGCTGAGAAAAAAAAACAGCATAGGAGTCAGAGAAGCAGGACAGAGAGGGAGGAGGCCAAGTAAGAGCGTGGTCCCAGGCAGAGCCCTTAGGGTAGCCCTTATCCCATGAGTGGACGCTGGACTCAGGAGCATTAGGTTATGCCTCAGAGTCTATTCTGACACAAGACAAGGAAGTTGGAGAGATTCCTTCTGGCTCTGTGGGCAAAACCACTCCAGTAGTCAGAGGGCAGGTCTTGATAGAATCATAGGTGCAAGCAGCTGGAAGCAAAAAACATGGAAACAGAAAGGGGTGCATAGGAAAGGTAAGAAGGACTCCACAGGGTCCAGCAGAGCCCCACCAATATCCATGACACTCTCCTTCTATAAGGAGGACTCATTCTTTTCTGTAATGAAGTCACAATATGCAAGTTTTCTTCAGATTTTCTTTATTAAAGAGAAGTGTAGAATTAAAGCAGAGGTGTCCTGACATAAAATTCAACTCCTGAATTTTGGACATGGGCCTCTGGAGTGGAATGGAAAGCCTGGAGTGAACAGAAATACTCCACCACCCACCCCTCAGGCCACCTGGTCCTATGTAACCCCTCATGCCACATCAACGGACCTCCAGGAAGGCAGCAGGCAGAGTGGTTAGGGCTGGGTACTAATCTGATAGAGCTGGATTCCAGGACAAGCCCCACCATTTTTTGCTTGTGTGATCTTGGGCCCGTTGCTTAACAAACTCACCTCAGTGCCTCCTCTGTGAACTGGTAAAAAGAAATGCACTCATCTCCCAGGGTCACTGAAGAGTTTGAACAAGACAGGGTACCTAAAGCCCTTAGCAGAGGGCCCAGCCCCCTCTGACGATGTAAATGCAGCCCCTCCATCTACCTCCTCGCCCCGTCCTCCGGATCACTGTCCTAGTTCATGAGCCTGGGTGCATTAAAGTCATCTTTATCGGTGTTAAGGACCGAGGCACTTTTCCTCCACCCTCCACACTGGCCCTCTGATCTTTTCCAGGGCAGGGACCTAGGCACATGTTTTTATTCATTCAGGATTTGTGCTGCTCAAAACAGATTTTGATCCGTTTTTTGTTTGTTTTGTTTTTTGTTTGTGTTTTTGAAGGTGTCTCGCTCTGTCGTCCAGGCTGGAGTGCAGTGGCGCGATCTTGGCTCACTGCAACCTCTGCCTCCCGGGTTCAAACGATTCTCTTGCCTCAGCCTCCCGAGTAGCTGGGATTACAGGCACACACCATCACACCCAGCTAATTTTTGTATTTTTAGTAGAGAAGGGGTTTCACCATGTTGGCCAGGATAGTCTCGATCTCTTAACCTCATGATCTGCCCTCCTTGGCCTCCCAGAGTGCTGGGATTACAGGCATAAGCCACTGTGCCAGGCCCAGATTTTGACAAGTTTTAAAAGTGCCCAGATTAATCTTGTGGATGAGATGCAAAACAGCACTCCATATGGAAATGGGCTGTGCACCCCTCCCTACATGACTTTCTGAGAATCCTGATCGCCACTGCAGTTTATAGAAGGCTCCAAAACACTTTATTACTCAGGTGTGAACAAAGCAGAGATTACATCTTCCCACAATAAGAAATATTTCTGGTTGTTACTTGTAGGAAAAGGAGCGGTTAGCTTCAATATCTATTATCTATCTATCTGTATTAGTCAACGAGCACAAAGTTTCAGTTACAGAAGATGAATAAGTCCTAGAGATGTACTGAACAGCATGGTGCCTCTAGCTAACAACACTGCATCGTATACTTAAAAATGTGCCAAGAGGGTAGATCTTACGTTAAAGTAATAATCTTGATAAATAGGACAGGAGGAAACTTTTGAAGTGATAGTTGTGTTTATGGTATAGATTATGATGAGGGTTTCACAGGGGTATATTTCTCTCCAAACTCATCAAGTTGTATAGATTAAATATGCACAGCTTTTTGTATATTATACTTCAATAAAGTGGTTTTTAAAAAAGATCCATTATTCATCCACCCCTCTTATCTTGTTTCAGGAGAAACAAGATCTATTGATCTATCCCATCTCTTTCCCTGCCCCAATGTCTCTCTTGCATTTCCAGGGGCCCATGTGACAGTGTGAGGTACCATGGAAATAAGAACTTCACATATTTTACTTGGGTAACATTATATGAATTTGTTCCTGTTTATTGGAAGTGCATTGTTTTTGCATTTAATTAGGAAGTATTTTCCATATCCTGGGGAGAAAAATGTATTTTCTGCATAATTTCTAAATCATTGTTCAATTTTTTTCTTCATCGTCATATTTATTTACTGAGTTTGATACTAGATTTTTGATGTTCTTATAAAAAAATGAAAATGAGCAAAATGAAACACACAGAATGGTTAGAGGAACAAGCAACAACACAATCCCTCACGGGAATGCCCTGAAGGAATATGTTGAAGCTAATTTGAACATGAAGGTTACGTCTGTCCAGATCTCTAAAAGCAGCCACCAAGCAGGTTTTACACAGGGAAAGATTTTGTTGGAAAAGCACCTGGGAGGGAAAGTGGGCTGGAGCAGGAAGGGCTGGGAAAGCCGGCAGAACCCCAGTGAGGTAGCAGGGGAACCAAGCGGTAGTAGACGCATCCTAGACTGTTCTGCAGCCTGAGGAAGGTTTGGCATAGCCACGTGGGGGTCCTTAAGCTAATGTCAGTGCATCTCTAGGGATTGGGCCTGCCTCAGTATCCCTGTGTGCTCAGTCATTGGAAGCACAACATTGATTTCAGAGCCTGCAGAGGGGTCTTAGGCTTTCTGGAGTGGGAGGGGCATGTTCATGGCTGCACCGGTGGTTTGCCCCATCCTTGGTGCCATTCTGGATGTGATGTTGCACTGATGGTAAATATCAAGGCCCAGATCAATGCTAGACTCTTGTTCACCTGTTATCTTGAAATCACAGGTGGCCCACCACCTCCCCCAATAGCACAGCTTCCACGTTCTCACTCCTGTCTCTTTTGTAGAATAGGCTATCTATCAGGGGAATAATCCTTTTTTGTGTTTTTCTAGATGAAGTCTTGCTCTGTTGCCCAGGCTGGAGTGCAGTGGCACAATCTCGGCTCACTGCAACCTCTACTTCCTGATTTCAAGCAATTCTCCTGCCTCAGTCTCCCGAGTAGCTGGGATTATAGGCACACGCCACCACGCCTGGCTAATTTTTGTATTTTTCGTAGAGACGGGGTTTCACCATGTTGGCCAGGCTGGTCTCGAACTCCTGACCTCGTGATCCACGTGTCTCAGCCTCCCAAAGTGCTGGGATTACTGGCGTGAGCCACTGCACCCGGCCCATAGTCCTTTTTGTAAAGCTTTCACAGGAGGGTGACGTGCTGTCAGTGGAGGGAACACAGAAATACACAGGATTGCCAACGTGCTAGAGAGGGGCCCTGCTGGCTACAAAAGTCCTTCCACTAACTTCACTAGAAAAGTGACAGTAAACACAAGTCTGGCTGGAGCCCCACATTTCTGGCCCTGGTGCCCGGGAAGGAAGGTGGGTGCATTAAAGGAAGCTTTGCACTTCTCCCTGCTGCTCTGGCAATCGTTTCCGTTCACATGCTCAAGGTTGTGGCTTGACCTATGCTCTCCTGCAAAATATTGCTGACCCTTTCCTATTTCTGAGGTTCTTTGCTTTTCCCCTCCCATGTTCCCATACTCCTAAGCTATCTTCTGCGTGTGTTGTTGTTGTTTTGGCTCTTTTTTCCCGCCCCCCAGAAATGTGTCTGCTTCAGTGTAATGTGGCAGTGAGAATCTGGGAGATTGGAAGACATTTGTGTTTGGTTGGGTTTTCCCACACACCTCTGTTTTTCCTGTGAGCTAAGAACCCCAAAAGAAGCATCAAAAATTTCTTTCCCGTGGTAGGAAAAGCCAGGACAGAACGAGCCATTCTGGACCTTGGGGAAACCACTTTGTGTTCTGGTTTCCTTCAGGTTTGATGCCATCCTCACCTTTGGCTGAAGGGCAACAGGCAACTCTTCTTCAGACGGCAGTACCATGCCGGAAAACAGAGCACCATGTGGCTAGCCCAAGCTCTGGGGTAGAGCCAGCTCTGCCCTTCACTCTCTGTGGCTTTTGCCAAGTCCCTCATTGAGTCTCAGCTTCCCCATCTGCAACACAGGGGTAAGGTAGCAGGGTTGCAAGAGCATCCTGCCACCTCCTGGGCTGCAATGGATACCCCGTCAAGGTAAGACAATGGACAGGGGGCAGTATGCCCTTGTAGTGCCTGTGCATGCATCAGGCCGGCACTGCTCAGAGTGCTCCTGAGGCATCCTGACCTTGAGAGATGTTAACACTTGTCATTTGAAAAGTATTTTTTTTCTAAGTTAAAGATAGGTTTGAGAAATGCTGGATTAGGAAGGTTTCAAACAGATTCATCACTACAGGACTTCTCAGGGGCCTTTAATGCACTGTGAATCTCCAGGAGTGTTTTCTAACAGTGCATGCTTTTATCCTAAGAGACATTAAATGTATTGGGATGGATTCATTGGTTTAATCAATGGGTAGTTCATGAGAAGCTTCAACCTGAAAGGCCTGAGGGCTCTTGATACCCAAGAAAGCCCAGGGGAGATCCTTGACATCTGTGAAACATCAGATCCAAGATCTCCCAGAGTGACCACATACCCTTTCAGAGTCCACTTGGGCTCCAGATGTTATCTGGAGCCATATTTCTACCAAGAATTTATGTGGTTGTGCTTATCCTCACATAAATTAAGCCTCGTTTTAACATTCTATAAAGCTTAGTCTTGCAATTGATGAGCACTCATTGCCCTAACTGGAGCACCCCACAAAATACCCCCTGATTTCCCTTGTTTTTATGTGGAACACACAGTAGAGTCACTCCCATGAAGATCTGAGTCACTGCTGAATTCCATATTCCTGTCGATAATTTATCCCAAATTTATGTTTTCTGCCCCAGAACCACTGCTTTTTAAGATTTCTTTATTATGGCTTTCCTTCCACCACCATCACCAGCATTTAGCTTGTTTTATGAAGAAATGAAGCTCTTTGGTTGTTTAAATCACTTCTGGGGAATTCTAAGGCTACAGTGAGTGGTGAGGATGGAGTTGACCAGGTCCACTCACCAGGTGGAGGGCTCACGCCCATGCATAGCCCCCATTCCCACATCCCACTCCCTTTCTCCTGAAGGGAGCTCAAAGGGTCTACATCTGGCTTCTCTCCACCCCTCTACTGGAGGTGGAGTGGCTTTTAAATTGGTCAGATTTGGAAAGAATAGCTGGGAAGCCTTAGCCCAGCTCTGCTCCTCTTCCTCTTGAAAGAGAGCTGCCTGTCACTCAGTAGATACATCTGTACAGTTCTGTGGTTTAATTAACAGGCTTCTTTTTTCCCTCACTCCCCCACCTACCCCCATATCTTAACTTGCTCAGATCCCAGACAATAAAGGGGGCAGGGGACAGGGAAGGGCTTCTTTCTCTCCAGAGGATACTGAGCACCAGAAGACTAAGTAGGCAATAAATGCCACAGGAGTGTGGAAAGGGAGGTGAGTACCAAGGCCTGCTACATTAAGACATAACAACACATGCTATCATGGTTAGCATTGGAGGCGCACTTCCTACAAGCACTTCTCATAGGCTAGCTCACCCAATTCTCACATCCCTGCAGGTACTATAATGATCTTCATTTATAGACAAGAAAATTGAAACTTTCACATTGCTAATAACTCACTGGGATTGGAGTCCATTCTTTCTAAGCAGAAAGAGATATCTTTGTGGAGAAACTGAATCTTGACTGCAGGTCAGTGTATAGAGTGCCCTTGACATAAGTAACTCCATCTTAGAAAAAGACTTCATCTTACATTTCAAAAGGCGTTGAGGACCAGATGTTTTTGCCTGAACAAAACACTGCATTCAAGCAAATAAGGACATAACCAAACATACTCTTCCACTACGAGCCCTCACCAGAGGACTGGCCATAAAAGAGCAGGACTTCAGCAGCTCAAAACAGCAGACTTAACAGATGCTGTCTTGCTGTCATTTGTGATAAGCACATGGCATCTGCTGCCGAAGGCTCTACGCACATCAAATACTCTTCCTTGCAAGATGCTGATGCTGACTGGCACCTGGGGCATTCCAGGACATTATTTTTGTTCATGTTGCTCTCCCTGGACTGGTTTGTTAACTCTTTTTCCTATCCCTTTTCTCTTGATGTCAAATGTTACTTTGTTTGATGTGGAATATTTAATCTATAATATTTATATATTGATTAAGTATACTATGATGTATGGTTTGCAATACTGACTGACTTGGGGAGTGGCTTGAGCCTGTGTGCCCATGGCTCTGACTACAGAGTAAATGGGTGGTACCAACGGGAACTGCCTCCTTGGGAACTCCATGCAGTTCGTGGCTTTTATGATTGAAACAGCACCAGCAGAAGTGTGACCTCGTGGAAAGACATGAAAATACATGGACTTGGTTATCTCTGACCTTGTGCCCCTCATGATAGTTGAACTCAGAGCAGCAGAGAGAAGAGAAAAGGGAAGACACCGGCTGCTGAGAGCTGCCCTCACCATGGTGGTGCATGTGCAAGGCCACATGGGCTCTGCTCCACCAGCCCCATCGACAGGCTCCCAGGACGGCTCACCTTCCAGGAAGTCCTGCTGACACTGTTGTTGCTGCATTGGGTAGAAGTCTGCTTCCATGTAACCTCTCCACCCTGGGCTGCGTCAAACTGCCCACAGGAAATGTCACCTCTATAATAAACAACTAGAGGACTTCTTATCTTCTCTTTTGCAGACCAGAGGCTTCCAGTTCCTCTAATTCTTCTCCACTGGTTCTGCTGGCCCTCTTGGGACTGCTGGTTGTCAAGCTCCCTCACACTGGGGTCCCCAGGATGTCCAGAGTTTCCCAGCAGCATTGGAGAGAGGCAGCACATAGTGGGACCCTAGTGGGAAGAGAGGCAGCAGGCTCAGAAGAGTTCAAAACCTCAGTTCCAAGAGTCTGTACCTTATCTAAGACACAATAGCACATGGCTGAAGATTCTTCAGCAGAGGAGGGAAAGGGGAGTGGGTGTGAGGCCAGGGATCCTGGAAAGTTGTCCCGCAGGCAGCTGTAAGGGGAGACCTGAGGAGAGAAAGGAGGCAGCTGCCTCTCAGTCAATTCAAATTACCTCTTGTGAAATTGTCTTTCTATGCCTGGCTTATTTCACTTAACATAATGACCTCCAGTTCCATCCATTTTGCTGCAAATGGCATGATTTCATTCATTTATGGCTGAATAATATTTCATTGTGCATATATACCACATTTTCTTTATCTATTCATCCATTGATGAACACTTAGGTTGATTCCATATCTTAACTAGGTTGAATAGTGCTGCAGTAAACACGGTGGTGCAGTATCCCTTTGATATACTGATTTCCTTTCCTTTGTAAAAATACCCAATAATGGGATTGCTGGATTGTACCTTAGTTCCATTTTTAGCTTTTTGATAGATCTCCAGTTGTTTTTGTTGAGTTGCTTGAGGTCCTTGTACATATTCTGGATATTAGTACTTGGGTGAATGGTTTGCATAGATTTCTCCCATTCTACAGATTGTCTCTTCACTCCGTTGGTTGTTTCCTTTGCTGTGCAGAAGCTTTTTAGTTTAATACTGTCCCATTTGTCTATTTTTGTTTTTGTTGCCTGTGCATTTGAAGTGTTAGCCACAAGAGCTTTGCCTAGATTAATGTCTTGAAGCATTTTCCCTATGTTTTCATGTAGTAGTTTTATAGTTTTAGGTTTTATGTTTACATTTTTAATCCATTATAAGTATATTTTTGTGAAAGATAGGGGTCCAGTTTCATTCTGCATGTGGCTATTCAGTTTTCCCAGCAGCATGTATTGAAGAGGGTGTCCTTTCCTCAATGTATGTTTTTGGCACCTTTGTTGAAAATAAGTTGGCTGTAACTGTGTGAATTATTTCTGGGCTCTCTATTCCATTCCATTGGTTTATGTGTCTGTTTTAATACCAACGCCATGCTGTTTGGGTTACAATGTAAGCTGCTACATTTTAAGATCATTTGTTATGAAGCTACAGTAACCAGAACACTGTTTTTCATAATCCAGGTGCCTGATTTTGATCTTCTTACCACCTTCAAGTTTGAGAGAATAATTTCTACACATTTGAAAGAAATCAAGATCTGCTTACATTTCCTAGTTGGTTAAACACATAGTTTCAGATCTTTTCTCTATTTCAATTACATATTCCTGAGAACCAAACTGCTTTACTTGAAAGTTGCTCCAATGTTCTGACAGATTGATACTTTTAGTTCTTTAAACAAATAATGAGCTGCTTTGAATTATAATGCGTTGTATAATAAACTGCCTTATTTTCAGAGTGGCTATACAATTTTTCTTTCCCACTAGCTCTGTATGAGAGTTTTAGTGTTCTGTATTCTTGTCAGCACTTGATATTGTCAATTTAAAAAAAAAAGTTAGTCATTCTAGTAAGTATGTAGTTGTATCTCATTGCAATTTTAATTTACATTTTCCTAATGACTAACAATGTTGACAGTCTTGTGTGCTTATTTGCCATCTATACTTTTTTTTTATGGAATATCTATTCAGATCTTTTTTATTGGGCTGGTTTCTCAATGTCGAGTGCAGTGCATTTACTAGGGAAACTTAACAAAGTGTTGCAGCAGTTCTCATGACAGTGAGAAAAAGAGATGTTTTACCTAGGTATGTCCACCACAAGGGGATCAGGGTATGGAGTTTATATGAGGATTTACGGAATTTGGCTCAGGGCTGGGGATAACTTCTCTTAGTGCTTTAGCAATAACCTGAATACCTTTATTAGTGCGTGGAAGTGTTCAAGTCCCTAGCTTGAGTTCAAGCCACAGGAGACAACACAAAACTTGCCAAGTCACAGCGTAGTCAAGGCACTCTCTATTTCTCAGGTGAGACAGAGAAAAAAGTGGGGGGACCTGAGGGACCCTACAATCACTGATACATGGAATAACACAAATGAATCTCAAACTCATTATGCTGAGAAAAAAGCTAGACACAGGAGTAGATATGGCATGATGCCATTTATATATGATATTCTAGAACAAGCAAAACTAAGCTAGAGCAACATAACGCAGATCAGCGGTTGCCTGGGACAGGGGATAAGGGAGTCATTGATTGAAATGGGGCATAAGGTACTTTTTGAGGTGTGAAAATGTCCTGTATTTGATTATGATGGTGATTCAGAGAGGTATGCAATTGTTGAATTTGTTGACCTGTACCCTTAAAATGGGTGCAAGCAAATGACACTTCAATATGTTGTTAACTGAAAAACTAATGAGGGAAATCGTAGAGATTATTACAAGAATCTGCCTTATTGCAAAATGCCAGAAAAAAATGCTGTCCCGTCCTCTTTGTTTTTCTCCAAGGTGTAGAAATGGAAGTGACTGAATTTTTACAATCTCTTGCGAATTAGCTATTAAAAATCTTATGCATGTAGCTTCTTTACAGAAATCTCCAAATGCTTTTTAAATCTTTGTAACCTTCTAGGAAATACTATAATTTGTTGATTTCAGATGAAGAATGCTTTGTTATAGTTTTAACTCTGCAGAGATGTCATTTGGTAATTGTGATTATTTATCAAGCTCCTACCATGTGCTTCATCTTAGCCAAAATTTCCACTGTAGATGGTGAAATTAGGGCTCAGGAAGGCTACATGACTCATCTATATGAGCCATAAATGGGCGAGGTGAACCCGGTCTGTGTGGTGCTAAATCCCAGGTGCCTTCTATTTCACCACTGGTGAGAACACAGAGTGCTAATTAAGGAGACTGGAGCTGGAATTTCCACTCCACCATTTAGTCATGTGTGAGCTTGGACAGGTCACTTGATCTCAATTCCCTTATCCACAGGTTAGGTGATTACCAGCATTGCTCCTCATTCTGGTCTACTGCGTAGTCCCAGGTGGAGCAGTTTGCATTGATTACCCTGTGAATGGCACCCCATGGAGGCAGCTCTGGGATGACAATCTCCCTATTAAGTTAAAAGGTCATTGTGGGATTTCCACCCAGAAAATTTATGTGGAATACTCTGAAAACCCTCAAACACTGATCTCAAATAAGGTAGTACCAGTACTATAACTCAAAATCCTTCAATAGCTCCCACATTTCCATGGAATCTACTGTGAACTCGTCAACTCTTTATAATCTAGCCAAAACCAGCAGTCAATCTTATCTCCCTCCACTCTTTGCTCCATGCCCACTACCTCTGCCAGGCCCATGCCTTTCCTGTCTTCAGATGTCATTGACCGCCTGTTGGCATGTCATGTGATCTAGGGATAAAACTCCCCAGATAAAGTGAAAGGAGTGGAAGCCAGATGCACCACAATGGGCCTGCAAAATTCCACCCTCTGCCAGAGACCTGCAGGTGGCTCTGAATGCTCTGCAGGGCTGGAGCTTCTGAATGTGTGTCACCCTAACAGATGTATATAATGTGTTACACATTTTAAAATGTGTATGTGTGTATATATATTAATCTCCCTGGCTCTTGGTTCCTGGCATTAGGATGCAAGCATATCTGTTCCCTAATTTCATTCCTGCCTACCCCTGCACAGGGACCAAGCTCACCTCACCTCTTGGTCTTGGTAGCTCTACTTCCTTTTTCCTGGAAACTCTCCCTACCCCTTCCACATGGCCAAATTCTGTTCATCCCTCGGGCCCTTTCTCTTCCATGAAGCCGTTCCCAGTCCCTTCAGCCCACATGGTCCTGTTTTCTAAACCCTGTAGAACTTGCATTTGACATCCCACATGCTGAATCAGAGCACAATATATTATACTATATTTCAGACCACCCTGAGTGGCTGCCTCTTTCTCACTGAGAGGGTCTGTCATGACAACTATGATAAGTATTTTCATGACGCTGTCCACATGCCACACACTGGCCTCCACGTAGTCCTAATTTATTTGCTCCTCACACAGATCCTACAAGCTAGGCATTGCTACATCATTTTGCAGTAGAGCACGCTGAGGCACACAGAGGTTATGTAGCTTGCCCACGGTGATATCCCTATTAAGCGGTAAAGGTAGGTTTTGCATTCAGGTGTCCAGCAGCAAAGTCTGAGATCTTACTATCAGTCGAAAATTTTGTTTTAGCCAATTTGAATATGCTATATTGAATATGCTGTAGATTAAATAGTGAAATGTTTCTTTGGTTATGCTTTAACTATATTTGAGCATTCTTGATATTTTATCAGGTCTCTGTTGTCTCTGATCACCAACAAGGTTATAGACTCTTTAAGGTGGAAACTGAGCCCCTTCCTCCCTTTCTTCTCTTTCTCTCAAATTCTCTCCCTATTCTTTCTCTCTCTCTCTAATGCACATGTGTGTGCGCTCTCTCTCTCTCTCTGTCTCTCTTATCCTCCTTCCTCTTTCTTTGTCTTTTGTTCCTATGTTTTCTTTATCATGAAGCATACAGCACAGTCCTACACACATATCAAACGTTTGATAAACACTTTGGTGCATTACACTCATTTGTCGAGTTAGTCAGTGTATCAAAGATCACTTCATGCTTAGTCAGAGTTCTTCCCACAAATATTGGGTGAATACCTGCTCTGTGCCCAGTGCCATGCTAGGTCCCAAGGGACACATCAGCACATACAGCAGGCACATGGCTCTGCCCTGTGACGCTTTGCCCTGAGACATGGCTCTGCCCTATGACGCTTATGTCACAGTGGCATTCTACCCACACTTTACATTTCCTTAGCCCTGTATATTCTGCAGAGACTTTTCACATATTTATCTTAGTTGGTTCCACGGCAATGCTATGACTTAAATATCATTATTTCCAGTTTAGAGATGAAAAAGCTGAGGTCCAGCAAGTTTAAATTACTACCCCCAGCTTATGTAGCTGTGTATGCCACAACTGAAACTCAAACTCAAGTCTTTTAGACTTGTCTAAACCTTTGCAGCCACATTTTGCCCCATCCAAGTGTCTACTGGACCCTGCAGAATAATTAGTTTATTCCTTTGCCGGGAAATTCTTATTTCATTCTTCATCCTGTCTCCCGATGAGTCAAATCAATGCTTATTCAAGAATTATAAATCCCAGGTCTTTAGGAGGCCGAGACTCGCAGATCACTTGAGGTCAGAAGTTTGAGACCAGCCTGGCCAACATGGTGAAACCCTGTCTCTACTAAAAATACAAAAATTAGCCAGGCATGGTGGCATGTGCCTCTAATACCAACTATTCCAGAGGCTGAGGCAGGAAAATCCCTTGAACCCAGGAGGTGGAGGTTGCAGTGAACTGAGATCATGCCACTGTACTCCAGCCTGGGTGACAGAATGAAATCCTGTCTTAAAAAAAAAAAAAAAATTATAACAACCCCCCACCACTAAAAATGAGCAATGCCAATGGGTGGAGAGCCCCTAAAGCAGCACTAATTGCAAGGATTTCTCAGGTGACTGGTTAGTATGTGGTGTCAATCATGAAAAAGAAGAACTGCACGAAAGTATCTTTCTGAAAACTTGCAAAACTGAGAAGCTAGTCTGTTTAAAACAGGAAGTTATATACTTACATTGTTTACTACTTTACTAATGTCTGTGATCTGATGGTATCTCTGTTTCAGGAGTGGTGACGCCTAAGCTATCACTGGACATATCAAGGACTTCACTAAATTAGCAGGTACCACTGGTCTTCTTGTGCTTATCCGGGCAAGAACTTATCGAAATACAATAGAAGTTTTTACTTAGAAGAGATTTTCAGGTAGGTGTCGCTTTTCCAGGAAAAGGGAGGTGGAACAAGGAGGGGTCCAGGCAGGTGGAAGTAGTAACTTCCAGCAGTGCTCTTGGATCTAGGAGGGAGGAGAGGAAGGTACACAGCAATTTAGAGGTAGTATGGGGCCAGAGTGGGAGAAAATATGGCCACATATCTCCATTTTCTTCTTGCTTTTTCTAATTTTCCCTTTCTGTCTCCCATCCACACAATGATAAGTTTGCGTGTAGCACTCACCCAAACTTGGCCCTTTATACCTCTTTAGTCAACATCTGTGCCCATGTTACCCTCCTATACTTTCACAAATTCTCAACTATGTGCATATGACTACTCCAAAGAGCTTACACTTAATAGCTTGTGTTTATTTATATTGACTTGTAAGAAATAGCAAAAATATAATTTTACATATATATGTGTATATATATATATATACACATATATATATATATATATATACGCACACACACATACATTTTTATATATACAAAGTCCTCCCTCAGTATCTGTGAGGGATTTGTTCCAGGACCCTTGCAGATACCAAAATTCATAGATGCTCAAGTTCCTTATATAAAATGATGTAGTATTTGCTGATAACCTACAAATATCCTCCAGTACCCTTTAAATACAAGTACCTAGATTACTTGTAATACCTAATACAACGCATACAGAGCGCTTCATTCATGTGGAGTCAACATAGCACTTGCTGCGTGGCAAATTCAAGGCTTGGTTTTTGCAACTTTGTGGAGCTTTTTCCCAGATATTTTTGATCCGTGATTGGTTGAATACACAAATGTGGAACCCATGGATACAGAGGGCTGATTATATACATATGTGTGTGTGCATTAAGTATGTATGTGTGGAAATATATATATTTATTTGAAGTTTTCATTGAAAATCCACACTAAATCAAGCTACTAGATGAGTCAGTTGATTGATTTGGTGTCTTTTTTTCTGGGTGAATGAGATTGTCTGTGTTAGAGGGTAGAGCTAGAAAGCCTTACCGATTCTTCTGGAAACGCCTGGATTGACAGAGGATGAGTGTTAACTTTGACAAGTACTTCAAGTGAGAGTGGTGGGAATAAGGGGTCTTCCACATGGATGTGGTATAAGTTGAAGTATATTTTTGAAGTGCAGCTCTTTCCAGAAAATGGTGATGATTACACTGAACCACGCAGGATGAGTTAGCTCTTCTGGGAGAAGAAATATGAGCCCTTTGTATGACTTAATAAGAAAAAAGCAGATCTGTACAGCAGAATAAATTGGGTAAAGGGCACAAAGAGATAAATCACAGGAAGGGAAATATGAATGACTAATACTTGTAGTTAAAAAAAATCAGTAATGAAATAAATGTTAATTACAACAATAATGGCAACCCTTTTGCCCATCTAATTGGCCAAGTAATTTTTTCTTTCTTTTAGATCTTCTCCATATTGATGGATGCTTGCTGAAATGGGCACCATCACCTACTAGTGCCAAGAGTATATATATTGTTACACACTTTCTGGAAGCAATTTGACAAAATGCATCAAGAGACTTCGAAATATAATTCAATGTAGAAATTGTGATTTGTGTAATATACCTTAAGGAAATAATTTTAAAATGCACACAAATATGTTTATTGCAGTATTATTTATAGCAGAGCAAATTGTGAATAACTTAATCACACAACAAAAAGGCAATGGTTAAATAAGCATGATTATCTATACAATATGTTGGAGTCATTACAAATTACATTTTTAAGTAATTTTTAGCCACAAGGAACTAGGTGAAAGGTAAAGAAGTTAAGGTATCAGAATACAAAATGATATACAAGTGTACTATCTTTCATGCGCGTCCGTGTGAAGAGACCACCAAACAGGCTTTGTGTGAGCAATAAAGCTTTTTAATCACCTGGGTGCAGGCAGGCTGAGTCCGAAAAGAGTCAGCGAAGGGAGATAAGGGTGGGGCCGTTTTATAGGATTTGGGTAGATAAAGGAAAATTACAGTCAAAGGGGACTTGTTCTCTGGCGGGCAGGAGTGGGGGTCACAAGGTGCTCAGTGGGGGAGCTTTTTGAGCCAGGATGAGCCAGGAAAAGGGACTTTCACAAGGTAATGTCATCACTTAAGGCAAGGACCAGCCATTTTCACTTCTTTTGTGGTGGAATGTCATCAGTTAAGGCGGGGCAGGGCATTTTCACTTCTTTTGTGATTCTTCAGTTACTTCAGGCCATCTGGGCATATATGTGCAAGTCACAGGGGATGTGATGGCTTGGCTTGGGCTCAGAGGCCTGACACTGTCAATTATAACATACATGGTACCTGGAAAGGCAGTGGCTCTCTCTCCATAGCACAGTTGGAGGTGGAAGCACTGGGTCCCAGAAAGCTGAAATTCTGGTCATGGTGACTATCCCACAACCATGTTATTTGGAATGTATATGCATACTTTCCTTGTGAAAACATATTCTTCATGACCAACTCCTTCAATAATCCAAAATCATTTGGCTGGTGGGCGAAACCCTGTCACTTAAGATGAACTGACCGCACTCAGACACAATTCTGAAAGACACAAGCATGAGGTGTAACTTTTGCATTAGTAACTATTATTAATGATTGGAAGCTCTGGAAATCCATGTGCTGCCCTAAAATACCAATTCTGGGAAATGTTTGTGGCTGGAAAGAAGACTGCATTCATTCATGATTTGAACTTTGAGAGGCTCTTCTTGTGTATTTCCAGGGAAGAAGCTCACTGGCTCCCTCATTCCGTTCCTGCACTGTTCTCAGAAAGTTCTTCCCCATGTGTGGATGTATCTAGTATCCTCCAAGGTCATCAAATTTCTGCTCTATGAGAGTCTACTTCCTCTTCTACAGGAAGAACTATCGTATCATAGACTTTTCTATCTTACGTGGGCCTAAAACATTGCCTAATCCAACCCTTTAATTAAAAAAAAAAACTTTGATCCAGACCAAAGGCATACAAAAACAAAACAAAACAAAACAAAACCTAAAATGAATCCAAATATGATTATTTTCCTTTTTTTTAACTTTTATTTTAGGTTTGGGGGTACATGTGAAGCTTTGTTACGTAGGTAAACTCGTGCCATGGGGGTTTGTTGTACAGATTATTTCATCACCCAGGTATTAAGCCTAGTAGCCAATACTTGTTTTTCTGCTCCTCTCCCTCCTCCCACTCTCAAGTAGACCCCTGTGTCTGTTGTTCTCTTCTTTGTGTTCATGAGTTCTCATCATTTAGCTCCCACTTATAAGTCAGAACATGTCGTATTTGGTTTTTTCCCTGCATTAGTTTGCTAAGGATAATAGCTTCTAGCTCCATCCATGTTCCTGCAAAAGACACTATCTGTTTTTTTATGGCTGCATAGTATTCCATGTGTATATGTACCACATTTTCTTTATCCAATCTGTCATTGATGGGCATTTAGTTTGATTTCATGCAAAGGCTATTATTTTTCATACAAAACATTCCAAGTTCTGCCAACTATGGCTGATGTTTTGGGACTGTTATCATCCTACTTCCTTCTATAGTCTAGGTTGATACTAACCCTCTTAAAATTTGGTGCCTGGAACAGAACATAATATTTCAGATGTGTAGTCTGGACAGTGCAAAGCAGAGTAAAAATTATTCTACTCCATCCTTTCATACACTTAAGAAGAGTTTATTAAGCATCTTTCATTTGTCAGGCATCATGCTGGACACTAGGCCTGTACTGTCCACTATGGTGGCTACTTGCTTTTATGCGTGTCCGTGTGAAGAGACCACCAAACAGGCTTTGTGTGAGCAACATGGCTGTTTATTTCACCTGGGTGCAGGCGGGCTGAGTCCGAAAAGAGAGTCAGCGAAGGGAGATAAGGGTGGGGCCGTTTTATAGGATTTGGGTAGGTAGAGGAAAATTACAGTCAAAGGGGGTTTGTTCTCTGGCGGGCAGGAGTGGGGGTCGCAAGGTGCTCAGTGGGGGTGATTTTTGAGCCAGGATGAGCTAGGAAAAGGACTTTCACAAGGTAATGTCATCACTTAAGGCAAGGACCGGCCATTTTCACTGCTTTTGTGGTGGAATGTCATCAGTTAAGGTGGGGCAGGGCATATTCACTTCTTTTGTGATTCTTCAGTTACTTCAGGCCATCTGGGCGTATATGTGCAAGTCACAGGGGATGGGATAGCTTGGCTTGGGCTCAGAGGCCTGACATTCCTGCCTTCTTATATTAATAAGAAAAATAAAACAAAATAGTGTTGAAGTGTTGGGGTGGCGAAAATTTTTGGAGGGTGGTATGGAGAGAGAATGGGCGATGTTTCCCAGGGCTGCTTCAAGCGGGATTAGGGGCGGCGTGGGAACCTAGAGTGGGAGAGATTAAGCTGAAGGGAGGTCTTGTGGTAAGGGGTGATATTGTGGGGATGTTAGAAGAAACATTTGTCGTATAGAATGATTGGTGATGGCCTGGATATGGTTTTGTATGAATTGAAAAACTAAATGGAATAAGAGAAGGAGAAAAACAGGTATAAAAGGTCTAAGAATCGGGAGGACCTAGGACATCTGATTAGAGAGTGCCTAAGGAGATTCAGCATAGTCCTGCCAGCAAAGATTATTTATTTACTTCAAGAGTTAAGAGCGGCGGTTTGGGGATAGCACGAGGAGATATCAGCTGTGATGGCTTGAAAAAACAGTGTAAACTGGCAGTGTAAACAAGAGCAGGGCATGTATGAGTAGTTGAGAACAGAGAACAGGAGTATGACTAGATAGAAAATAGTAGGGATGACAAGTTTTTTTGGGGCACAGTCTAAGGTGGTCCGGTGTCTGGAATGAGACTGGGGGCCTAATGAAAAGGAGCATCTATACAGGAACTTAAATGGGCTGTACCTTATAGCATTCCGAGGACAGGTCTGACTTCTGAGAAGGGAAAGTGGTGAAAGTATTGTCCAGTTCTTTTTAAGTTGGTGGCTGAGCTTGGTGAGGTGTGTTTTTAAAAGACCTTTAGTCCGTTCTACTTTTCTTGAAGACAGAGGACTATAAGGGATATAAAGGTTTCACTGAATACTAAGAGCCTGAAAAACTGCTTGGCTGATTTGACTAATAAAGGCTGGTCTGTTATCAGACTGTATAGAGGTGGGAAGGCTAAACTGAGGAATTATGTCTGACAGAAGGGAAGAAATGACTGCGGTGCCCTTCTCAGACCCTGTAGGAAAGGCCTCTACCTATCTAGTGAAAGTGTCTACTTAGACTAAGAGGTATTTTAGTTTTTGTGACTCAGGGCATGTTGAGTAAAGCTAATTTGCCAGTCCTGGGCAGGGGCAAATCCTCGAGCTTGATGTGTAGGGAAGGGAGGGGGCCTGAATAATCCTTGAGGAGTAGTAGAATAGCACATAGAATAGCAGATGGAACACTGAGAAGTGATTTCCTTGAGGATAGATTTCTACAATGGAAAGGAAATGAGAGGTTCTAAGAGGCAGGCTAGTGGCTTGTACTATAGCATAGCCTGCCTTTGCTGGTGTGTGGTGATTAGGCCTGGTGGAACTGCCATCAATAAATCAAGCATGATCAGGGTGAGGAACAGGAAAGAAGGAGATATGGGGAAATGGGGTGAATGTCAGGTGGATCAGAGAGATACAGTCATGAGGGTCAGGTGTGGTTTCTGGAATAATGTGGGAGGCTGGACTGAAGTCCGGGCCAGGAATGATGGTAATTGTGGGAGACTTAACAAAGAGTGAGTACAGCTGAAGGAGCCAAGGAGCAGAAAGTATATGCATCAGGTATGAGGAAGAAAATAGATTTTGGAAGTTATGAGAAATGTAGAGAGTGAGTTGAGCATAGTTTGTGATTTTTAGGGCCTCTAAAAGTATTAAAGCAGTGGCAGCTGCTGCATGCAGACATGAGGGCTAGGCTAAAACAGTAAGATCAAGTTGTTTGGACAGAAAGGCTACAGGGTGCAGTCCTGGCTCTTGTGTAAGAATTCTGACTGCACTAACCATGCCTAGGAAGGAAAGGAGTTGTTGTTTTGTAAGGGATTGAGGTTTGGGAGATTAATCGGACAGGATCAGCAGGGAGAGCACGTGTGTTTTTATGAGAATTATGCCGAGATAGGTAACAGATGACGATGAAATTTGGGCTTGACTGAAGTAATGGGGGCTGTCTGTGAAACCTTGTGGCAGTACAGCCCAGGTAATTTGCTGAGCCTAATGGGTGTCAGGGTCAGTCTAAGTGAAAGCAAAGAGAGGCTGGGATGAAGGGTGCAAAGGAATAGTAAAGAAAGCATGTTTGAGATCCAGAACAGAATAATGGGTAGTAGAGGGAGGTATTGAGGATAGGAGGTTATATGGGTTTGGCCCCACGGGGTGGATAGGCAAAACAATTTGGTTGATAAGGTGCAGATTCTGAACTAACTTGTAAGGCTTGTCTGGTTTTAGGACAGGTAAAATGGGGGAATGGTAAGGAGAGTTTATAGGCTTTAAAAGGCCATGCCTTAGCAGGCGAGTGATAACAGGCTTTAATCCTTTTAAAGCGTGCTGTGGGATGGGATCTTGGCATTGAGCAGGGTAAGGGTGATTAGGTTTTAACGAGATGGTAAGGGGAGCATGATTGGTCGCCAAGGAGGGAGTAGAGGTATCTTATACTTGTGGGTTAAGGTGGGGGAATACAAGAAGAGGACGCAAAGGAGGCTTTGGATTGGGAAGAAGGGCAGCAATGAGATGCGGCTATAGTCCAGGAATAGTCAGGGAAGCAGATAATTTGGTTAAAATATCTCGGCCTAATAAGGGAACTGGGCAGGTGGGGATAACTAAAAAAGAGTGCATAAAAGAGTATTGTCTAAGTTGGCACCAGAGTTGGGGAGTTTTAAGAGGTTTAGAAGCCTGGGCATCAATACCCACAACAGTTATGGAGGCAAGGGAAACAGGCTCTTGAAAAGAAGGTAATGTGGAGTGGGTAGCCTCTGTATTGATTAAGAAGGGGATGGACTTACCCTCCACTGTGAGAGTTACCTAAAGCTCGGCATCTGTGATGGTCTATGGGGCTTCCGAGGCGATCAGGCTGTGTCAGTCTTCAGCCGCTAAGCCAAGAAGGAGTCAGTCAGAGAGCCTTGGGCCAGAGTTCCAGGGGCTCTGGGAGTGGCTGCCAGGTGAGTTGAACAGTCTGATTTCCAGTGGGGTCCCACACAGATGGGGGAATCCTGGGCTGCAGGCATTCCTTGGCCTGGTGGTCAGATTTCTGGCACTTGTAGCAAGCTCCTCGGGGAGGAGGTTCTGGAGGAACGCCTGGCCACTGCGGTTCAGGTGTTTGGAAGTTCTTGTGTGCTGGGGATGTGGCTGGGGTTTGTCTCACAGTGGAGGCAGGGAATTGCAACTTTTTTTTTTTATCATTGTACACCTTGAAGGTGAGGTTAATTAAGTCCTGTTGTGGGGTGTGAGGGCCAGATTCTAATTTTTGGAGTTTTATTTAATGTCGGGAGCAGATTGGGTAATAAAATGTATATTGAGAATAAGATGGCCTTTTGACCTTTTAGGGTCTAGGGCTGTAAAGCGTCTCAGGGTTGCTGCCGAATGAGCCATGAACTGGGCTGGGTTTTTATATTTGATGAAAAAGAGCCTAAACGCTTCTGATTTGGGATAAAGAAAAAGGAGCATTAACCTTGACTATGCCTTTGGCTCCAGGCACCTTTTTAAGAGTAAATTGCTGGGCAGGTGGGGAAGGGCTAGTGATGGAACGAAACTGTAAGCCGGACCAGGTGTGAGGAGGTGAGGCGATAAAAAGATTACAGGGTGGAGGAGTGGAGGCTGAGGAAGAATTGGGACCTAGCTTGGCCTGGCAAGGAGGGGAGAGGTCAGATGGGTCTGTAGAAAAGGAAGATTAGAAAGACTCAGCGATGCTTGGGGTTGGGACTGAGGGGACAGGCGGGAGGGAAACAAGGAAGATTTGGGACAAGTTGCACTGGGCACAGAGACTAGGAAGGGACTGATGTGTAAAAGAATGCCTGGACATCAGGCACCTCAGACCATTTGCCTATTTTAAGACAAGAATTATTTAGATCTTGTAGGATGGAGAAATCGAAAGTGCCATTTTCTGGCCATTTAGAGCCATTGTCAAGTTTGTATTGGAGCCAAGCAGTGTTGCAGAAGAAAATAAGGCGTTTAGGTTTTAGGACAGGTGTAAGTTGAGGTTTTAAGTTCTTGAGGACACAGGCTAAAGGAGAAGAAGGAGGAATGGAGGGTGGAATTTTGCCTATAGTGAAGGAGGCAAACCCAGAGAAAAGAGAGAGTAGAGACATGGAGGGAAGGGGTTCAGGGGTTCTTACCCTCCAGAAAAGCGGGAAGGGGGGTTGGGGCATGGAAATAAGGGATTGGGGCACAGAGATAAGAGGTCTGGGTGCGGAAATAAGGGATTGGGGCACAGAGATAAGAGGTCAGGGTGAGGAAATAAGGGATTGGGGTGCAGAGATAAGAGGTTGGGGTGCAGAAATAAGGGATTGGGGGTTCTTGCCCCCTAGAAAAGTGGGACTTGCCACTAAGAGTGAAGGAGAAGGGGTTGAGGGGTACTTGCCCCTCCCCCAGAAAAGCAGAGAAGGGGTAGAGACATGGAGAGAAGGGGTTGAGGTACTTGCCCCTTTCCCAGAAAAGTGGGACTTGCTGCTAAGGGTGAAGGACCAAGGCAGGCGTCCCTGCGTGGTCTGACACCCTTGAAACGTGGGTGAATAATCAGAGAGGCGTCCCTGCAATGATTAAACACCAAGGGAAGGCTGCCTTCCCAGTCTGTGACCGGCGCCGGAGTTTTGGGTCCATGGATAAAAGGTGTCTCCTTTGTCTCTACCAGAAAATGAAAGGAATTGAAATTAAGAGAAGGGAGAGATTGAAGTGTGGCGCCAAGATTGAAAGGAGAAAGAGGTTGAGGGATAGTGAGGGAGGTTGGAGAAGAGAGTAAAAAGAGGCCGCTTACTGGATTTGAAGTTGGTGAGATGTTTCTTGGGCTGGTCGGTCTGAGGACCTGAGGTCGTAGGTGGATCTTTCTCACGGAGCAAAGAACAGGAGGACAGGGGATTGATCTCCCAAGGGAGGTCCCACAATCCGAGTCACGGCACCAAATTTCATGTGCATCCTTGTGAAGAGACCACCAAACAGGCTTTGTGTGAGCAACATGGCTGTTTATTTCACCTGAGTGCAGGCGGGCTGAGTCCGAAAAGAGAGTCAGCAAAGGGAGATAAGGGTGGGGCTGTTTTATAGGATTTGGGTAGGTAAAGGAAAATTGCAGTCAAAGGGGGTTTGTTCTCTGGCAGGCAGGAGTGGGGGTCACAAGGTGCTCAGTGGGGGTGATTTAAAATCACCTAGCCAGGATGAGCTAGGAAAAGGACTTTCACAAGGTAATGTCATCACTTAAGGCAAGGACCAGCCATTTACACTTCTTTTGTGGTGGAGTGTCATCAGTTAAGGTGGGGCAGGGCATATTCACTTCTTTTGTGATTCTTCAGTTACTTCAGGACATCTGGGCATATATGTGCAAGTCACAGGGGATGCAATGGCTTGGCTTGGGCTCAGAGGCCTGACACTTTCTACATGTGGTTATTTAAATTAAATAAAATGAAAAGTTCAGTTTCTCAATTGCAGTAGCCACATTTCAAGTGCTCAATAGCCATGAGGCTAGTTTCTGTCTTTTTTTTTTTTTTTTTTTTTTTTGAGACAGGGTCTTACTCTGTCTCCCAGACTGGAGTGGAGTGGCACGATCTCAGCTCACAGCAAACTCCGCATCCCAGGCTCAAGAGATTCTCCTGCCTCAGCCTCCCGAGTAGCTGGAATTACAGGGGTGCACCACTACTGCCCAGCTAATTTTTTTTTTTTTAAAGTAGAGACAAGGTTTCACCATGTTGACCAAGCTGGTCTTGAACTCCTGACCTCAAATGATCCACCCACCTTGGCCTCTCAAGATGCTGGGATTGTAGGCATGAGCCACAGCACCCAGCCAAGTGTCTCTCTTATCAGACAGCACAGATACAGAACATTTCCACTAATACAGAAAAATTCTATTGGACCACTGCACAGATAACTAACTTTTCTGGATACTCCAGGTTTTTTGAGAAAAGAAATGAAGGAAGGGAAGGAAGTGGGAGGGGATCAGCTTAATTGCATAGATGGGAAGCAAGTTGAATATCTAGATGGGTAATTGGATGGAAACAAGAAGGGATAGCTGGTGGAGAGGTGGATGGAGAGTCAGGTGGTAGATTTCATTTGTTCTGGATGATACAGCAATATAGCCTACCATTAAATTGGCTCTTGTGTTTGCCATTCATGGTGATAGCTTCTAAAGAACTTGCAACTAAGGATATTCTTTATTCTACCCCTAAGTTTCCCCTTTTCTTTCCACTACATTTAAAATAGGTTGGAGGGTTACATGACTCAGGGATTTAAAAAAAAAAAGTTCAAATTTAGGAGGGACTTCATGTCACATAGTCCAGGAGTTGTCAACCTTGGCTGCACAAGGGAATCACCAGAAGAGCATTAAGAACCACTGAGAGCCAGACCCCATCTCCAGAGACTCTGATTTAATTGTTCAGGGTTATAAGCTGGGGATTTTCAAGAGCTCCCCAGTGACTCCCACATGCAGCCAGGACTGAGAAATGCTGCTCTAGCCAATCTTCCTCCCTCTGGGGGAATCCCTTCTACCCCGTCCCTGATAGGAAGTCACTCAGCCTCTGAGTGAATTCCTCCAGTCACAGCTCACTCAAGACCTCACATGGCACCCATTTCATTGCTGGATAATTCTACTCAAGGTGTTCTTGAGTGGTGGTTGAATTTGCATCTTTGAACTACCTCTTGCTGGTTCTGGGAGGCTTTGCAGGGAGTCACACATAATTCTGATTCTCATCTGCCCAGCCAGTATCATACTCTCTCCCCTCCCCAAAGTGGATTTTCTCCAGGATGGATACGCTTGGCTTCTTCAACTCATCTTTACTGGGTAAAGCTTCCTCTTGACTGCATTTCAATTGGTCAATGTTTGCATTAAATGAGCCCTGGACATATTTGGACCACTTTCGGATGCTGTGAAATGATCCTTCCCACTATCTGCATATAACACTTTTATTAATTTAGATTAAATTAAGATTAAATTTAACTAAGTTTACATGCAGGAAGTTTCTTTATTAACCCCATCACATGTTAACCTTTAAGGGAAACTAGAATTACCGGATTCTTTTGGAGTATTTTTGTTCTACTTTTATTTTAGGTTCAGGGGTAAATGTGCAGGTTTGTTATACTGGTAAATTTTGTGTTGATGCCCAGTGTGGGTAATCTAAATTCTGTTAATAGAAAACTGTTTAAATTCCACACAGTGGAATACCATCTCGCTATTAGAAAGAATGAGGCCGTTCTACAAGTATTGATATAGAAAGATTTCCAAGATGTAAGGTTTAAAAAGGCTCAGAAAACTTGATGTTTCTTACTCTGATTTATGTACCAAAGAATGAGACAGTTCTACAAGTATTGACATAGAAAGATTTCCAAGACATAAAGTTTAAAAAGTCACAGAAAACTTGATATTTCCTACTCTGATTTATGTACCAAAAAGCCACTTATAATTATGTATATAAATTCAGCCACCACTCAAGAACACCCTGAATAGAATTATCCAGCAATGAAATGGGTGCCATGTGAGGTCCTGATTTATGTACCAAAAAGCCACTTACAATTATGTGTATAAGTACATAAACAAATATCAAGAGGGCTCGACAACAAACTCCCCTCTGAGGAGGAGAGGAAATTGAGAAAGGGGAGAATAAAAGAAACTTTACATTTGTCAAAAATAAAATCAGATCAAAATTTAAAGTTGCAGAAGTTTATTGTGCACACAAAAGAACAGTTTGGGAGTGAGGAGACATAGATCTGAAAGTGTAGGGATTCCCACTTAGAGCACTTACAGCATAGTTTATAAAGCATAAAGGGGAAGTATTTTTCCCCCCTGGGTTCAAAGTTCTTTTTTAAAAAAAAATCAATAGGTTTTAGGGGAACAGGTGGTGTTTGTTATATGAATAATTTCTTTAGTGGTGATTTCTGAGATTTTGGTGCACCCATCACCTGAGCAGTGTGTACACTGTACTCAATGTGTAGTCTTTTATCCCTCACTCCCCTCCCATCCTTTCCCCTGAGTCCCCAAAGTCCATTTTATCTTTCTTATGCCTTTGCATCCTCACATCTTAGCTCTCACTTATGAGTGACAATGTACAATGTTTGGTTTTCCATTCCTGAGTTACTTAACTTAGAATAATGATCTCTAATTCCATCTAGGTTGCTGCAAATGCCATTATTTCATTCATTTTCATGGCTGAGTAGTATACCATGGTGTTGCTATAAATGTGTGTGCAAGTATCTTTCTCATATAGTGACTTATTTTCCTCTGGGTAGATACCCAGGAGTAGGATTGATGGATCAAATGATAGATCGACTTTTAATTCTTCAAGGAATCACCACATTGTTTTCCATAGGGGTTGTACTAGTTTACATACCCATCAACAGCATAAAGTGTTCTCTTCACCACATCCACGCCAACATCTATTTTTTTTTTTATTATTATAGCCATTCTTGCAAGAGTAGGCAGTATCACATTGTGGTTTTGATTTGCATTTCCCTGATAATTAGTGGTGTTGAGCATTTTTTCATATGTTCGTTGGCTATTTGTATATCTTCTTTTGAGAATTGTCTATTCATGTCCTTAGCCTACTTTTTGATGGGATTATTTGTTTTTTTCTTGATGATTTGTTTGAGTTCCTTGTAGATTCTGGATATTAGACCTTTATCAGATGTGTAGATTGCAACGATTTTCTCCCAATCTGTTGGTGGTCTGTTTACTCTGCTGATTATTTCTTTTGCTGTGCAGAAGCTTTTTAGTTTAATTAAGTCCCATCTATTTATCTTTGTTTTTGTTGTATTTGCTTTTGGGTTCTTGGTCATGACCTCTTTGCCTAAGCCAATGTCTAGAAGAGTTCTTTTGAGGTTATCTTCTAAAATTTTTATGGTTTTGGGTCTTAGATTTAAGTCTTTGATCCATCTTGGGTTGATTTTTGTCTATGGTGAGAGATGAGGATCCAGTTTCATTCTTCTACACATGGCTAGCCAATTATCCCAGCACCATTTGTTGAATAGGGTGTCCTTTCCCCACTTTATGTTTTTGTTTGCTTTGTTGAAAATCAGTTTGCCTTAAGTATTTGGGTTTATTTCTGGGTTCTCTATTCTGTTCCATTGGTCTATATGCCTGTTCTTATTCCAGTACCATTCTGTTTGGGTGACTATGGCCTTATATTAATAGTGTAGTTTGAAGCTGGGTAACGTGATGCCTCCAGGTTTGTTCTTTTTGCTGTGTTGCTTTGGCAATGTGGGCTCTTTTTTGGTTCCATGTGAATTTTGGGATTTTTTTTCAAGTTCTGTGAAGAATAATGGTGGTATTGAGATGGAAATTACATGAATTTGTAGGTTGTTTTTTGCAGTATGGTCATTTTCACAATATTGATTCTACCCATCCATGAGCATGGGATGTGTTTCCATTTTTTGTGTCATCTATGATTTCTTTCAGCAGTGTTTTGTAGTTTTCCTTGCAGAGATCTTTCAGTATTTTGAACTTTTTTTGTGATTTGCTGTTATACATTAACATGGTGTTGCAACAAGAACATTTAAAGCTGATTTGTCTATAGCAGATTGGTTTAATTTCACTGAATCATGCTGACAATGACATAAACTTTATATTTTGTGTTTCATTTATTATTACATCTGGCTTTTCAGGGAAATCAGGATGACTTCAGTCTTGGCTATGTGGCTATGGGTGGTTGGCCTTGAGGAGTTTGGGCTGTAATCCTGAAAAACACAATCCTGAATGCCATAATCCCAAATGTTGAAATCCAGAAAGACTAAAATTTTAAATCCAAAACCACAATCCCAAAATATTAAAATCCTGAAAATATAACTCTGAAAACAATAATTTAAAAGACATTTATTTATATTCCTATAGGTGGATTTATTTTGAAAAACTTATAAAAACACAACAGAACACTTCACAATAGGGAATAATATATATATTTTTGCAAGCATAAACACTCAGGTATACTAACAACAGTCACAAGGGTATAACAGTTATGAGCAGATGAATTTTATTCATAAATAAATAGTGTCAAAATTTTATTCATAAATAAATTGCGTAAAAAATCACAATGTATAAATGCATATCACTATAGTTAATAATTGTGTGCACCCAGCTTTATAAACTGTAGTCATCTGAAATACTGTGATGGACATCCTAATTCTTTGGATGAGATCAATCGAGAATCATGATGGGTCACCACCATATTTGCCAGTTGCCCAAAGAGCCAAGACCTCGAGAAATTGTATCTTTCACAAACACAGAGGCACAAAAAGGACATCTGTTTATTTATCAAGGAGGTCTTCACATTTGTGCACACACACACACACACAATGCTTACACACAAAGTTGTAGTAGTAATGTACCTTCAGGAGTCAAATTTGCAAAAAAAAATTGCATAAAACATAATAAAACTCTCTAAATGTCTTTACACAGTTTATAACTCCACTACTGAAAATGATGCAAAGATTAAATACATAGCATAGTGAATTGGCACTAGGGGTGAAGGAACAGAAGTGATACACAATTGAGTAACTTGGCAAGGGAAATTTCTTGTATTTTTTCCGTGTGTTTTCACTTCTAAGCTCTTCAAAACACTTGCTGCACTTGTATTTGGAGAGTCGTTGTTGTCTACACATTGCCTAAGTATATGCTGTCCATTTAAAAGTCCGTTTATTGCTTGGCTGTTGCAATTAAAGGATTGGTGCTTTTGTAGCACCAATAATAATCAACTTTAACATTGTTATCTTTCACCATTAAAGTAACCTCATACACTTAGCTTGTCCCAGGCTTTTTTTTTTTTTTTTTTTTTCTGGGAAAAAAGTTCACCAGTCTCTTCCATTGAGAGTAAAGGAAGAGTAATGGAATATTGTGATGCTCATTAGACACTTAAGATGAAATTTTGAGTAGGAATTTGGGTCAGGGCTTAAGACATCAATTTGAGAGTCCTTAACATGTATTAGTATTTAAAACCATAATGGCATATCATTCCAGTAAGAAGGATGATACTCAGCTTCCTCAATACCAAATCTATATTAGTCTGGGTTCTCCAGAGACAGAACCAATAGGATATGTATGTAGATATATGAGATGGGATTTATTAGGATAATTGGCTCACAATTAAGGCGGCTAAGAAGTCCCACAACAGACCATCTACAAGCTGGAGACCCTGGAATACAGGTAGTGTGGCTCAGTGTAACTCTGAAGGCCTCAGAAACAGAGAAGCCAATGTTGTAACTCTCAGTCCTAGGCTGAAAGCCACTGAGTTGGGGGAGGTGGGTAGTTGTATAGTTCAAAGGCTGGTGAGCCTGGATTTCTGATGTCTAAAGCAACAGAAGAAAAGTCTGTTCCAGCTCTCAAAGACAGACCAATTTGCGTTCTGTAATTGTTCTCTTCAGGCCCCCAGCTGATTGGATGGTGCCTGTCAACCCTGAAAGCAGATCTTTCCCACCTAATCCACTCAGACTCACACAGTAATCTCTGGAAACACTTTCACAGACACACTCAATACAATGCTTCAACAAGTTTCTAGTTATTCCTTTACTCAGTCATGTTGACATCTAAAATTAAGTCCACAGATCCACCCTTTGTCAAGTTGACATGCATACACATCTCCTTAAACCATACTTAATTTCCAAATAAAGATAATAGCAAGTAATAGTTCTTCTTAACACGATGCAACTAACATTATGCAACTACGGTGTGTACAACCAGAAATGCACTAATCCTTCCCCAGAATTCAGCTTTCAGGATTTCAACATTAGGAATTTTAGTCTTTTAGGATTGTGATTTTGATCTTTTGGGATTTCAACATTATAGCATTTGGGATTGTGTTTTTCAAGAATATGATCAGCACTGGGCCTTGGGACATATCTAAACTGTGGCCTTCATTTTTATTTTTCTTTAACAATTCCCCACTTTTGGTCATCCTCTCGCTTGAACTGAGAATGTGACTGGCTATTACCCTTGGTTACTACATGTTGCTTTCCTTTCTGTAGACATTTATAGGTCACAAACTAGAATCTCAGTAAGTTATTTTGATGACTCTTATTCATATAGTTTTGGTTTTCAATCCTCACGGAGATCAACTGTTGAGTTAGTGGCTGCTGACAAGCATTTAAGATCCTTGTGAGACTACATTGCATAAGGGATATTATCAATATGACTAATAGGAGGATAATACCAAGAGTCTGAAAAATACCCCAAAACCAACCAAACCAACCTACTTAAGAGCCAAGATTTAGCCAATCAATTGTGCTTCCCTGATCTGGTAGAATAGTAGGATCTGATCTCTTAGATCTCTAAGATTTAGGGCTACAATTCCTGATTCAATGACATAGAAACAGCATTTTAAAAAATATGGCTGTTTCACTCTAATAGATTTTCTTGGCTTGCAGTTTGAATGTCTCTGGTAATGTCAGTGGAGGTCCAGGGAACTTTCTGAGTGGCTGTGCAGCAACATGCACAAAAGATGTTCATATACAAGCTGTTGTGGTGATTTCTCTGAAGTTTATTTTAGGTAATTCAACTTCAGCTTGCAGGACTGTAAGGCTAGAAACAACCCTAGTTCAAAACTGTCAGAAACCTGTATGTGTCAGAGTCTTTCTATGAATTTCATGTCATTTTGTACCATAAGGTATTTGCAAAAGCTTTCAGGAAAGCACCAGAGTAAAACAATAACTGCTGTGGATGAACAATGGTTTAAAATGCCCCTGAGAATTTACTATAATGCAGTTGAAGAAGAAATTTGGTTATTTCTGTGATATACAACATTTTGGCTGATAAAATATATACAACATATGGCTGATATACAACACATGGCTGGTAAAATTATACCAGGACATATCTGATATTTAGGAAATTCATATAATTTCTGAAACACATATTAATAAGATATATCTATACAAATATAACATAAAGAAGATTTAACATTATTTCTTATTTGGCAGTTCTTCCCATGCAATGTAATATGTTAAATAAACTTAATTAGTCTAACATCTCTCTTTTTATAATATAAGGAGAGAATAAATTCCTTTGAGGTTTTTCCAGAGGCTCTCTGCAAAATTCCAAAGTTAGCTTAAGGTAAAAAAAGACTGTATGTAGAATTGATTTAGGAAGGTTGTCAAAAATGTCTAAAGATTTAAAGCACTTGATTAAATAGGATCATAGTTCACTGTGAAACAATACTTAGGTATCCATTTAGCCAAAGTGACAAGTAAAAGATTTCAAAGGCAAATACAGAAAGTTACATAGTTGTATTAGTCCATTTTCATGCTGCTGATGAAGACATACCTGTGACTGGGCAATTTACAAAAGAAAGAGTTTTATTGGACTTCCAGTTTCATATGGCTGGGGAGGCCTCACAATCATGAGGGAAGGTGAAAGGCACATCTCATATGGTGGCAGACAAGAGAAGAAGAGCTTGTGCAGGGAAACTCCCCTTTTAAAAACCATCAGATCCCGTGAGACTCATTCACTATCAGGAGAACAGTGCAGGAAAAACCCACCCCCATAATTCAATCACCTCCCACCGTGTGTCTCCCACGACACATGGGGATTGTGGGTGTTACAATTCGAGATGAGATTTGGGTGGGGACACAGCCAAACCATGTCATTCTACCCCGGCCCCTCCCAAATCTCATGTCCTCACATTTCAAAACCAATCATACCTTCCCAACAGTCACCCAAAGTCTTAACTCATTTCATCATTAACTCAAAAGTCCACAGTCCAACATCTCATCTGAGACAAGGCAAGTCCCTTCTGCCTATGAACTTGTAAAATCAAAAGCAAGTTACTTACTTCCTAGATACAATGAGGGTACAGGCATTGGGTAAATACAGCCATTCTAAATGGGAGAAATTGGCCAAAACAAAGGGGCTACAGGCCCCATGCAAATTCAAAATCCAGCAGGGCAGTCAAACCTTAAAGCTCCAGAATGATCTCCTTTGACTCCATGTCTTGCATCCAGGTTATGCAGATGTAAGAGGTGAGTTCCAATGGTCTTGGGCAATAGTTAAGAAAACAAAAATGAAAAATCTTAGTTCCTGTAACACAAATAACTCTATTTTCTTAAGTAATCAAAGATCTTGATAAACACAACATGAGGCAGAGGAAATTATTTTGATGAGAAATAAAATCTGCTCTTTTAGGCAGATCACTTAAAAGGCAGAGAAAACACTTTCATTACTCTTATCAAGAGTAGACTAATAATCCAAGAAAACTTTGTGGTTTTTAACAGAAAGAAGACCAAATTCTAGTTTTGCATCAGTGTACTTTGATATTGAAAGCCCATTTTAAAATCCTTGTAATAAATTCATTCAATTTTATCCAGTTTAACCACATAAGATTCTCTCTCTCATTCTTTCTCTCCCTCCTACTTTCTATGTTCATTTAACTTTTGTTCTTTATTATCCTCTTTCTTCATGTTGAAATAACCTTTAAATAACCTTCAAAACAGATCAAAATCACATTCCCAGGTATAAAACCTTGATATTGTAAAGTTATCAATTCTTCCTAAATTTATTTACAAATGTAACACAATTCCACCCAAACTTATGTTTTTATAAGTAATTGAGTAGATGATCCTAAAGTTTAATAAAACAAATGGCTCTAATAGGTAAGACATTTGGAAATGTATAATGAAAGGGAGTTGCATAATAAGATCATCTATATAAATCATCTAATAAATCTACAATAAAAAGTGTCTCTAGCACAGAAATAAGATATCAATAGAATATAAGG
Source organism: Homo sapiens (assembly GCF_000001405.40). Lineage (NCBI taxonomy): Eukaryota > Metazoa > Chordata > Mammalia > Primates > Hominidae > Homo > Homo sapiens. Next base: position 46,261,379 of record NC_000003.12, read on the forward strand.
TACAAAATCAGATTCAGGAACATTAAAGAATATACGACAAAGGTGATATTTCAAGCCCAAAGGGGAGAGGATGGTTATTCAACACATAGTGTTTTAAAATTTGTCAGATAAGAATGGAGAGGAGGAGGCTCCTCTCCTCTGACCCCAGGGAATGTGAGAAGAGACACAGTGGTTATGAAAGGAAGCAGTCACACCTGTGGATCCCTACCTTCCCCATCAGAGCTAGGGGGCATGGAGCGCTCTCTGCTAAGATGGGGACCCCCAAGGAATGTCTCCCTGTGGGGCACTTCCTTACCAGATGGGATGGCCAGTGCAGTTAAGTTGGTGGTCAGGCAGAAAAAAAAGATCTAGTTTGTACTCTTGAGAGTTCCTCGGTTTGTTCATGGCATGGGCAGGGAGTCAAGGAGCAGCAGCCTTGCCTCAGTGCCTACCAGTGCAGGAAAAGGTGCATAGCCTGGGCCAGGGCCAGGGCCCTGGTGGAGGCGTAGTGGTAACAGAGAGGGCTCTCCATTCCAGCCCAAGGAAGACTAAGAATGAATACCTCATGAGTATATTAGCTACAAACCACCACAGCAGGTTCCAGAAAAAGGCTCAGCGTTGGAACCAGGTCACCCCCACTCAGCAGACACCAGTCATATAAATCAAGGACCAACAGGAGACAGGAACACCCCCTTCCCACTCTGCCCCATGTCTCAAGTTGTAGTGGCCCTTCCTCCAGATCTCTGCCACCATCTTAGAAAGGAACACTGAAAGAAGAAACTGAAATTATAAGCTGACAGCATAAAGAGGATGAGTAAAACCTAAAATCATTGTTCAAATGAATGAATCAAGAGAAGTTTAAACCACTTTGGACTAAAATGTGTGAATCCTTTTTCCTGCTATCCAGCAGATGAGAAGCTGGTAACAGAGACCAAAATAGTTTGGAGACTAAAGAATCATTGCACATTTCACTGCTGAGTTGTATTGTGAGTAATTTTAGTTGACCTCACTTTTGTAAATCTTGCACACGGGCATCCATATCTGCACAGAGATATGTTAACAGTGGTAAATGCTGCATGAGGAGATTGGGTGATTTTTACTTTCGTTTTTGTGCTCTTCTTTCTTATTGTTCTTACTTATTTACGATTACCCTATCGTTTTCCAAAATGTAAAAGGCCATTTTGAAAGCCTAATTCAAACCTCTTCACTATTTTGTATCTAAGTATTCACCTTGATTGAGACTGGGTAGACAGGTGAAAACCATATCAGGTTTTTAATTTTTTAATTTTTAATTATTTATTTATTTATTTATTTTTTGAGATGGAGTCTGGCTGTCGCCCAGGCTGGAGTGCAGCGGCGTGATCACAGTTCACTGCAGCCTCAACCTTCTAGGCTCAAGGGATTCTCCCACCTCAGCCCCCCAAGTAGTTGGGACCACACGTATGCGCCACCATGCCTGGCTAATTTCTTATTTTTTTGTAGAGATAGGATCTCACTATATTGTCCAGGCTGGTCTTGAATTCCTGGGCTCAGGTGAGCCTCCCACCTGGGCCTCCCAAAGTACTGGGATTACAGGCATGAGCCAAGGTCCCCTGCCCATATGAGATTTTCTGTCTCTGATCCCATGCAGCTAGTAATCAAGGACTTGGCTGCTGACTCTGGAGGACCTGCATGCTTTCTTGAGCTGTGAACTTCAGTGCTAAAAGCTCATAGGCAGCCCTGAAACCCAAACCAAAAGGTTCTATGGTTTATCATCCCGATCATGTTGATTTTATAGAAATAACACATGAATTAAAGACACTACCCTCAAACTGAGCAAAACTTAAGTAATTTTTTTAAAGTTTGACCTGTTTTTAAATCACTCTTGGAGAAAAAGGAAAATAAATACAAATAATTAACGGTGAATACAGGCTACTATACCTTTGTTCTCCAGAATTAGCAGTTCTGTTCTTTTCTTGCTTTAGATGCTGAAGTGCAGAAGGACACTCTGTGATTGTACGTGTGTAACTGACAAAATGTGTATTTTTTTTCTCAGCTGCTATGGATTGGATTATGCTATTATGAATAAGAATGCTGATGGGAGCACACACAAACCATTTGTTCCTCAGTCCATTTTCCTCCTCAAAAGCCTGGAATGTGCCATTGATCAGTGGGAGATGTACCTGGACAGACCCATGAAAAGAGATCAACAAGTTCCACCCAAGGGACCCTATTTTTCCTAATTTCATTTGAAATGGCTTCTAATTGTCCTTCTTTCATTCCTGCTTCCTACCAGTTTTACAGCTTTTTCTGGTTTCAAATGTGAACTCACATACACTCTCATTTTTCCTCATCACAACCCCAAGTGACCCAATGGTCCTCACTTTCGATATAAGTAAAGGAGGCTCTGCATTAAGGGCTTGTCCAAGGCACGCAGCTGAGAGGCGCTAGGACTGGCTCCATTTCCATCTCTATTCTCACTGACTTTGACTACCCAGAACCCCAACATGTGGGGCCTCAGTATTCGATCAATTATTCTATTAAGAAGCAAAAACAATTCCCCGCATTGGCCCCAGTTATTAAGCATTTCTCAGATTTACCTTGAGAAATGCCCATCGGCCTGTATATTCACATCTTCACCCTTGTCCCTTCCTCCTAGAAAGGAGAAAGTCAGTTGGATGCCCTCTGAGGAACTAGTGCATGGCTTAACTGTCCTTCCATGACTCCTGCCTTATCTGTTTTCTATTTTCCTCCTTTTCCACCGAAGTCTATAATCTCAAGAAAAGCAGGCACTGGCCTTAGGGCTCCTGGCCTAAGAAATATCAAGTCCAGTGAGAAATCCCATTGACTGACCCCTCCTGCTTACCCCTTTGTGATGGAGAAGCTCCCAGGGGTTTGCTTTTTGCATGTTACCAGGCCTAACTCAGCATCACCAGGGGCAAGAAAAGGAAAGTAACCTAAACTAATGCTGCTTATAATTGTAATTATTGTAATAGTTAATTACTGTGATTGTACATGTGTAACAGACAAAATGTGTATTTTTTTCACAGCTGCTGTGGATTGGATTATGCCATTTGGAATAAGAATGCTGTTAAGAGCACACAAGCCAGGTTCCTCAAGTCCGTAGCAAATTTTTCAAAAGTTAAATTTAAAAATCACTACATTTGAATCTAGTGACAGGAGAAATGGACATGGATAGAGACTAAAGATCTAGCCCAAATTTTATATTTACTTGTTAGAGGATTTTGAACAAATTACTAAATTTCTTCAAGGTTCAATTTCCCCATTAACTATAATGAATGGCTCATCATTATGGGGCCCTGGAGAAGCATAATTACTTGTAATTGTAATAATCATTGTTATTATTATTATACATATTTTGCTTTTAAATGGATAAGGATTTTTAAGGTATATGTAAACTGTAAAACATAAAATGCAAAATGCCGTAAGAGACAGTAGTAATAATAATGATTATTATATTGTTATCATTATCTAGCCTGTTTTTTCCTGTTTTGTATTTCTTCCTTTAAATGCTTTCAGAAATCTGTATCCCCATTCTTCACCACCACCCCACAACATTTCTGCTTCTTTTCCCATGCCGGGTCATGCTAACTTTGAAAGCTTCAGCTCTTTCCTTCCTCAATCCTTTTCCTGGCACCTCTGATATGCCTTTTGAAATTCATGTTAAAGAATCCCTAGGCTGCTATCACATGTGGCATCTTTGTTGAGTACATGAATAAATCAACTGGTGTGTTTTACGAAGGATGATTATGCTTCATTGTGGGATTGTATTTTTCTTCTTCTATCACAGGGAGAAGTGAAATGACAACCTCACTAGATACAGTTGAGACCTTTGGTACCACATCCTACTATGATGACGTGGGCCTGCTCTGTGAAAAAGCTGATACCAGAGCACTGATGGCCCAGTTTGTGCCCCCGCTGTACTCCCTGGTGTTCACTGTGGGCCTCTTGGGCAATGTGGTGGTGGTGATGATCCTCATAAAATACAGGAGGCTCCGAATTATGACCAACATCTACCTGCTCAACCTGGCCATTTCGGACCTGCTCTTCCTCGTCACCCTTCCATTCTGGATCCACTATGTCAGGGGGCATAACTGGGTTTTTGGCCATGGCATGTGTAAGCTCCTCTCAGGGTTTTATCACACAGGCTTGTACAGCGAGATCTTTTTCATAATCCTGCTGACAATCGACAGGTACCTGGCCATTGTCCATGCTGTGTTTGCCCTTCGAGCCCGGACTGTCACTTTTGGTGTCATCACCAGCATCGTCACCTGGGGCCTGGCAGTGCTAGCAGCTCTTCCTGAATTTATCTTCTATGAGACTGAAGAGTTGTTTGAAGAGACTCTTTGCAGTGCTCTTTACCCAGAGGATACAGTATATAGCTGGAGGCATTTCCACACTCTGAGAATGACCATCTTCTGTCTCGTTCTCCCTCTGCTCGTTATGGCCATCTGCTACACAGGAATCATCAAAACGCTGCTGAGGTGCCCCAGTAAAAAAAAGTACAAGGCCATCCGGCTCATTTTTGTCATCATGGCGGTGTTTTTCATTTTCTGGACACCCTACAATGTGGCTATCCTTCTCTCTTCCTATCAATCCATCTTATTTGGAAATGACTGTGAGCGGAGCAAGCATCTGGACCTGGTCATGCTGGTGACAGAGGTGATCGCCTACTCCCACTGCTGCATGAACCCGGTGATCTACGCCTTTGTTGGAGAGAGGTTCCGGAAGTACCTGCGCCACTTCTTCCACAGGCACTTGCTCATGCACCTGGGCAGATACATCCCATTCCTTCCTAGTGAGAAGCTGGAAAGAACCAGCTCTGTCTCTCCATCCACAGCAGAGCCGGAACTCTCTATTGTGTTTTAGGTCAGATGCAGAAAATTGCCTAAAGAGGAAGGACCAAGGAGATGAAGCAAACACATTAAGCCTTCCACACTCACCTCTAAAACAGTCCTTCAAACTTCCAGTGCAACACTGAAGCTCTTGAAGACACTGAAATATACACACAGCAGTAGCAGTAGATGCATGTACCCTAAGGTCATTACCACAGGCCAGGGGCTGGGCAGCGTACTCATCATCAACCCTAAAAAGCAGAGCTTTGCTTCTCTCTCTAAAATGAGTTACCTACATTTTAATGCACCTGAATGTTAGATAGTTACTATATGCCGCTACAAAAAGGTAAAACTTTTTATATTTTATACATTAACTTCAGCCAGCTATTGATATAAATAAAACATTTTCACACAATACAATAAGTTAACTATTTTATTTTCTAATGTGCCTAGTTCTTTCCCTGCTTAATGAAAAGCTTGTTTTTTCAGTGTGAATAAATAATCGTAAGCAACATAATGGCATGCCATTCCTGTTCTAAATATTCTTCATAGTTTGTTGATTTCCTGTTCACACTGAATGACAAAATTTCCCATGGGTGACTCACAGAGCCCTGAGAAGTGTGCACTGTCCTCTTAATGCCAATCTGACATTGCAGAGGAGGCCAGGGCCTCCTGTACATATGAAGTAGCCCGGGTATGGAGCGGGGAGGTGTTGGGCTTGCAGGGACTCTCGGCACCTGTAGCTCAGTGGCTCTCAAACTTGTCATCAGAAGCACCTGGAAGTTGTGTGAAAATGTGGATGGCTGGACCCCACCCAAGAGTTCCTGATTCAGCGGATCTAGAATGAGACACAAGAATGTGCTTAGCATCACTAGCAAGTTTTCTGGTGATGCTGATGATGCTGGTCCTGGAACCACGCTTTTAGAACAACTGCCCTAGCTAAAATGTCTGGACATTCCAGACCCATCCTTGAAATTGCAGATTTTAGTGTCAGAAGGAAATGTAAAATACCCTTGTGATCTAGGCTCTGCCAAAAACAATCACCACCCAGGACAGCGTATGTATGTCAGTTCATCGTAAACCAATCAGTTTAGTGGGTCTTTCTACTCCATCATTTTTATTTAGTTGAGCTTTTCTTGAGTGCCTATATTTAATACCCTGCCCTAGAAGCTATAGTAGATACAAAGATGAGTATGACTTTGTGTGAGCTACATCCTAAGGAGGAAAACATGCAACTTATGATGTAAAAGTATCCCCCACAAAAAAGTAGGAATGGCTCAGGTCTCCATTCCCTTTGGTTCTGCCTAGTTATGGCTTCTAGGGGAAGTAAGTTCTAAGCTTCTGATTAACTTATGCCTCTCAGTAGAGATCATATGACTGTGCAATGTGAGCCTTGCCAGCTCTCCATCCAACAGCTGTCTGTTAGGTGATCCGGACAGGGTGCACAAACACTGCTTCAGGTTAAGTGAAAGATGCAAAAATGTGTAAGACAAGCACAATCCCTGCCCCTATGAAACCTTCAGTCTAGAAGGTGTATAAGATGGAAACAAACAACTCTGGTGCAAAGGGGTAGACACTCAATGCTATGCCTGGGCCAGGAAGGGAAAAACGACTTCTTGTGGGAACGTGAGGGGAGGAAGATTTCATGGAGGAAGTAGCTTTTGAGCAGTTTTCTGAAAGAAAGGCAGGATTTAGAAAGGGAGAGAATTTGGGAGAAGGCACCTTTAACCCAAGGGAATGCCCCATCCCAAGGGGAGAGAGGAGGGTATGCATATTTGTGGACAGGAGGGTGGCATGGGCAGGGTAGGGTGGGCCATGAACTTCACACAAGGGGAGCTATGGAAGGGTTTAGAGCAGGGGAGAAAAACAATGTAGGAAGATACATCTGGTAACACATAGAGCATGGAGGGGAGGCCTCAGAACCATGCAGGAGGGAAGTTAGGAGGTGAGTGCAAGTTTGGAGGCAAGGAAAGATCAGCAGCTGGTAAGAGAGGTTCCAGGAGCACTCAGGAGAATTTGACCAAGAGATAGCATGAAGGATGAATTAAAGCACTAGGAGTGATATATGGCTGAGTGCAAAAATCAAAGGGCAAGGCTGGGCATGGTGGCTCATGCCTGTAATCCCAGCACTTTGGGAGGCCGAGGCAGGCGGATCACGAGGTCAGGAGATAGAGACCATGCTGGCCAACATGGCAAAACCCTATCTTTACTAAAGTACAAAAATTAGCTGGGTGTGGTGGCAGGTACCTGTAATCCCAGCTACTCAGGAGGCTGAGGCAGGAGAATCACTTGAACCCGGGAGGCAAGTTTGCAGTGAGCCGAGATGGCGCCACTGCACTTCAGCCTGAGTGACAAGAGCAAGACGTTGTAAAAAATTTTAAAAAATGAAAATATAAAATCAAAGGGCAAAGCAGAGTGTATCATATGCTTAAACACAGACACACACACACACACACACACACACACACACACACACACACACGTTTTACTCTGTACTTAGGTGTATAGACCATCTCTCTAAGGATACAAAAGAAACCAGTACCAATATGGGGTGGCTGGAGAAGAGGAAAAGAAGCATGAGTTTTTGTGCCTTCTGGATTTTCAATCATGGGGACATACTTCTCATTCAAAAAATAAATACAACCTTAGAATGATATAAAAAATAAAAGGCTAGGCTGCTATGTAGATGTTCAGAAGTAGGCATACGTCCTACCAGCCATAAGGAGATTAGAAGCCTCCTGCCATGAATTAATCCTGTGACCTGGCACAAATTATTTGGCCTCTTTTGGCCCCAATTTCCTCATCCATATAATAAAAAAGTTGGATTAAATCATCTCTAAGGCCCCTCTGTGGCCCAAGTAGACTCTAATCTTGCTAAAATGTTAGGAGCTGGAGGCTCTAAGTTTACAAAATATATGATAAAAAAAAAAAAGGAGGAGAAGAGTGGTGGACAAGCCCACAGCATTACCTCCATTGGTCGTGAGGCCAGGCATGGTTCCCACTGTTCACTAAGGGGTACTCAGGTTTTGTTCATTCATTTGGTCATTTACCATTCAGCAAACATTTGCTGAGCATCCACCATGTTCTTAGCTAAGTTCTGAGGAAACAAACAAGGGCACACCCACAGGTGTCCAATTCAGTCTGACAGTGAGCTCCTTGGGGATGTCCAATTCAATCTCAACTTGGATGCTGCCTGCAGGGGGCTCACCATCAGACTGAATTGGACACTGCTCTTGTTCTCCACTGCCAGAGTTCATGATCATGCCTTATAAAGGAATTACCAATGCTTGAATTCAACCCAGATGAAAGTTCCACGTGAAGACCAGAAGACATTTTTTATTTCCCAATCCAATGCTTGGAGAAAGGGAGTGCATTCTCTTGGTCATGATTCCATCCATCCTCACCCTCTGGTGAGTGGCCTGGCCTTTTGTCACTGTCTTGCCTATCTAAGAGCTCTGCATGGCCAACACAGGATGTGAACTCTGTAACACTCTAAACCACGCAACATGAATCTCAATTTGGCTAGGACAATTTGAAGTACGTCTCTTTTTTGTGGTTCAGCCAAAATGTAAATAAAACAATCATTTAAAAACTGAACTACACATCACTGGTTCTCTCTTGCATTATGAAGTTGCATCTGCCTTAGGTAACCACAAGTGCAGGATAGAGATGCTTGTTCATACCATACTCCTCTTACCCTTGAAAGCTTTTAGGAGCTTTTTGACTCTCTCAAACTTCACATAACCAAATCATGAATTGGTGTGTGCTGCTTTGTTCCCCATCCCAGCTCTGTTCAAGAACTATAGAAATACACTGAGAGAAATGTTCTATATCTGCACTGTCCAATATGATCGCCACATGCAGCTATTGAGCACTTGAGCACTTGAAATGTGGCTTAGGTGGCTAAGGCACTGAATTTTTAAATTTTATTCAATTTAAATTACTTTGGATTTAAATTTAAATGGCCACATTGGTAGTGGTGCAGCAGCAGCCCCTTCAAACCTGCCTCTTGACCCCTCCTCTACCTATGCATCCAGCACCCTGTAGCCCTCAAACACATGCCCTGAACACTGCACAATAGGGAAAATCCTGGTGATGCAAAATGAACGAGATCCATTTCTAGAACACTCACTCACCGTTCAGTGGAAGAGACCCACCTGATTCCTGTGGCTGTAATGAAACATGAGGGGTGCCTGAAGGACACTGCTGCAGAGAGTAGGATGGAGACATTGAAGAAAGGTGCACAGAGAAGGTGTCTTTCTGCTTAGATGGGGTTCCTCCAGGCAGAGACCCTGAGCAAGGATTTGAGAGCAAAAAGTTTATTTGCAAAGTGCAGGAAACTCCAGTAGGGAAGTGAGGAAGTAAAATAGGGAGGGAGGAGAAGATGCGAACAAGGGTACATTATCCAGCCATTTTTCACAGGGGGTGACTGGAGTTAAAGCCACTAGGGAACTCTGGGAGACAGTACAACACACTTCTCCTGATTTGAGGGGTGAGGGAGTTGGGGTATTTATAATCCACTCCTGTCAGTCATTGGCCGAGGATTGCTCCTGGGGGATGTTAATCCCCAGCACTTCCTGCTGGCCTTGCTAGGGCAGGAGGCCTTCCCAGCTTTGGAGAACATTCCTGGGGCAACAAGATGTAGATGCTGGATGTTGGAAGACAGTTGGGCATGCTTGGTTAAGGCTTGAGAAATAAAGCATTTGCTACGCATTTGAACTAGTGTTAGAACAGTTTTTCATGAAGCAGATGGTGGGAGTGAGAGTAGCATCCAGGCAGGTGGGTCAGTTTGTTGGAAGGCACAGTGGCACAAAAGTGACCCACAGATGCCTGCTCTGGTGATGCCTAGTGTGACATTGGGCAATGACAGATGCCCTTGAATGTGCCTCTCTGTTTTCTTCCCTGGCTGCTTTACTCCTCCTCCTTTTGTTCAGCATCATAATCTGCTATTTCAGAAGATGGTCCCTTTCCAGCTTGAGTTCCTGAGATGTTCTCCAGATTCTAGAGCTAAAATTCTAAAGGCTTCATATCTCCTGAACAAAGCAGTTTCTGGTCCTTTCTAGCCTATGGACTGTAAAAAACTTCACTGAGGTTTTCATCCACTTCTTCCCAGGTAAATCCCCAGTGTAGTTAGGGTCACCATTCTTCTTTTGCTAGTCTCTGACCTAATCCAGGGCTCGGACAAGGACCTGCAGGACAAACCTGGCCCACTGCCTGTTTTGTAAATAGAGTGTCACTGGAACACAGCCAGGCTCATTTTTTTATGCATCGTCTGTGGCTGCTTTTGCACTACTATGAGAGTTGAATAGTTGCAACAGAGACTGTATAGCCCATAAATCCTAAAATATTTACTTTTCTATCCTTTACAGAATAAGTTTCCTGACTCCTGATAATCCACAGGACTTGGCTCTCCTCAGCCATGAGGAGGAGAGGAGGAGAGAGAACGGGTTGTCGGGGGGAAAACTTGGAGTGTGAGGTGATCAAGCCACTTAAGTCCCCAGGTTAGTTTTTCCTTGAGCCTGGATGCAGTACAAAGCAAGCAAAATAGGGTTCAATTGTATATTAGTCAAATGTTTCTCACTAATGCAAAACACTAACAGTATGCACCAAGATATATTGGAAGTTTTTATTGAGGCAGTAGGGTCCTTTAAATACTGTATCCCAAAGTAGACTATAAGATAATTTCCAAAGGAATTGTAAAAACAGATTTCACAACTCTTGAGACCCCTCACTTATAAGGGGGACAAAGGGATTGGATTGATTGATGAAATTAAGGAGGTATTTGAAAAGTTTTTTGTAGAGGGCTACTGGTATTCAGGGATGCCTGCTTCTCACCTTAAGCCTGGTGAGAGTGATGCCAATGGCACCACCTGAGAGCTCAGTAGGAGTCACCAGAGTTAAAGAAGCACCACGCATCAGCATCTGACTCACATCCAGGAAATCTGGAGACAAGGAACAGGCCAGCCAGCTGCACTGGGGGTAGGGTGGAGGAGAACTGCCATTACTTTTGGAGGGATCTATACTTCTAGAGATGATTTTGGCCAAGAATGTAGAATTCTTTATATGGGCCAGATCCCAGAGAGCTGACTGGAGGATTTCCAATCCTGCCCTGTGGACCCCAACAGCATATGTGTATGCAGTGGCCTGCCAAAACGACAGGATGATGGGAGGTTGAAAGCCAGGGAAAATGCATTTTTTAAAAACTAACAGGAGTTACATTGAATATTTCGAGGAATGACGCCAATGACTCTACCAAAGCAGCCCATGAGAGAAATGATTAAGTTGTAAACATCCACCAGCCCCAGAAAGGACGACACCATCTTATGACAGGACCAGTCAAACAAAAACTTTCCTAACACCAACCCTTTTTCCCTTCCCAGCTCCCACACAGTGAGAGGGTGAGAATCCATGCTTAGCAAACTGGGGAGGTGTCAAAATGCAGGACAGAGAGAAAAATAGACAGGGTTGTGCCCCGCTCCTCTCTCCCACAAGTGGTTATCCCTCAGCCAGCTGGGTGAGCTGGGAAAGTGGGGAAGATTTCAGTGTCAAATCAAATGGAGTTTTGATTATTATATGGGGATCAGCTTTTTAATTTTTGAATTGAAATTGTCCTTTTTTGACCTCAAATGATGCTGGGATTTTTTGTACCTAAGCATAATGACGAAAGCCGTGGGACTGCCGGAATTTTCATTCAGGGATTCAAGTATAGAAGAACTTCAGCCTCTAATTCAGTTTAAAGAGATAGTGAGGAACAAAAGTAAAGTTTACATCCCATGAATTCTGCCAGTTCAGCATACTGCTGGCAAATCCAGGCCCCCAAGTTTCAGCTCTCTGAGATCCACATAGGCTCACATGAATTGACAGGACTGAACTGTAGGTCTTCAATGAACAAAGAGACATGAAAAACCCTTCAAAAAAATCAATGAATCCAGGCGCCGGTTTTTTGAAAAGATCAACAGAATAGACCGCTAGCCATGCTAATAAAGAAAAAAAGAGAGAAGAATCAAATAGACACAATAAAAAATGATAAAGGGGAGACCACCACTGATCCCACAGAAATACAAACTACCATCAGAGAATACTACAAACACCTCTACATAAATAAACTAGAAAATCTAGAAGAAATTGATAAATTCCTAGGCTCATACACCCTCCCAACACTGAACCAGGAAGAAGTCGAATCCCTGAATAGACCAATAACAAGTTCTGAAATTGAGGAAGTAATTAATAGCCTACCAACCAAAAAAAGCCCAGGACCAGACGGATTCACAGTCGAATTCTATCAGAGGTACAAAGAGGAGCTTGTACCATTCCTTCTGGAACTATTCCCATCAATAGAAAAAGAGGGAATTCTCCCTAACTCATTTTATGAGGCCCGCATCATTCTGATACCAAAACCTGGCAGAGACACAACAAAAAAAGAAAATTTCAGGCAATATCTCCGACGAATATCAATGCAAAAATCCTCAATAAAATACTGGCAAACCAAATCCAGCAGCACATCAAAAAGCTTATCCATCATGATCAAGTCGGCTTCATCCCTGGGATGCAAGGCTGGTTCAACATACACAAATCAATAAACGTAATCCATGACATAAACAGAACCAATGACAAAAATCACATGATTATCTCAATAGATGCAGAAAAGGCCTTCAATAAAATTCAACACCCCTTCATGCTAAAAACTCTCAATAAACTGGGTATTGATGGAATGTCTCAAAATAATAAGAGCTATTTATGGCAAACCCACAGCCAATATCATACTGAACAGGCAAAAGCTGGAAGCATTCCCTTTGAAAACTGGCACAAGACAAGGATGCCCTCTCTCACCACTCCTATTCAACATAGTATTGGAAGTTCTGGCCAGGACAATCAGGCAAGAGAAAGAAATAAAGGGTATTCAATTCGGAAATGAGGAAGTCAAATTGTCTCTGTTTGCAGATGACATAATTGTCTATTTAGAAAACCCCATCATCTCAGCCCAAAATCTCCTTAAGCTGATAAGCAATCTCAGCAAAGTCTTAGGATACAAAATCAATGTGCAAAAATCACAAGCGTTCTTATACACCAATAATAGACAAACAGAGAGCCAAATCATAAGTGAACTCCCATTCACAATTGCTGCAAAGAGAATAAAATAACTAGGAATACAATTTACAAGGGATGTGAAGGATCTCTTCAAAGAGAACTACAAACCACTGTTCAAGGAAATGAGAGAGGACAAAAACAAATGGAAAAACATTCCATGCTCATGGATAGGAAGAATCAATATTGTGAAAACGGCCATATTGCCCAAAGTAATTTATAGATTCAATGCTATCTCCACCAAGCTACCACTGACTTTCTTCACAGAGTTAGAAAAACCTACTTTAAATTTCATATGGAACCACAAAAGAGCCTCTAAAGCCAAGACAATCCTAAGCAAAAAGAACAAAGCTGGAAGCAACACGCCACCTGCATTCAAACTACACTACAAGTCTACAGTAACCAAAACAGCATGGTACTGGTACCAAAACAGATATATAGACCAATGGAACAGAATAGAGGCCTCAGAAGTAACGCCACACATCTATAACCATCTGATCTTTGACAAACCTGACAAAAACAAACAATGGGGAAAGGATTCCCTATTTAATAAATGGTGTTGGGAAAACTGGCTAGCCGTATGCAGAAAACTAAAACTGGACCCCTTCCTTACACCTTATACAAAAATTAACTCAAGATAGATTAAAGACATAAATATAAGAGCTAAAACCATAAAATCCCTGGAAGAAAACCTAGGCAATACCATTCAGGACATAGGCATGGGCAAAGACTTCATGACTAAAACACCAAAAGCAATGGCAACAAAAGCCAAAATAGACAAATCGGATCTAATTAAACTAAAGAGCTTCTGCACAGCAAAAGAAACTATCATTAGAGTGAACAGACAACCTACAGAATGGGAGAAAAATTTCACAATCTATCCACCTGAGAAAGGGCTAATATCCAGAATCTACAAGGAACTTTAATAATTTACAAGAAAAAAACAACCCCATCAAAAAGTAGGAGAAGGATATGAACAGACACTTCTCAAAAGAAGAAATTTATGCTGCCAACAAACATATGAAGAAAAGCTCATCATCACTGGTCATTAGAGAAATGCAAATCAAAACCACAATAAGACACCATCTCATGCCAGTTAGAATGGTGATCATTAAAAAGTCAGGAAACAACACAGGCTGGAGAGGATGTGGAGAAATAGGAATGCTTTTATGCTGTTGGTAGGAGTGTAAATTAGTTCAACCATTGTGGAAGACAGTGTGGCGATTCCTCAAGGATCTAGAACCAGAAATACCATTTAACCCAGCAATCCCATTACTGGGTATATACCCAAAAGATTATGAATCATTCTACTATAAAGATATATGCACACGTATGTTTATTGCAACACTGTTCACAATAGCAAAGACTTGGAATCAACCCAAATGCCCATCAATGATAGACTGGATAAAGAAAATGTGGCACATATACACCATGGAATGCTACGCAGTCATAAAAACGGATGAGTTCATGTCCTTTGCAGGGACATGGATGAAGCTGGAAACCATCATTCTCAGCAAACTAACACAAGAACAGAAAACCAAACACTGCATGTTCTCACTGATAAATGGGAGTTGAACAATGAGAACACATGGACACAGGGAGGGGAACATCACACACTGGGGCCTGTCCGGGGTGGAGGGGCTAGGGGAGGGATAGCGTCAGGAGAAATATTTAATGTAGATTACGGGTTGATGGGTGCAGCAAACCACCATGGCACGTGTATACCTATGTAACAAACCTGCACGTTCTGCACATGTATCGCAGAACTTAAAGTATAATTTTAAAAAAAGGCTTTGATATTAAAGATACATAGGCCAGGCATGGTGGCTCATGCCTGTAATCCCAACACTTTGGGAGGCTGAGACCAGCCTGGGCAACATGGCAAGACCTAGGTCTCTACGAAAAATAAACAAAAATTAGCTGGGTGTGGGGGTGCATGGCTGTAGTCCCAGCTACTAAGGAGACTGAGACAAGGGGATCACTTGAGACTAGGAGTGCAGTGAGCTGAGATCCCACCACTGCACTCCATCCTGGGTGATAGAGCAAAACCCTGTCTCAAAAAAAAAAGATACATATAGATATAGATTTAGATATGGACATAAATAAGGATATGGATATGGGCTTGAATAAGAAAATACCTAATGATGTCTTTAAAATCCTGTATACTTGAATTTTGCCTACTTCAAGGTTAACCTCTCCTAGCTAAGCAAGAACTAGTCCACTGGGCGCTGCCCAATGCCCACGAGAAGAGCCGCCCCTTGAAGTCAAGACTTTCTTTCACTGAGGAAGGCCTCTCAATTTTTTTCAGACAGGACAACCTTCTCCCTGGCTCAGTTCCAGGTCCTGGTCAGATGAGCCCCACCTCAGATGAGTCCTTCACTTGCTGGCATCAGCGTCCCAGACAGTTGCAGTGGGGGAACCTGAACACCAGGGGGTGTTGGCCGGTGGCAGAGAGGAGCTAGCTCTGCACAGTTCTTCAGTCAGTAGAGGGTGTGCCCGAGGGCTAGGAGGGAGGTGAGGTTTGATAATACAACAAGAAACTCAGGAATGCCTAAATCTGATATTGTCCAACTGTGTTGCAAAACGTGGGGGATGCCATCTGTATCCCCAGGAATTGTGCAAGGCCGTGACTGCAGGAAGAAAGCAACAGAAGATAGGAAACAGGGTACACCTTGTTATCTGGGCGAATTCCTAGCTCCTTTGGATGGAGGGCTTTGGTAAAGCTGTGTGTGGCTCAAGATCTACATATTCCCCTACATCCCATTAAACCAAAATTCAAATTATATTCCAGAAGACCATGGCCAATCCCACAGCAATGGGCATGCTAAAAACACGTGTGAATATAAGAGGACAAAGAAAAGCAAGAGAGCAGCACCTGCCCCTGTGAGCCACAGCCTGGTTCAACCCACCACTGCCTGGAAGGGAAAGCAGTAGACTTGCTAGTGCTTGTGTGGGACCTTTTAACACTCAGAGACCCCAACCGCTCGTAAATGTGGCCCAGTCCATGTTCTGAAATCTGACGATCAGAACAGCAACTCCTCTGACCTGGGACAAGTGAGGATGGATGGAGAGGCCGACATCTTCCTCATCCTATGTTGTTCAATCCAGATGCTGTTCAAACCCCAATTGATCTCATGTATGGCACACCTTCTCCCACCCTTTTCCCCTTCAGACCTTGGGCTGGTAATAAATCCCTGCTGTTACTCATCTCATGGGATGGTATTCTCACTTTATGCTGCTAGTCCCTTTGTAAATAGCCCCTTTATTAAAGTGTCCTCAAATTGCCCTGTTTGAGTGTCAGTTGTTTGCTGCTGGGACTCTGAGTGACACAAGGTGACCACATACAGCACAGGAAAAGAAACTGGTCATTAAAAAATTTGTGGTAAATGTCAAGTGAGTGTTCAGGGAAGACTTCTTATAGGAGGAGAGGCCAGACTGGGTCTTAAAAGACAGGAAGTGACACCCCTGAGGAGAGTCGTGGGAGGGGGATAAGCAAAGGCAGAGTTGGGAACGAACAAAGAATGTTTAGAAGAGAGAAATTGGGCAGGTGGGAGAGAGTTCTGGAAGCAAGGGCACTTTGATGCCAGAACTAAGAAACTTAAATGCCAAGACTTTGAAACCTATCAGCAGCAGGGAGTGATGCTGCTATAGACACAGGCTGGGGAGTTTGCCTGGCTCGCAATGATCCCCACAGTGGCCACCCCCAGGTTCCTCCCACAGCCTCTTCATTTATTTGATCCAAGGGGGAATTGATGGTAGCCTGACCTAAGCTAGGCCAATTGGATTTGAAAACTCAAATGAAGACATACAGAGATGGTTGAGACTGATTGATTCTATGTCTAAAGAAAGGCTACATGGGGCTGGGCACAGTGGCACATGACTGTAATCCCAGCACTTTGGGATGCCAAGGCAGGCAGATCACCTGAGGTCAGGAGTTTGAGACCAGCCTGACCAACATGGATAAACCCCATCTCTACTACTGGTGTGGTGGTGCATGCCTGTAATCACAGCTACTCAGGAGGCTGAGGCAGGAGAATCGCTTGAACCTGGGAGGCGGAGGTTGCGGTAAGCCAAGATCTCACCATTGCACTCCAGCCTGGGCAACAAGAGCGAAACTCTGTCTCAAAAAAAAAAGAAAAAAGAAAGGCTACCTGGGCTGGATGTGGTGGCTCACATCTGTAATTGCAGCACTTTGGGAGGCTGAGGCGGGTGGATCACCTGAGGTCAGCAGTTGAGACCAGCCTGACCAACATGGTGAAACTCTGTCTGTACTAAAAAATACAAAAATTAGCCTGGCATGGTGGTGGGTACCTGTAATCCTAGCTACTCGGAAGGCTGAGGCAGGAAAATTGCTTGAACCCAGGAGGCGGAGGTTGCAGTGAGCCAAGATGGTGCCATTGCACTCCAGCCTGGGGACTGAGCAAGTCTCCGTCTCAAAAAAAAAAAAGGAAAGGCTACATGGACTTTTAGGGCTGAGGCTTCTGTCCTCTCTGAGTGGCCCTTGTCCTCTCTGAGGGCTAAAGGTCCTTCTTTCTTCCATTCTGTGAGCCATCCAAACCCTGTCCATACAGTCATTCTTGGCTGAAGCTGGGGTTGTTTATAAATCAAAAAGGTTAACTGATATGGAAATGTGTGCTAGAAAGCAGGTTGCAGACATCAGCCTTCCAGGGAGATGATGAGTGTTTGAATTAGTTAGCAGGAAGTAAGACTCCCTTCCAACTCCAAGATGGGAAAATGGCACCCATGTGATAGAATGGCTAAACAACTAGTCAAGTTATCACCTCAGACCATGTGCCTATTGAGAATGAAGCCTGGTGGGATGAGGGTGGGGGTTGGCAGGAAGGTGCTGCTATCCACCAATCTAAAGAGGATGAAGAAGGCCAGAACTAGAGGGTAGGATGGCTGCTTCTGAAGGCACTGAGAAACTTAAAGCAAGACCATTCAAATGCTGAAACTTTCATTCTCAAGTTAGAGTGAAACTTAAAGCCTTTCTGTGACCACGTTGAAAAAAAAAAGTCTCTTATTACTTGCAGCTGCCAGGTTAAGACTGGTGGAAATTAATTCAGAGCATGAAGTGTCTTAATTATAGTAGGAGTTGTATTTGCAAATTTGCTAAAAAGCCTGTATGAATGTTAAGGCATTGGTAAGATAGACTGAGGATCAGTGGGAATGGGGATATCTGGGAGGATGCACAGGACCTGGGAAACCCTGTTCCTCCATCCCCTCTGGCACACTGTCATTTCTACTTTTCCTTCTAAGGAAGCTGTTTTCCCTTAGCATGAGAAAGGTAACAGTTCGCTCTTCATTGTTGCTCACCTAATAAACAGGATTTGAATTCAACCTGGCCCAGAGGGTAAAATGCAGAATCAAGGTATGGGAAAAAATTCCGTAAAGAATTATAGAAAGTGGTCAATGAACATTATTGAAAAACTGAGTTTGGCTTTTAAGAGTGCTTAATAAAAAATTGCAGAATAGAAATTTGGATTGGGCTGAATTAATTGACATGTACACTCATTGAAAATATTGCACTCAATGGTTAAGGTCCTAAGAGTTGTTGATTGGTCTAATACAAACCTGGACCAAATGCTGGTCCATCCTCAATGAGTGTAAAAGGCCAGAGATCCCTAGGAATCATCTAGAGGAAGACAGGAACGTTATACTTCTATCAAGCATAATGTCAGTCTACCACTGACACTCTTTTTCTTGTCATAAAGACAAGATCGGAGAGGGAAGCTCATTAGGAATGATAGTGGGAGGGGCTGTAATTGAAATGCAATCTTTGACCTCAGTCAGATAGGGAGTATGTTAAGTGTGGACTTTTTACCTGCAAGAAACAACATAGATGTGGCCATTATAAAAGCCAACAGGAAAAGGATGGTGATAACACCTCTGGGAGTGATCTGACATCCGGAAGCCTCTGACTATGTTTATTCATTATGGAGATCCCAAGAATTAAGTCAAGAAAATGTCAGGTCTGGCAAAAAAACAGATCTGTCTTGAGTTGTAGTGAGAAAATGTGGCCTCTCGCCAAATTCTCAGAAGTGAGTCACTTCATAAAATGAGGGCCTTTTAAGTGAGAAGAAAACCACACCTCAAAAAAAGAGCTCTACAATATGTCATACATGATACTCTAACACCTAGGCTTTCCCAAATGAACCTGTAACCAATTTTCCTGGAATAATATGCACTGGGAAAAAGAAGCACCCACAGCCTTTGGTATTATTGATTGCCAATTTTAAGTTACAGTAATTCCAAAAGACCCAGGAAATCACTCTAGTCAGCCTCAGAGTAGGCACCCATGAGGGCCAGGAGATAGAGGTGCTTCCCCCGCCCCTTTGAGACAGGGTCTCACCTTGTCACCCAAGAGTGAGTTTGGTGGTGCGATCTTGGCTCACTGAGCCTAGACCTCCCCAGGCTCAGGTGATCCTCCCACCTCAGCTTCTTGCGTAGCTGGGACTACAGGCACATGCTACCATGCCTGGCTAATTTCTGCATTTTTTGTAGAGATGGGGTTTTGCCATGTTGTCCAGGCTGGTCTCAAACTCCTGGACTCAAGCAAACAACCCACTTGGCCTCCCAAAGTGCTAGGTGATAGAGTTTTGATGTGACTTTGTATCATCGTAGGCAGAATTTGGCCCAGAACCCACCTTGTGATTTTCACCAGTCTCCAGTGCAGTGTTAGAATGAACATACTTAGTAGGCCGGGCGCAATGGCTCACGCCTGTAATCTCAGCATTTTGGGAGGCCGAGGCGGGCAGATCATGAGGTCAGAAGTTCGAGACCAGCCTGGCCAATATGGTGAAACCCCATAACTACTAAAAAAAAAAAAAAAATACAAAAATTATCCAGGCATGATGGTGCCGGCCTGTAGTCCCAGCTACCCGGGAGGCTGAGGCAGAAGAATCGCTTGAACCTGGGAGGCAGAGGTTGCAGTGAGCCAAGGTCGCGCCACTGCACTCCAGCCTGGGCAACAGAGCAAGACTCCATCTCAAAAAAAAAAAAAAAAAAAAAAAGAATGGGATTCCCATTAGGCTTTCAGACAGTAAATAATGGCTACAACAGAGGAAGGCCCAAGTGGAAGCCACTGAAGGCCCCCTGCCCATACAAAGCAGAAAATCAAAAACAACGCTCTATCCTATGAAGAAAATAGCAGATTAGTCTCATCACAGATAAGAAAGACACAGATATGTTGATT
This sequence comes from Homo sapiens, assembly GCF_000001405.40. Classification (NCBI taxonomy): domain Eukaryota; kingdom Metazoa; phylum Chordata; class Mammalia; order Primates; family Hominidae; genus Homo; species Homo sapiens. The sequence goes on from NC_000003.12 coordinate 46,281,473, forward strand.
CCTGTCATACCTCCTTTTAATGCTCCAGTTTTGCCAGTAAAAAAATTTAAAAAATAATAAAATAAAATAAATTGATGGGTCTTGGGGAATAGCCATGGAATGTTACGACTAAATCAGATGGTGACTTTCACTGTGTGTGTTGTCTTCTAAGTTTGGTCCCCTTGCTGAGGCAAATCATTACAGTCATGGTATTTGGCATGTAGATGCCAGTCTAGAGTAGGGGCTGGCAAGCTTTTTCCTAAAGGGCCAGATAGTAAGTATTTTAGGCTTTCAAGCCAGCTGGTCTCTGTCACAACTACTCAACTCTGAAGTTGTAGCAAGAAAGCAGCCACAGACAACATGTCAGTGCATGGGCACAGCTGTGTTCCAGTAAAACTAGTTTTCAAACACAGGCACCTACACACTGGAGTTTGCTAACTTCAGATCAGGAAAATACAGTTTTCTCCCTTTTGGTACAGAGAGGCACCCAAAGAAGCAGTTTGTCTCCAGCTGTCAGGAGCAGAGTACACGCTGCCATCCTGCCTGGGAGTGATGCTACTTTCAGGTGATTTGCCTCACTGTAATCTGCAGGGACCTTGTGACTGCATCACCTGACAGGACATCACTTTGGTCCACATGGTTAATATTGTGCTGAGAGGACCTGGGAAACGGGAATAACAAAAACCTTCAATGTCTTGATAAAACACACGGCTGACAGAGAGTGAAAGATAAAGCCGGAGAAAATATCAGAGTCTCCAACTTCAGGCAAGAGGTGAGGTCCAGTGAAAGCAGATAGCCTCAGTGTGTGGAGTCCATGCCTGGTCTCCTTCCCTGTGCCACTGTTTACGCTGTTCATGAGCCTCTGAGAAATCATCTGGCTGCCATAGGAAGGGTGACCCAGCATGTGCTATTTTCCAAGTTTCTTCCATCCTGGGGGGCATTTTGGTGAGAATTCACATGAGATATGAACATTTTTAGGTTTGGGTCTCATTCAAATAAATCCATTGACATACTCCTCCAAATCTTGATAACAATTTTCCATTTAATTCCTTCTGTCTTCCCTTACATCTAACCATATATAATAAACACTTTCTAGAAATATGTGTAGATTCTGACCCTTGGTGATCTCTCCTTCGAAGCAAAGAGGACACTATGATAAACACCTTGATTTCTGCCACCTGGGAGGTGTCTTCTCCACTTGTCCTTTAGGGCTACCCCTGAGAGGGGCTGAATCTAACACAATCTACCTCAGGTTGGTGCAAGCAAAGTGCAGAGTCCTCTATCCATAAGACAGGCATGAGTGTTTTCATCCTCAGACAGATCATCGCAGCCAACTTCCTGGGAGGCCACAGGTCCAGGTGAAGGGAGAGGATGGCAGTTGTTGGGACTAGGGATGGGATAGGCATGAATAACCTGCCCATGCTGCCTTTCGAACCTGTGTGGATTACATCCTATATAATCCCACTTCCCCTTTATGATGCAGTGTTATTGGGTCTCTCTGTGGCAAAGTAGGTCAGGTGGCAGTCAGTTCATAATAAACAACCTGAGTGTCATGGTAAGCTGGTGTCTCATAGTCAAACTCTCAGAGTCCCCTGGAGTCCAGTAACAACCCAGGACTTATTTTTTTGCTGAAAGGGATGTAGCATTTCTTCGCCCTCCAAGGGGCTGCTGCCATGCTCCTGTCCAGGCTTGTATCCAAAATTTGACTCAAGGAGTTCAAGAATAGCAAAAACGGGTGTCATCGCAAAGTAGAATACCCAGTAGTAGTAGTAGCAGCAGCAGTAATAGCAGTAGTAGCAGTAATAGTAGTTGTTGTTGTTGCTGTTGTGATTCAGGAAAAACTCCCAGAATGGAAGTACACAGGTCTGTGAGATGAAGGGGGTACCAAGTACCCACCAGGATAAATGGACACAGACCCTCTTCCGAGCACATCATTATGAACTTTCAGAACAACAGGGATAAATATATTGAGAGCTTTTAAGAGGGGGAAAAACAGGTAACAGAAAGGAATAGAAATGGACTTGACATCAGATTCTCAATGACAACATTGGCTGATACAAGACTGTGGGGCAACAGCATCACAGTTTTGAGAAAATATTATGTTCAGCCCAGAAATCTCTACAGAGCCAACGTATGAGATCCACTGAGGCTTGAATATAGATATTTTTAGACACAGAAGGATTTTGCAATTTACCTTCCATTTACCCATTCTCAAGAAGAGACAAAATATATGCTTTAGCAAAATGAAGAGGTAACCAAGAAAGAGGAGATCCTAGGATCTTAGAAATGAGTTCAACACAGGACAGTGGCAAAGGAATCTCCAGGACCTCCACAGAAGCCTGTCCAGACTGGTATTGAGAAAGGACATGAAATTTGTAGGTTTCGAATATTTTAAAAAATTATTGTTGGGCCCATGACAGATCAAATTTGAGCATTTTGGAAATTGGTGATAAGTATTTTTACAAAGTAAGCAGATGGAAAAAATCAAAAGAAACTACTATTAACTCCAAGAATATAAAACATTAGCTCAACAGTGAATAATACTTATGTGGTCATAATAACATGAACACTGACTAGTCATTTAACCAGAAACTGTCAAAAAACCATATTGAGAGGATGTTGGGAGGGGAAGGAAGTGTAAGCTAAATCCTCACCTACAAGAACAGGAAATCAATAAATTCTGTCTAAAATTGATACATTATGAAGTAGCAATCAATATAAGCATGTTACTTAACACTTAGGGCAGCACCAGAGAAACAGCCAACAGAGTTGAAAGTGGTTGCCTCATAGGAGTGGGCAGGGGTGGGGAGGGGATGGGGCAGGAAATGCTATTTCTAATTTCTTAACTATGCACTATTACATCTTGATAACTTTTTCTTTTTGGACGGGGTCTCGCTCTGTCACTCAGGCTGGAGTGCAGTGTCATGATCATGGCTCACTGCAGCCTCAACCTCCCAGGCTCAAGCAATTCTCCTGCTTCAGACTCCCAAGTAGCTGGGACTACAGGCGCACACCACCATGTCTGGCTAATTTTTGTATTTTTTTATAGAGACAGGGTTTTGCCATGTTGCCCAGGCTGGTCTCAAACTCTAGGACTCATGTAATCCACCTGCTTTGGCCTCCCAAAGTGCAGGACTACAAGGCATGAGCCACCTCAACTGGCCTGTAACTTGATAACTTTTAAAAACTTGATGTTATTAGGTGAAGAAGTAAGAGCAAAAATATAATAAAATAAGAATAGAAGAGTATGATTAAACTATAAACACAATTCCTTACTGTGTACCAGACACTGACAATTGAAAGACATAAACACAAACTTGGCCATTCACTCCTTAGTAACCAAACACAGAGAAAACACTTCCCATTATAGATGCTAGAATATTATCAGATTATTAGAGCAATACTAAACTAGAGGCCAACCAACTACACATTTTGGGAAATGTTGAATGGTCCAATGTTAGCTAAAAATCAGTACCTGGCCACGCTAAGGCCAAAACTGTCACCATCATAGAAAAAATTGTTGGGATTTAAGAACAATCTGAAATTGTATTTTAAAATGTAATTATAATTGCAACTGTATTGTTAAAATTGACTGCTCTGATTTTTAAAGTTTGATATCTAGGTGAGGAAACCACCACTTCTCAGCACTGTCAGCATTCCACGTTCCTGTGGTCACTATGCGGCAAGTGTAAGATACAAGTCAGAGGCCTCCAAGTGAGGTCGGTAGGAGGGCAGGGTTTGGTGTTTACTGTGCCAGTATGAGGGAGTGCTCATGATGATGTCACCAAGATTTTCAGCTTTCCTTTCTTTATCTCTCTGGGCAATCAGCTAAGGTAAAAGCATCTCTCCTCTTCAACTCCTGGAATTAAAGATACCATCATGAATGATAATACAATTTCATTGTTTGTGCACTACTTAAAGAAGTCTTCTGAGTATGTTCAGAAGCTCTCTATTTGGACACCTCTTAGGCAACACTTCCAATCCTCTTGGGCTCTTGTGCTGTGGGCTCCAGCCAGCCTTGCACAGCTGTAGCCGGATGTGCCTGGCCTGGGCCTGGGCCATGCCTCTCATCCCTATCTCAGGGCTCCTCCACTGACACTCAGCACCCACACATGTGCAAGCTGCAAATGCAGGGGACCTCATGCCTAGTGGGGCAAAGCTTTGACCAACGGGTGACCGGATCTGATGGGGAAAGGGATCTCTTTTTTCCCCTAGGTTCATAATCCTAAGAAGCATCTCACAGCTCGTCAGGCAGTCCTGAGAGGCCTAGCAAGCAGCTCCCCTGGTTGGGTGCATGTGCATCCTCATTCTGGCCCTCTCTCCTTTCCTGCTTTACTCCCCTGTCCCTCACCTCTACTGTCTCAATCTCAGCCTCCACCTTCTGGGGAACCCAAACTAAGACAAAGGCTTATGATTATTGTCTTGACTTTTATTTTTAAATTTCTAGTATTTTTCCATGCACATGGGATTCCATAGAAGTACTTGAGAAGAGTTTGTTCTGAAGCCTTGAATCTAATAATGTGCCATGGAGCAATGTGATTGGCATTAGATACTTTTTAAAAAAAAATCTCAGATTCCATCTGCATCTTGGCTTCCACTGCACACACACCTCTGGAGGAGGAGGATCTTGACGGCAGTATCGGGTCGGAAATATTTGCACTCTCAAGATGACTTCTTCAGCTGGTTCCCGTAAATGAGCTATTTTTCCACAAGCAACTCTTGGTTGTTAGCAAGTTCTATGATGCCAGTACTGTTTTCTGTAAAGTTTATGATTACACTTTCTTTTGATCAAATGGCTGTTCCAAAGCATCATGCTTCCTATGCCACTGGAACATTTTGGATGAATGTGCATCAAGCCAGGTCCACTATTTTGTGTATCTCATATAGTTTACCTTTGGCTAAAAACCAAATGCTGCAAGTGCCCTTTTACCTTTTTGCTTACAACCAGCAATTCTGCTACATGATGCTATGTTGTAGTTACTTTCTGAAAACACAACTGAAATGTGTGAACAAAACACTGCATGCTCATGATTTCTAAATCACTCATAGCTTCACTATGTGCTTCCCATTGTCATTGACAATTATACAATTTTTTCCTTTGCTGATTTTCCATTCAATAAATATTTCTTCCTTCATTCACTGTGTTGTTTTTGTATAAGACCCGGACACCTCTTCACAACCAAGTAAAGCCAAAGCATGGTAGAATTCAGCGTTATTCCACTATGCTGTTGAACTTAAAAAATATATATATAGGTCGGGCGTGGTGGCTCACGCCTGTAATCCCAGCACTTTGGGAGGCCGGGGCAGATGGATCATCTGAGGTCAGGCGTTCGAGATGAGCCTGGCCAACATGGTGAAACCCCATCTGTACTAAAAATACAAAAATTAGCCAGGCATGGTGGTGCGCACCTGCAGTCGCAGCTACTTGGGAGGCTGAGGCAGGAGAATCGCTTGAACCCGGGAGGCGGAGGTTGCAGTGAGCTGAGATTGTGCCACTGCACTCCAGCCTGGGTGAAAAAGCAAGACTCTGTCTCAAGAAAAAATATATATGTGTGTGTATATATATATACTAAAAAATATAAAAATATATATTCTGTAGTTGTCAGAGACAACAGGAAGCACACGGTGAGGCTATGAGTGATTTAGGAATCATGAGCGTGCAATGTTTTGTTCACACCTTTCAGTTGTGTTTTCAGAAAGTAACTACAACACTGCATAATGCAGCAGAATTGCTGGTTGTAAGCAAAAAGGTAAAAGGGCACTTGCATCATTTGGTTTTATATCTATCTGGTTGTCTTTGAACGTCTAAATATAAGGGGCATCAGACACCATATCAGCACACTTAGTATTATTGTCTGTAATCCTTCTGTGCACAGCAGAATGCACAGCAGGCAAATGTTTTCTAGGATCTCTAGCTAGAAATCATAGTCTGGATGAATCTCAAAATCCTTCAACTTCTTTTCTTTTTTTATTTTGTTGAGACAGGGTCTTCTCACTTTGTCACCCAGGCTGGAGTGCAGTGCTGTAATCATGTCTCACTGCAGCCTCGACCTTCTGGACTCAAGCGATCCTTCCACCCCAGCCTCCCAACTGGCTGGGACTATAGGTGCATGCCACCACACCCAGCTAATCTTTGTATTTTTTGTAGAGAAGGGGTTTTGCCATATTTTCCAGGCTGGTCTCAAACTCCTGGGCTCAAGAGATGGGCCTGCCTCAGCCTCCCAAAGTGCTAGGATAACAAAATCCTTCAACTTCTGAGGATGGGTGGCAACCTCTAGCAATCACTGTGACAAGGTTTTTGTTTACATTTTAGCCTTTGTATTTTCAATAGTTTCGAAAGCAAGGCTTATGTCTTTGTAAAATATTCATATGAAGTAGCATGTTTCAAAGTTTGATTCATGAGATAAAATATGTTCTGAAGCTCTCCTTTTTCTGAACACTTCCTTTTTTTCTTCATAACTTATGTTTCTTTGCACGTCTGGATCAAAGATTGTTTATTGTGGATATTTCTATATGTTCTTCTGGAGTCTTTTTGGAAAAATTTGAGGTGAAATCTTGACATTCTGCTTTTGGCTCATCAGCATATGATAGGAAGAATTCTCAAATAGAAAATTTTCTGAAAAGATTCCTAGCTGAAGTTGAATTAAATAAACTAAAAATTAGTCACAATTGTTAAAGGTTATTTTAATTTGGCAGGACACAGTGGCTCACGCCACGCCTGTAATCCCAGAACTTTGGGAGGCCGAGGCGGGCAGATTACGAGGTCAGGAGGTCAAGACCATCCTGGCTAACATGGTGAAACCCCATCTCTACTAAAAATACAAAACAACAACAACAACAACAAAAACCAACTAGCCGGGCATGGTGGCAGGTGCCTGTAGTCCCAGCTACTTGGGAGGCTGAGGCAGGAGAATGACGTCAACCCGGGAGGCGGAGCTTGCAGTGAGCTGAGATTGCTGTCAAACAACAAAGATTAAAATTATGGTGTAATTTAATCTCTATAATCAATTATTTTTCTCTATTCTATTTGTTATTGTTATTTATATATTTATAAACATCTCTTGGTCCCTGCCTGGCACAATGTGCTCTCTGTAGCACCTAATAACACACACTTTCTCTTAATATTTGTTTTAACTGCCAATCTATTTTTCTACTTATTTTATCACTTGAAAATCTCATTTTTTGTACACAAAAATTGACAGCTTATATTGCCATTAGTTTTCGCAGCATTTTACTCTTGTAATTTTCAATGTACATTTACATTTCAATTGGTTGACAGAATATCAACATATAAAGCATGTAAGGAGACTTTTCACTGTAAGTCACATCTAAATGCTTACTTGTATTTGGAACTAACCATTACGTTATTTGCAGTAAAACTGTGCTTGTAGGCAGGGCATGGTGGCTCACATCTATAATCCCAGCATTTTGGGAGGCCGAGGCCAGGGGATTGCTTGAGTCCAGGAGTTCGAGACCAGCCTGGACAACATGGCAAACCCCGTCTCTTCTAAAATTACAACCAATTAGCCAGGCATGGCAGCATGTGCCTGTAGTCCCAGCTACTTGGGAGGCTGAGGTGAGAGGATCAGCTGAGCCTGGGAAGTTGAGGCTGCAGTGAGCCATGATCATGCCACTGCTCTCCAGCCTGGGCAACAGGAGTGAGATCTTGTCTCAAAAACAAATAAACAAACAAACAAACAAAAACCTGTGCTCGTGTTACATACATTGATAAGATAGTGTCCTACACAATCACATGCCCATTGATCATATAGAAGTTCAAGAATCTAAAAAATGAAATTGATATAGGCATCTGGCTTTTTGGCCTTCCAATGGCTAAGGTCAATGCTTAAACCAAAATTAGATTGTTTTAACTATATATTTTTCCTACCTCATATTACCTCAGCCTTATTTTTGAATGGCACTGAATCCCTATATATTTTCATATTGGGTACTTTTCAAAAATGTATATGCTATTTTACCTCTTGTGACTCATAAGAAGTTAAAACAGAAAAAAAGAGAGCAACATCTGTGTGGCTAATTCAAGAACTATGGGTATTACAGGAAGTCTTATAAGAAAACTAAAGATGCATTGGTGAGATGCTTTTAATTTTCTTACTGTGCCTGAAAAGTCAATGGACTTTCAAAAAATTATATAAACATTTAGCAAAGTTACCAGTTGAGACAAGATGGTGAAGGTTGAGCTGACCTAGGCTCTCAACCAGAGCCAGAGTGCATGAGTTGGGGAGCCATGAGGCAGAGATGGGTGTGGAGAGCAGAGGGGCTGGCGCATCCCATGCCTTCACCTGCTGATCCACCACACATGTTCCACCCTGCCTTCACATCTCTAGGCTCTGCTGGTCCAAAGTTTTTGTGACCAAGTGAGAATACTTCTATAAGTGGACCCAAAAAGTTCTCCCTAATTGGAAACTGAGAATGCCACCTGGTGCTATCATTTTCTTACACAACCAAAGAAATTGCAAACAGAAAAAGAGAGAGAGACAGAGATGGAGGGAGGCAGAAGGAGAGAGAGAAAGAGATCCTGAAAGAGTATATATAATATGGGTGGTGAAATCTAGGGGAATATTTTATTTGTGTCCTTGTACAAGTATATCCAAAAGTAGAAATTAACAGAAACTACCACAGTCCTATACAGACAGGTCTGTAAATGCCTCAGATGGCTAAGAAATGACGGATTGGGCCATCTCAACAGACTCCACCCAGAGAAGTGGTGGCCAAAAGAAAGGGGAACATAAAATGAGTAGTGGAGGAGGGATCTTAAATATCGGTTGCAGAAATAAACACTACTGTTTCACCCTGTACTTCTTTTCTTTTTATTTCTTTAATTATTATGTATGAGTTGTGTTGATTATGGTTAAATTTGACATTTGGTTCATAGGCTGAAGATTATAAATGTCAGCTCGCAATGAAAATCCAATAGAAATTGATGTCGCTGGGAGAGCATGGACTTGCATGACTTTGGACTCAGTAACTCATTTCTAGGTGCAGCAGTTGATGATGACCTTGTGCCTAGCACCCACACTGCTCCCTAGCCATGGGGCTGACCCATGCTGTGTAATTTGACTTGAAAAGCTTTTACAGAAAAAAAGACCAGAAGCATTTATTATTAAAAATGTTTTTTAAAGTTCTGATTAGTTTTACTTTCTACTTTTATTTTATTATTTATTTATTTATTTTGAGACGGAGTCTCACTCTGTCGCCCAGGGTCGGAGTGCAGTGGCGCGATCCCGGCTCACTGCAACCTCCGCCTCCCGGGTTCAAGCAATTCTCCGCCTCAGCCTCCCGAGTAGCTGAGATTACAGGCACCCGCCACTACGCCCAGCTAATTTTTTGTATTTTTAATAGAGACGGGCTTTTACCATGTTGGCCAGGCTGTTCTTGAACTCCTGACCTCATGATTCATCTGCCTCAGCCTCCCATAGTGCTGGGATTACAAGTGTGAGCCACTGCACCCGGCTTCTACTTTTATTTTTAATTTTGTGTTGCTTCCTCGTCCTCTGACTCCCGTTCCTTTTTTTGATGGTTTTCAGATTAGAAAAAAAAATATGTATGTTGTATCAAGGGCTAACTTAATATGTAAAGATGCATAGAAGCATTAGCATCCCTTCCCCCTTTTTCCTGGCTTAAACAAAAAGAAATACAAACATATTCACACATATGGAGATTTTTTTTTTTGTTTTCTTCCACTGATATATTGTCATATGGTATTTATTTCTCTTTAACTTGCTAATTTTTCACTTTATTACAAATCATGGACATCCCTCTATTCAATACATAATACTTAACTCTCCATTTTCCCCAATTTCTTTATGCAAAAATGCAAATTCTTATGCATAATTTTACATTTATGGGATCATATTACGCTTGCATATGTGAGAGTATCTTTTTCTTTTTAGCACAGTTTTTTGTTTCTCTTTTTTTCTCCCTACCAGCCTCTCCAAACCCCCCCTCCCAACTCGAGTGCCCCCAAGTCTCACAATGGCCATGTTCTCTGAGCTAGTACACCCATGCAGCTTTTTTGCCCATTGTTTATGATACGTAATGCACAGTTCTTTGCATATTACCTTTTTATCCTATAAGACCATGCAGAAATTCTTCCAAATCAGGTGGTGTAGTTCTAATTTTTTTCCTTTTAGTGGCATGATAATATTCCAGGGTGTGGATGAGCCAAAATTTATTGACCCCTTCAAGTATTTTAAATTAATCACTTTCTGGGGCTTTTTTTTCCCCCACTTAAATATTCTCATATACCACTCATGTTACTTTTATTTCCATGGTATAGATTCCCAGGAGTTGGATTGGTTGGATGTATCTTAAATTAAAGAGAGGCTGCTAGATTATTTTCTGAAACAATTATGATAATTTACTTCACTTTTTCACAAGCACTGTATAAGAAAACCTCTCAATTCTCCCTACTTCACTGGCCAATTTATTATGCAGACATTCCCATCTTCCAAATACATTTAATATGATGGGCCTAAAGTGATATTTCATTTTTAATGTAATTACTGTGCTTGAGAATGTTTGTATGTTTGTTAGCCATTAGCATTTTCTTTCTGCAAACTGTCAATTTATTCAGGATGAGAGAGGAGACGTAGAAAAATGGAAAGGATAAGGAAAGCGTAGATGAATTCTACATACAACTCTGTGGTGACACACTGGGAACCTCAAGGAAATGAGCGATCTCCCAGAAAAATGTAAATTATCAAAACCCAAAAATAAGTAGAATATATAAATAGGCCAATTAACACAGAAAAATTAGAAAGGTAAACTAATATCTACTTTTTAAAAGGGTACCAGAACCAAATATTTTCACAGCTAAGTTCTACTTACCCTTTAAAGAAGAGATAATATTATCATATTTAAATTATTCCACCTCACGGAAAAAGATGGAAAACTTCCCATTCAACTTTATGAAGCCAGACTATTTTAAAGATAGAATGAAAAAAGGCAACTGTTTATCAATCTCATGTAAGTCCACAAGTAATAGTCAAAACATTGGTGAATGAAATTCAGCAATATATCAAAATATATATACTATGGTCAAGTGATGTTACCCAAATATAGAAACGTGGTTCAGCTTAGGAAGTCTACTCTCTCGATGCATTCAATCAACAAACTGTAGAATAAAACCCCAAATGATCATATTAATAGATACTGAAAAATTATTTTATAAAATCCAGCAATTATTCCCAATAAAAATTCTAAATAGAATTTTTTGTGATAAATTCTGTTATTTAAAATCATCAAAAAAACACCCCAAATGGTAAAATATTAAAACTAAGCCAATTAAGTTCAGAAATCATACATAGATTCCTGCTATCACCATTGAAATTTAATGTTGTCTTAGAGAGTCTAACAAATGCAATAAGAACAAGAAGGAAAAATATTGGTAAAACTTTGCATGCCCATATACCTAGAAAAACCAAGTCTATCTGGAAAAAAAAAACCTTCTGGACCATACGAGAATTAATAGTGTTTCCCTATTTCAGCAATAATTGACTCAGAAATCCAGAAGCTGTGTAAAAAGGTAAACATATTTGAGTATATAAATTGTTCAACTTTTTGTAGAACAAAATAGGTCACAGCAAAGCCAGTTCAAAAATATTTTTGCAAAAGAAAAATTTGCAACTAAGATGATGAATAAAGTATTGATATCTACAATATCCAGAGTTCTTACAAAGTTGGAAGAAAAAGACAGATAACCCAGTAGAGACATGTTGAAAGTCACACCTTGATGAGATCAGGAACTAGATTTCATACCACAGATAGCAGGTTTCCCTCAAAAAGGTTACTTCTAGCAAAGCAAATTGTGCTAGATTAAACAATCAGATTGCAACACTGCTTTCAGCACACTTTAAAAAATAATAATATGAAGGAGGAAAGCATATGCACTTTCTTTCAAACCCCTCTACCCCCTACAACAACATGCCATAAAATTTTAGTTTTATACATTGTCAGGCTATCTTTGTTGTGGAGGGAAAAGAAACTCTGGCATCCTTAAATCTCTGGCCCAGTAGGGGGCCCTGAAATCCTGCCTAGCTGTGGAAGGCCCTCTCCCCTCATCTTGGATGTCCTCAGCTTTCTTTAGACTCACACTCTGCATTGTGGCCCAAAAGGACAGATCACCTGGATTTTGTACACAGATTTAGATGGTGTCTGTACTTTTTCTGCCAGGCCCCACCCAGTGGATTAAGCTGTTACGAGATGGAACCAGAAACCTGGGTCAGGACACACCATCGGCCCCTGTGTAGGATTCTTCATGTGACAGCTACTCCTTCAGATGCAATTTGGCCATCCAGCCATTTGCCCTGCCCCTGGCCCAGGGTAGTCCCTACTTCCTCCGGTCACCTATTGATTCATATGTGTCAGTTATGACACCTTAGACGTTGCTCAGTGACCTTGGGTGAGGCGAGCAGCAATGGAATAATAAGCACCCACCTGTTTCTGAGCTGCGTCTTGGTCCCACCCATGTTCACAGCCTCCATGACCTTGAGGCTGTGTGGCTCTTCTGCAGAAAGCACGGCACACAGGATCCCCAGTTGAGGCAGTGTGCAAACAACAGAGAAAGGATTAGTGAGATGTGGATGGGGCAGGCATCCACGTCTTCTCTATTCCAGAAAGAAGGCTGATATCACAGAGCAAGGGGGAGTCCCAGGGAACTGGCAAAGCAACTGTGACACATCCCAGGAGTGAGTGGGCTTGGGGGCTTGCTGGGGCAGGGAGTTGTAGACTCTCAAAAAGCAGAGGGGGAGATGAATCATGTAGATAACTCAAAACCTGCAAGAAGGAAATTACTTTAAGTACTTAAACTCAAAGGTTGTTAGTTTCAATCCTTCTACAGAAGCCAAGACAAAAAGGTGAAAGAACAGGTGAGGAGAAGGGGATTTCAACACAGGAATTGAAACTGAGACATCCTGGGGCTGCGAGAGGGGCAGAGGTTTTCTTCTCTTTAATTGTCCATGATCCTAGCTCCAATTCCTGAAACTGAAGAATCAGGTTAGTTTTTGTGATTTTCTGATAGCTTCCATGGTGCCCACCAAACACTTAGAACCAGCGTCCATGGACACAGTATTGAATTAAGCATTATGGCATGCACAGAGGATGTGAAACAATTGGAAGGCAATGAACAGCAGTGCCATGGTTTGATGTAGGGCTTCCTTATTCACAGTGAAGTTCATGGACTAACAGCATCCATACCCTCTGGGAGCTTTTCAGAAAGGCTGAATCTCAAGCCCCACCCCAGAGCTACTGATCAGAATCTGCATTTTTAGCAAGACTCCCAGATGATTTGTAGGCAGGTTAAAGTTTTAGAAATGCTTATATAGGCAATAAGGCAGACAGAAGAGACTGCCTGAAGTGGAGGCTGAGGCAATGTGCAAACAACAGAGAAGGGGCTGAAATTGGGGCTGCTACAGAAAGCTTCATGGACAAGTGGAGACTGGGCCAACACACAGGGCCTTTCTTTCCTTTACTCATGTGACCTTCCTACTGGGGGAATATGTGTTTGGTTACAAGTAATACACTGCCTCTCCAGCAAGGTGTCCAGGGATGTTACTTTTGCTTTCAGGAAACCCATGAAAAGGAAATTTCAACTCCTGTAATCAGGAAAGAAAGGAATAGCTCATGTGCTAAGAATGGCCTTCGTCCCTTAGCAAGGAACTGCTCTCTGAGTGCAGAAAGAGAGATTGAATGCCTACCCGAGCCAGACACTCCCCGGCTTTCTCTCCCCACTCGAAACACTGCTTACTGGACTGTGCCTCAGCTTGTCACCACCGACTCCCAGTGAGGAGTGCTCTATTTTAAAATTGCCCTTTGAGGCAGGGTCAGTGGCTCACTCCTATAATCCCAGCACTCTGGGAGGCCGAGGTGGGTGGATCACCTGAGGTCAGGAGTTCGAGATCAGCCTGGTTAACATGGTGAAACCCCATCTCCACTAGAAATACAAAAACTAGCCAGGTGTGGTGGCAGGTGCCTGTAATCCCAGCTACTCGGGAGGCTGAGGCAGGAGAATCACTTGAACCCAGGAGGCGGAGGTTGCAGTGAGCCAAAATGGCACCCCTGCACTCCAGCCTGGGCAACAGAGACTCCGTCTCAAAAAATAAATAAAAAATAAAATAAAATTGCCCTTCGAAGCTGTCTTTACTCCATGGATCTTCAAAAGGACGTTCATTACATTGCACTGGTAGTTGCCATCCTGTTCTCCAGGACACACTAATTAATGACTGCTACAGAAAAACAGGACAAGAGGAAGAAGAAGTCAAAGATGGTCTTCTGTGCTCCAGAAGCTCTGGAAGATGTGAGACTTGCAGAGCCTTTGATACACCAGTGTGGGACTCTAAGCTTATTTAAGCACTTTTTTCAAGATGTAAAAGACTTCAGGACAGGCTTCATCGCTTCTGTGTCTTCTCAAAGAAAACCCATTTTCTCTGAGACATTTTTCTCCTTGAATCCTGTACCAAGAATGACTGTGAATCTACTGGGGAACTACCTTGCCTGATCTTCTGAGTCTAAAAAATCAGAACATATGGCCGGGCACGGAGCTCACGCCTGCACTTTGGGAGGACAAGGCAGACAGATCACGAGGTCAAGAGATGAAGACCATCCTAGCCAACATGGGGAAACCCGGCCTCTACTAAAAATACAAAAATTAGCTGGGAGTTGTGGCGCATGCCTATAGTCCCAGCTACTTGGGAGGCTGAGGCAGGAGAATCACTTGAACCTGGCAGGCAAAGGTTGCAGTGATCTGAGATCACACCACTGCACTCTAGCCTGGTAACAAAGCGAGACTCCACCTCAAAACAAACAAACAAACAACATAAAAAAGAATCAGAACATAGATGTGTTCTGCTCTTTGCTCTGGTTGCTGGACAGCTGACAGCCACGTTGTTGTAGGGCATACAGCAATTCTGAACCTTGGAGCACACCCCTGGTGGCCTGGATCTGGTGTCCACTTGTTTTCTTCCATTTCTCATCTATTTATTTTCAGTGTTTTTCATGGCATATCTCTTATTTGTATGTCACATTGCATCTTTTTTCAAATGAAAACTGAGAGGCTAACTGCCTTGCCCAAGCTCACACAGCTTATCAGTGAGGAATACAAGATTCAGAGCCTAAGCTCTCCCATGCCCCCTCCCTAGTCTTGAGTAAGGCCCATGAAAGACTTGGCTGTGCGCACAACACTGGGAATTGGTAGGAAGTGACCATTATTGGACAGCAGTGATTTGACCTAATCATTTCCTCTTCTTATGCTTGTTTCTTGCTGGCTTGCCTTCTCCACACCCACCCTATAGTGCCCCTTCCTTACTCTCCAAAACTCTTCATCAACTCCCCAAATCCAAGACCTATAATCTATGACTGACAGCTCCAGCTTCTAAATAACCAGGTATATAGGAACAATGCCCCAATAGCCATAGCAACAGGGGTGGGTGGCATTCCAGTATATTGCATCTGTCACAGCCCCCATTTCCACCCGCCATCCCCACATACAGTAGAACCCCAGCCACAGGAACTCAACTGAATATGGCCTTGCTAACTCACACACAAACCCCAGCAGCTGCATCCATCTCTTTGAAATGAGGCTTTCATGCTGTGGCTGCCACATGGGCTCCAGATGGCATTCCAAGCAGGAAGAAAAAAACTAGGAGGAGGAAGGGACAACAACAATATCAGGAAGGGAAAATTTCCCAGGAATCCTCAGCAGACTTCTACTTAGGTCTCATTGGCCAGGACTGTGCACCTGGCCACCCCTAGCTGCAAAGGAGGCTGTCTTGAGTACAATCATGGCCAGAGAAAGGAGGAGAGATGGGTTTTGGGTAATCTGCCACACCAGAGAGGCCACCCTAAATCCCTGGGTTGAGTATAAGGTGCAGAAAACAGGCAGCAGAAGGGGAGCACCAGGGTCAAATAGATGAAGATGGTCATTTAAAGGGATGCAGTGGTCATTATGTGGCATCCCTAGACTCCCCTCTGGCACTGAAGGGCTCATCTTCCCAGTGCTTGGAGTTCTGCTAACATACCCCAAGCTCTCAGCCTTCTTTGGGAATCATGTTGGCTGAAAAGAGTCACCTTGCCCAAAGTCATGCCCCTGTCCAGGGGCAAGGGCGGCCCTCATCCATTGCCTCATCCCTGCATAATTTTGCAGGCCCATCCTAGCCCCAGAGTGCCATGTGGGGTAGGCTGAGGTTTTGAGACTGCGTGGCCTCCCCCTCTCTTTTCCCACATCCTCTCCTCCCCTTCCCTTCCTCCCACGGCCCTAGAGCGCTCCTGATAAGCATCCAGCAGGGTGATCTCCCTAAGCCACAGCCTGCACCAAAGAACAAACCACTCTTTTTTTCTAGTTAAACCTCACTGGCATCTGCTGAGTGCTGGGTGTGTTTGAGGCACTGAGCCAGGTGCTGGGAGTGGAGGGAATGGGTGATCCAAACATGAGTAAGATCAGTTCCCACCTTCTAGAATCTCACAGCCCAGTGCATGGAACTGGGAAAACACGTGACTCCGAGACAAGACAACAGATAGTAAGATAAATACAAAGTGTGATGGCTACTCAAAGGAGGAAGACGTTATAAATGTTTTGATAGGAAGTGGAGAGAGATTAGGAAATCTGGAGATGCTGCACATGGGAGGGAGACTTTGACAGGCCTCTGAAGGATGGCTGGGTAGAGCCCATGGCAGACAGCACTCCAGGCAGGACCGGCCTAAGCAAAAGCGCAGAGGGCTCAGCATGGGCCATGTCCAGATGGCAACACAGATCCAGTTTGGCCACAATGGGAAGTGAAACAGAGCACAAGTTAAGAACATGAGCTTCCAAGTCAGACAGTGCTGTGCTCAACTCGCAGCTCTGCCCTCTCTAAGAGAGGGATGTCAGCAGGTAACTTAACCTCCAACAGCCATGGTTTTCTTATCTGTAAATCAGGAATTGCAACACCCCCCTCTGCCCCAGGGGTCATTGTGGGGACTGAATAGTGGAAATATTAAACTACTACATGAACTCTTCGAGGAGCAGGAGGCTCCGTTGACACCCTAGTTTTTATTATACAAGCAGAAATATTAAGGCTACTTCTGCAGCCACTGGTTCTCAAAGTCAGATCCCTGATCAGCAGCATCCCATTACCTGCGAGCCTGCTAGGAATGCAGAATCTCAGGCCCCAACCCCAACCCAGACCTGCTGAATCAGAAATTCTGGGTGCGGCATCCAGCAGTGTATATTAATGAAGGGAGCTGAGGCACATGAAAACCTGAAAACCTCTGGGTTAAGCCAACAGAGGAATTTATTTTAAGGGTACAGGAGCTCTTCATGGAATTCAAAGACAGGTGCAGCAGGGCCTCAAAAAAGGGCGGCTGACAGAGATGGGAGACTGGGGCAACAAGGATCTCCTTCTGCTTCTCTCATCTCAACTTATCTTTTAACCTCTGCCTCTCTCTTCCTGTGGCTGCGAATAAGCTTTCTTTATGTCTTACTTCCACCAGCTGAGGGTTTCTATCGTAAAGGGTGAAATCTGAGAGGCTGAAATCTGTTTGTCTCCACTCCAGGTCACCCTGGAAGCCGCTCATTGGCCCAGATGGAGTTCGGTGCCTCTACCTGGGCCGCTTAATGTGGTTTAGAGGCTGAGACACTTAGTCTGAGTATAGGTGCTCTTGCCCAAACCAAATGGATGAAAGTGAGGTGCCGATTCAATGGGGTCTCCTATGCTAGGAACACCAGCCAGTCAGGTGCTGGAGAAAGAGATCAAGTTGAGACTGTGGAATTTAGGAGACTGTGGCTTTGAGACTAGTTCCATAGAACAGTGGTTCTCAAAGTGTGATCCCCAGACCAGCAGTCTCAGCCACATGATGTCAGAAGTGCAGTCTTGGCCCCAACCTACCCCAGAGCTACTAAACCAGAAACTCTCTTGGTGGCCTTGTCAATCCTTGCTTTAACAAGGACAAGTTAGAGAACCACTGTCAGGGAGGGCACAGAAAGAGGTAAAAAAAAAAAAAAAACTTTTAAATGAGAGAGACACATCATTTCTGTAGCCTCGTCCGTCTTTCACTCCATTTTCTTAGAATCATAATGAAACAGGCAAACGAGACATCAGAGGAAAACACATCCAGGGTGATGGCTCCCCCTTCTTTTCTTTCCTTAGTGCACAGTGCACATAGTAAAAGACAACTTCCCAAATTATGCAGGCTGTTAGAGCTGGAATAGAGCCTGATCTTCCCTCTTTACTTTTGGGGAAACCAAGGTCCTGAGGGATAGCATTTCAGAACCAGTGTCTCATTTACTGGCAGAGAAGGGACTGAATCTCAGGCCCCCTAACTTCAAGCAGTCATGATTTAAAAATGGAACTTGTCTAAGTCAAAGAGAAAAGTAACTGAGAAAGTAGATTCAAAGGCAGTCATACAAGACCTGCATAGAAAATTAAAAGCAATGCAGCCCTGGCCAGTGGAGTTAGCATCTACAGTGTCATTTTGTGGAATCCCAAACCGAATTATCAATCCCCGACATCCATGGTCAAGCCTTAAATTCCATCGTTATGATGACTAAGAGCTTTTTTCACTCACCACAAACCAGGTAAACCTAAACCACTGCCACCTCAAAATTAGAACATCCAAGGCTTTAACAAGAAAGGAAAAGAGAGGAGAGGAAGGAGACATCTTGTAGAGACATAACAAAAGAAAAAGACAGCTCATAAGTTCTTATATTGAAGTAGATCTGCCAAGTATCCAACAAGGGAAAAACAGCTAGAACATTGCACAGAGTTGTGAAAATCACCTACTTTAAAGTCTGAGCTTTGTAAAACTGCAAAAAGAGAGATACTCTTGGCAGTTAGTGTGTCAGCCTTAATAAAAGGAAGTGGCAAGTCTAGCCTGTGTCAGGGTGGATTAGCATGGCCTGTGTGGGATGCAAAAAGGACAGCAGACGACAAAAAAAAAAAAAAAAAAAAACATGAATATTACAAGGATTAAAAAAGAGGAACCAGACTGAACCAAAACGAAGAGATCTTTCTTTGGTCTTAGCTATGGGTTTTACCAAGATGTGGATGAGGAGGGGTGGGTATGGCTGGTTGTGCAGGTTGCCCTAAACAGTTGCACTGGCACTCTTGCCAGTGGGATAGGTGCAGAACTAAGTCCATCTGGTGCTCTGCTCATCAATCCATGCTCAGACCAGCCCGAGGGGACGGGGTGGTGAATGTTCCTAATCTTCCAAGGCCAGCAACAGGCTGAGGTTATAAGTGACAGAATCACCTAGCTGGCTTGCTTTTGATACTTGTTCTTTGATAGATGTATGTTCAAATTAACTGTTGGCAACCTGTACATTTCAAAGAATGACTTCGAGTCTTTTCAACTAATTTTCTTATTTTCTTCATAAACTTCCAAACTCAGGATATCCAATCAACCCTTTAGAGTCAATGGCTTGGTGCCTAGACAGAGCAAAATGAGAATCTCCCTTTCACAGAATGACACGAAGGAACAGATTCCCTCTTACAAAGAAGCACCAATTACAGGATAATCCCTTTTTTCTGGAGCCAGATTCAAACTCAAATTATTATTATTTTGTTTAATTTCATTGCTTGTTTCTGAAAATGCTTTTTTTGTGGGGGTGGGGATCCTTAGGGATTTTGCTGTTCTGGTTCGGGGTTTGCTTTCCTACTGCCTTTCATGATACCTCCATGCTTGCTGTGACTAGGATCCGTCAAGCACCCTTTACTTTTAGAAATTCTTCCCAAACACTCAAAATTACAGAAGCAGAAATAGCAGTGTCCTCCTCTCTCCAACAAGGAACAGGAAAGAAACTTGCCTGAAAAGGAGAAGCTGGTTTCCAATAAGTACAAACTAGAAGAGATGACTTGTTTGCTGTTTGGAAATTTGGAACCTTCGCAACTAGACTGTTTGTGGCAGTGAGGCTGGTGCCACCCATGTGCTTAGCATCAATAGTGTGGCCTGGGGCTACGTCTACGACCTGACCACTTAACACCATCGCGACTGCTACTGTCCTCGTCCAAGCCACCATCACAGGTGGGGCTTGCTTCCCTCCTCTGCCCTTCCTGTAATAGGCTATGCTCAGTGCAGCAGCCAGAGATCCTGTTAAAACATCCATCCCTCCACTACCCAGAGCCCTCTACTAGCTCCCCAGCTGGTTCCCAGTAAAGGGAAAAGCCCTTCCCATGGCCTGCTAGGCCCCACAAGACCTGGCTCCCAACCCCCTGCTCTGCCTTGGGTCCCACCACCACACTCCCCCTCACTTCCTCTGCTCCAGCCACACCCTGGCTCTCTTGCTGTTTCTTTCTTTCTCTCTTTCTTTTTTTTTTTTTTTTTTTAGAGGGAGTTTCACTCTTGTTGCCCAGGCTAGAGTGCAATGGCAAGATCTTGGCTCACTGCAACCTCTGCCTCCCGGGTTCAAGCAATTCTCCCTGCCTCAGCCTCCCAAGTAGCTGGAATTACAGGCGTGTGCCACCACGCCCGGACAATTTTTGTATTTTTAGTAGAGACAAGGTTTCACCATGTTGGCCAGGCTGGTCTTGAACTCCTGACCTCAGGTGATCCACCCACCTCAGCCTCCCAAAGTGCTGGGATTACAAGCGTGAGCCACCGAGCCCGGCACCCTTGTTGTTTCTTTGTGCCCATGTATAGAAATTTCTCTAGGCCGGATGTATACCTAAAAATAGAAGCGCTGATCAGGGCATCTCTACATTTTATAGATATGCCAAATTTCTTACAAATGGGTTTGTAATTTAAATTTCTACCCACATCGTGGGAGATGGTAGCTTTTGTCACGTTCTCTCCAATACTTGGCTTTATCACATATTTTAATTTTTACTAATCAGATGTGTGGGAAATGTGAACCCAACACAGGTTCAATCTACATTTTATTGATTATAATGAAAGTTGAGCTTATTTTCATGTTTATTGGTTATTTATATTTCCTATTCTGGAAATCTGCTGGGAAAGAGAGGAAACTGAGATAATGCGATTTCTTTAAAAGTTTATTCAGTTTTTCTATTTCTCATGAGTTGATTTTGGAAATGCATAATCTTCTAGAAAGTTATTCATTTCATCCAAATTTCCAAATGAATTGGCGTAAAGTTACTCCCTCTGTTCTCTCCTGAGGCCTACCCTCTATCCCATTTAGCTATCTTTTGTTGTTGCTTTAATATTACTTATTTGTACCTTTTCTCATTTCTTTTCATCACTCTTGTTAAAGGTGAGTTAATTAAGACTGAATAGCCTCAGATTAGGCTACTCACAGAGTTATGAAAAGAAGTTGCAGTTTTCAGAATCTTAGATTTCAGAAGAGTAAATGGCAAACTATGGATCCATGTTTTCATTTTCATTTAGTTTTAAATATTTTGTAACTTTTGTTCTGCTTTCATTTTAACTCATAAGTCCTTTAGAAATTTACTTATTATTTTATTTTATTATTATTATTATTTTTGAGATGGAGTCTCGCTCTGTCGCCCAGGCTGGAGTGTGGTAGTGTGATCTTGGCTCACTGCAACCTGCACCTCCCAGGTTGAAGTGATTCTCCTGCCTCAGCCTCCCGAGTAGCTGGGATTACAGGCACCCACCACCACACCCAGCTAATTTTTGTATTTTTAGTAGAGACAGGGTTTCACCATGTTGCCCAGGCTGGTCTCCAGCTCCTGACCTCAAGTGATCCACCTGCCTCGCCCTCCCAAAATGCTGGAATTACAGGTGTGAGCCACCACACCTGGCCAGAAACTTATTTTTAGCTTCCAAACACATGTTCTTCTGCTTTTTGCAATCTATATGAAGGTGATTTTTAATCTAATAAACTGGTCAGAAAGTGTGGTCTGTATGATACAGTTACTTGCAAACTTGCTAATAAGTCTAGTATAAATGTACACATGGTCAGCTTTTCTGTAAGTTCTGTGTCTTCTCTGTTTCATAACATCTGAGCTGGCAGGCCATGAATGGGCTATGAGTATGTTGTAGCGTATTGATTTATTCAGCCCTAGGACAGCTGGGCAATGCCTTATCATGAGCGCCATAGTCTGGGGTTCCTCAGAGGGCAGCCCTGGCTCAGGAAGCTCACCCCGGGTGGCAGGCACAAGAGGCTTATTCAGCCTTTGCTGCTCTATGGTATGTGCTAAGCCCAGGGATGACATCCACATCACCAGCCAGTTACAGAGCCCTTGACTGCCAATCCAGAACAAGGGGTCTGTCAAATCGCAGGAGGAGTTTGTCCATGTTACAGGTGTCCAGGAACCCGGAGCACAGCCCAGGTCTCCAGTAGAGTTGGGGGCTAGGGAGGCTCAGTCAGGGCTCCTGGAAGATATAGCTCCTGGCGGCAGCACCCATTCTCTGTTTTACATATTTTGGTCACTTCCCTCCATTGTGGCTGTTGTGCCCTTTTAGTGGCATCCCGACCATTTGCAGGGTGACCATTCTAACAATATATGCATGATTTGTGAAGTAGCACTGCATCATGTTAAAAACCCTACATGTGAAACATTTGATACCTTTGATATTTGTCTGTATTTCAAATTTCAAGATATTTCAACATTATATTTTCTAATGAAAGACAACTATTAGATCCTTCAAATATCATTTCAACTGTTGCAAACTTTTGAATGATTCTAAACATTTTGCTTTCATTTTTGTCACTTACTTATTTGAATAAAGCTTCTCATTGATCACGATTATCACGAATTTGAAATTATTAACAGGAAAAATCTTGATTTGAAATGTGCTTAGCAATTTTAAGTGTAAAATATGATAAAGCCTTATGTCTGTGGGAGCAACCTCATTTCTGATGTAAAAATTGGAAAATATTTTATTTGTAAAATTTTTGAAAAGTCAGTATTTAACATTTTATAATGCTGAGAATTTTGTATTTCTTCTTGTTATATTAACAAAATGAAAATTACCTTCTTGGCAGATTGTTTCTTTAATGTTATGTAGTTTTTCTCTTTCTCAAATTAAACCTTTTGCCTTAAATTCTATTTGATGTTACTCTTCAGCATGATTTTGGTGAATTTTTTTTCTAGAATACCTCTCCATCCCTTTATTTTCAGTCTTCCTATGTGCTTTTGTTATAGGAGCTCTTGTATAAGCAGTGTCTGAAAGTCTACATCCTTAAGAAATTATGTTATTCCATTACTTTTTAACTTTTTTTTGATTACGGATATAATCAGACTCGCTTTAGCTAATCTGTTTTGTTTTCTGTTGACCAACTTTTTCCTTTCTTAAATCTCTTCCCTTGTCTTTAGTCTGCTTTTCCCCCTGGAATTTATACAGTGTAGTCAATTCTCTTTGAAGTTACTCTTATTTTTCTTTGTTTTAAAAAACATCCATCTTGAATTACAGGTTTTTCTAACAGATTCTAAAGTTTTTCAATATTTCTATTTTTCTTCTCAACGCGACATAAATTTTTGCACACTTTGCTCAATGAGCATTACCTCCCTACTATCTAGTCATTGCTGCCCTGAGGTTTAGGGGATTTTGTTTAGGTGGTTTTCTTTTACATTTCTAAACAACGTAAGTTTTCTTCCATCAGCAGTTAAATTTACCAATCTATTTTTATCAGTTTCTGTCCTTACAGCCATTTCTTGTATGTCATGATTTTCTTCTAGGTTCACTTTTCTTCTTGTGGAAGCACATTTTAAAAATAGTTCTTTTAATGAGTGCCTGTAAAGAGTAAAATCCCTTAATCCTTGTATGTCTTAAGATGTCTTTCATTTGTCTTCACTCTTGAATAACAATTTAGCAGGGTGTAAAATTCTATGTTGATAGTCATTTTCCTTGAACACCTTGTCATCTGGCATAAAACCAATCTTTTCTCGATGATGTCTTTCAAGGGATTCTCTACATCATTAATGTGCTACAATTTCACAATAATATATCTAGGCATATGTTGAATAGAACATTCATGTCCTCCAATTCTAGAATAATTATTAGTTATTAATTTTTCCGATGTTAGTTTTCACTGATCCCCTTCTCTCTTATTTTTTGAAACACCACGCAAATGTCAGTCTCTCAATCTATTCTCTAGTCTCTTATTAGTTCTCCCACATAAAATATCTTTGCTCCTTTGAGCTATGTCCTGGGTGGGTTTCTCCATATTAATTTCCAATTCATGGATTTTCTTTGTGTGTAGTTTGGAGAGCATTATTTTCCATTTTGATGACAATAATCTTAATTTCTAAGATTTTACTATTTTTGATTTGTTCTTTTTCATATACTCCTTCTTTTTGTGTCATTTCTTCCCATATTATTTTGTAGTCATTGCTCTATTTTAGTATCAAGTAATTCCTTCATTTGTTTCTCCAGAATAACAAAATACAGTAATTTTAAAGTCTTTTTTCAATTAATTCATCATTAATTTCATCTGGAGTAAATCTGAATCAGGATGATTCTGGACACAACTATCACAAAAGCTAACCAAAATTAATAGATTAAACAAAAAGGGGAGTTATTGTTTCACATAACAAAACATCCTGAGTTAAGATAATAAGACAATAATCAATCATAAGCAATATTTTAAGATAAGAAATCTACATGCGTTGCTTATTTATATCCTATAGCTAATAAATCATAATGCCCTTTTAATTACAAGTGTCTATACCTTCAGAAATAAAAAAAAAAATTTAAATTTTAGTACCAAGTACAATAAATTATAAAGTAACAGAACCAATTTAGCAAATCAGACTTTTGATACTTAAAGTGATATTTCATAGTAATTATAGTTATATCTAAAGTCTAGGTATCTTGAAAATCTCTGTTAAAAACACACTGCAAGAATGATTTTTTATGATAAAAGAAAAAGGTGGTCACAATTAGCAAAATTTTCTCATCCAGTCTTTACCAGACAAAAATGTAGGACCAATATTCTTGTGAATGTTCTCTGCTTAATACATTATTGGAATTGACTTTTTAATTACCTTTATGGTTTAGAATTTTGTCTGCCCTCTACAGCTGCAGAGAGGTGGTATATTTTAAATTGGGGTGTCTATATGTTCGCTGCTAGTATATAGAAGCACACCTGATCTTTTAAAAAACAATTTTTTTGAGACAAAGTCTCGCCCAAGCTGGAGTACAGTGGCACGATCTTGGCTCACTGCAGCCTCCCTCTCCCCAGTTCAAGTGATTCTTGTGTGTCAGCCTCCCCAGTAGCTGAGATTACAGGCACATGCCACCAAGCCCAGCTAATTTTTACAGTTTTAGTAGAGATGGGGTTTTGCCATGTTGGCCAGGCTGGTCTCGAACTCCTGGCCTCAAGTGATCCACCTGCCTCAGACTCCCAAAGTCCTGGGTTTATAAGTATGAGCCATGGTGCCCAGCCATAACTGATCTTTATTTGCTTGTCTATAGTTCTCTATTATTGTACTGACTTTCTCTGGTTTTGGTGTCAAGGTAATTCTAGATATAAAAAATTACAAGTATTCCTTCCTTTTCTATTTTCTTGGAGAGATTACATAGCACTGGTTTCCCCCAGTGAAACCATATAGACCTGGAGATTCCTTTTTTGGGAATTTCAAGAATTATGGATTCCATTTCCTTAATAGTTAGAGAGAATATTAAAATTTTCTGTGTCACACGGGGTGAGTTAAGGTAGTTTGTGTTTTTCAAAGAATTGGTCCATTTCATTGAAGTTGTGAAATTTATATGTGTAGAGTTGTCCATAGTGT
The DNA here is from genome assembly GCF_000001405.40 of Homo sapiens. Taxonomy (NCBI): domain Eukaryota; kingdom Metazoa; phylum Chordata; class Mammalia; order Primates; family Hominidae; genus Homo; species Homo sapiens. The sequence continues at coordinate 46,307,101 of NC_000003.12, forward strand.
TCCCTTATTTTCCTTTTGATTTCTTTGGGGTCTGTAATGATACCCCTTGTTTAATTCCTGATATTGGTAATTTGTGTCTTCTTGCTTTTTCTCTTTGTCAGTCTTACTAGAGGCTGTCAATGTTAGTAATCTTTTAGAAGAACAAGCTCGTATTTTCCTGATTTTCTTCGTCATTTTTCTCTTTTCAGCTTCATTGATTTCTGCTCTTATTTTTATTATTTTCTTGTTTTTCTTGCTTTGAGTTTATTTAGCTCTTCTTTTCCCAGCTTCTTGAGGGAGCAAAATAACTGATAGGAGATTTTTTCCTCTTTCCCAATATACACATTTAGTGCTATAAATTTCTCTCTCAGCATTGCTTTAGCAGTGTCTCACAGATTTGGGTATGTTGTATTTTCTTTTTTTTTTTTTTTTTTTTTTTTTGAGACGGAATCTCACTCTGTCACCCAGGCTGCAGTGGCATGATCTCAGTTCACTGCAAGCTCCTCCTCCCAGGTTCACGCCATTCTCCTGCCTCAGCCTCCCGAGTAGCTGGGACTACAGGTGCCCGCCACCACGCCCGGCTAATTTTTTGTATTTTTTAGTAGAGATGGGGTTTCACCATGTTAGCCAGGATGGTTTGATCTCCTGACCTCGTGATCCACCCTCCTTGGCCTCCCAAAGTGCTGGGATTACAGGCGTGAGCCACTGCACCCAGCCATATTTTCTTTTTAATTCAGTTCATTGTATTTTTAAATTTCCCTTAAGACTTTCTTTTTGGTGCATAGATTATTTATAAGTGTACCGTGTAGTTTCCAAATGTTTGTTGATATTTCTGTTTTCTTTTTTGGGTGGAGGGAGGGGGACAGAGTCTCATTCTGTCACCCAGGCTGGAGTGCAGTGGCACAATCTTGGCTTACTGCAACCTCCACCTCCTGGATTCAAGTGATTCTCCTGCTTCAGCTTCCTAAGTAGCTGGGACTACAGGCACGCACCACCATGCCCGGCTGATTTTTGTGGGTTTTGGCAGAGATGGGGTTTTCACCATGTTAGTCAGGCTGGTCTTGAACTCCTGACCTCAAGTGATCTACCTGTCTCGGCCTCCCAGAGTGCTGGGATTACAGGTGTGAGCCACTGTGTCCAAACTGTTATCTTTTTATTATTGATTTTTATTTTGATTCCATTGTTATCTGAGAACACACCCTGTGTTATTTTAACTCTTTCAAAGAGTTGAGGCTTGTTTTATTGCCTAGAACATAATCAACCTGGGTAAATAACCTGTGGATGCTTATAAAGAATATGTATTCTACTGTCATTTTGCTGAAATGTTCTTTAAACGTCAATGAGATCCTGTTGGTTGATGATGTTATTAAGTTCTATAATCTTATAATTTTTTTATCTAATTGTTTTATCAGTAGTTGAGAGAAGGATTTTGAAGTCTCCAGCTATAGTTGTTGATTTATCTCTTACTCCTTTTATTTTTTTTCCATGTTTTCTTCACATATTTCACAACTTTAATGTTTGGTGCACACACATTTAAGATTTCTATGTCTTCTTGGGAGAGTGACATTTTTATCCATTTGTAATGTCCCTCTCTGCCCCTGTTATTTTTCTTTGCTCTGAAGTCTTCTTTATGTGATATTGAGACAGGCACCACTATTTCTTTTGTTTTTTTTTTCTTTAATGCCCCCACACCTATTTTTTGAGTAATATTTGCATGATATATCTTTTTCCATCCTTTTATTTTTGATCTACATATATCATTATTTTGAAGTGAGATTCTTGTAGACAGCATATAGCTGAGTCACATTTTAAAATCCATACTACCAATCTTTGTTTTTAAATAGGTGCACTTAGATCATTTACATTTAAAGTAATTATTGACATATTAGGGCTTATGTCTGCCATTTATTTTTAATTCCTGTTTGTTCTCTCTGTTTTTCATTTCTGTTTTTCTTCTGCCTTTCTGTCGGATATTAGAGCATTTTTTTAGAATTCCATTTTGATTTATCCATGTTTTTTTACCTTTTAAGTTGTTGCTCTGGGTATTATGTGACAAATACATTAATTATCACAGTCTACTGGTACCAACTTTCACCCATTCAAAGGATGTACAGAAGCCTTATCTCCCTATCCTTCTAGCCTATATACTGTCTTCAATATTTCCTCTACACACATTTCAGACTATCAGTGTTACAATTTTTGTTTCAACCAGCAAATACAATTTAGAAAGCTCATGAGCTGGAAGAAAATGTACTGCACTTACCTATAATTTTAGTCTTTTTGCTGTTCTTGCCTCCTTCTTCATGTTTTGTCACTTCCCTTTGGTTCAGAGAACTCCCTTTAGACATTCTCTTATGATAGTCTTATTTGCTAGTGACAAATCCTTTCTTTCTCTTCATCTGATAATGTCTTGATTTTCCTTGCATTCTTGAAGGATATTTTCACTGGATATAGGATTCTAGATTGATGGTTCTTTTCTTGCAGCAATTAAAAAATGTTGTGCCACTAACTTTGGGCCTTATGATTTCCAATGAAAAATTCACTGTCATTTAAGCTGCTTGTCCTCTACTGTGTTTCTCTCTGGCTTTCAATATTTTTTTGTTCTCTATCTTTAGTTTTCAGAGGTTTGATTATAATATGTCTTGGTGTGGATTTCTTTGGGTTTATCTTGTTTGGGATACACTCAGCTTCTTTAATTTGTAAGCTTATGTCTTTTGCCAAATTTATAAAGTTTTTACCCATTATTACTCTAAATATCTTTTTAGCCTCATTTTCTTTTTTTTCTCCTTGTGGGACTCATAACATAAATTTTAGATCTTTTGTTGTAATTCCACAGGCTCCTGAGGCTCTGTTCATTTTTTTTATTATTTATTTAGTTAGTTAGTTAGTTATTTTTGAAACAGAGTCTTGTTCTGTCGCCCAGGCTGGAATGCAGTGGCACGATCTAGGCTCACTGCAACCTCCACTTCCTGGGTTCAAGTGATTCTCCTGCTTCAGCCTCCTGAGTAGCTGGGAATACAGGCACACACCACCATGCCTGGCTAATTTTTGTGTTTTTAGTAGAGATGGGTTTCACCACGTTGGTCAGGCTGGTCTCAAATTCCTGGCCCTGAGTGATCTGCCCGCCTTGGCCTCCCAAAGTGCTGGGATTACAGGCGCGGGCCACCACGCCTGGCCATAATTTTTTTTTTAAATTTTCTGTCTGTTGTTCAGATTAGGTCATTTCTATTGTTCATTCTTCCAGTTCACTGATTCTTTTCTCTGTCTCCTCCATTCTGCTCTTGAACCCATCCAGTCAGTTTTCTTCTAACATTTAAGCAAAATGTTTTATTGACTTTAGGTAAGCTGGGAATAATTGCCTACATTTATGCTTTAAGGCATTTTACCTCATTGTAAAAAAAAAAAAAAACAAAACACACAAAGATAAATGTTAGATACTTCTGGCTTTCATGTGTTTGAGGCTCTGGGCTGAGAGAATGTTCAGCCCTTTCCTATAATATGTGCTTCTGTATTACAACTCATCAACCAAAGGTGTATGTTCCAATTGTTGCCATTAACAAGTAGAAGTTTGTTTCTAGCCAGAAGCAAACTTCTTTGCAGAATTGATGATGACAGCACTAGCCAACCAACTAATCTACTGAAGGACTGGTGATATTGGCTTGTAAGAACCAGTAACTACAGCCTGGGGCCTGACTTCTTCTATGAAACCCTCGGAAGACTTCACTTATATTTGGTATCCAGCTTTCAGTTTGTTCTTGGCAGCCTGGACATTGAAAAGCTTTTCTTGAGCAATTATTTCCACTTGGTTATAGGTAGCCTTGATAACATCTCCAGCAGCTGCAGCCTGGAAGACAATGTACATCCTGAAGAGTCCAAAATTGGAGTAACTAGCATTAAAAACAGAAATAGCAAGTGGCTGGTGAATTGCCTTGGCAATAGCCTGCTATAGATAGCTGGTGGCATCACTGTGCCCCTTGACATATGGTGTCCCTCTTGATATGCTGAAAAACACTAAATGCATTTGCTGTGCCCTTCTTGTGGCAGCACTTTCTGCTACAAGAGCAAGCATGGACAAGACTGTCTCCATTTTGTTCCTGAATTTCACCTCCAGAGTATTTGGCTTTTGTACCAGACAAAAGAAACCCACCCCTCCTGTTGAGAAACTATTCAGCAACTTGCTTTAGAACAGGGTGACTCACACCAAGTCCAACCAAGCCATTCTTGCACTTGTGAAGTGGTTCTAAACATAGTAATGTAACTCTTCCCATGTCACTTTTCCAATCCTATAGCCAGGACAATACAAGGAATTAGCCAAGGCATCCCAATAAGCTTCAGTATGCAAATTTTCAATGACATGTGCCTGTGGATTCTGAAAATTCACAGATCTGTCTATCCTTAGCTGAGACTGAAGGCATCTACTTCCCAATGACCAAATCCTGGTGCTGTGGCGACACTGAGCAGGAACTCCATTAGAATATCAATATCACTCTGCAGACATTCCATGATGTAAGCTATGTTTTCTCTTGTTGCAATTACACTTAATTTACCACCAGCTGCTTCAATGTCATGGGCTATCTTGAAAAATGAAGCTCCTTTCGTAGTCAAACTGGATGCAAGACACAGCAAATGAGAAGTTACTAAATTGTTGGAGTCCTCATAGCTACTGCCTGCTTTAATGAACAAACCAATTCTTGATGCAGGGCATAGTTTTCCAAAGGAGAAATCATAAAACCATTTGGAAATTTGATGATCTCAAGGTCCTGATGATGTGGAGCCACTCCTATGGGGGTAGCTGTGGCTTTAACTTTGGGGGCAACTTTGAGGGAATAAAGTCTCAAAAAGAGGGAATAAAGTCTCAAGATTGTTCGTGACCCATAGTAACTTCTGGCTTAAAGGACCATTCGGCAAGTTTTTAAATGTATTTTCTATAATTTCCATGTAGTTCTTTATATTTTCTATTTCTTATTTAAAACCTCTATTTTAGCTCGTTTCCTTTGACACTGCTCTGGCAGGGAAAGGGGTGGCACTGCCTCATTACTGCCAGGTAGGGGTAGAAGTCCATTATCCACTTGGTCTCCATTGATACCCAAAGTGGGGAGAGGCTCCTGTTACTGCTGGTGAGGGTGGGAGTCCCCCCACTAAGTTTCTGCTAATACTGTCCTGGTGGCTTGCTACTATTCCCATGAAGCCTCCACTGATACTACATTACTTTTGGGTGGTGGCAAATGTCCTGCCTCTCCACTAGCCCTCCTGCTCTAAAACAACCCGAGTAGGGAGTGGGAAGGAAGCTTTGTTACTGGTAGGTGGGAGCTGAAGTCCAGACTTGCCACATTGTCCCACTGATGCTACAGGGAGGAGGAAGCGGGCCACATTACTGCCTGATAGGGATGAAAGCCCCAGCTCCCTACCTGGCCTTCGCTGATACCAGCCTGCTACAGGAGTGAAGAGAGATTTGAAGGCCTCAATATAGCCTGTCGAGGGTGGAAGTCTTGCTCCCAATGGGCCTTTAGCAGCATGGGTGGGTGTGGGGCCATAGCTGTCTCTGTACTGCTTGGCTAGAGTGGAGTATTTGAGGTCCAAAAGTTTTCTGTCTTTCTAGCCCTTTGGTTAGAAAGAGCAGACTTTTGTTGGAAGTATTTTTTTGTGTTTACCTGTTGTATTTCCAGGTTCCTAGCTTCTCCAGCACAGTCTGGGATGTGTGAGACACAGAGAAAATCCAGTGATGTTACTACCGTATGGTTTCTTGGGTCCCAACGTCTCTAGCTAATCTGCTCCACCTTTTGGAGTTTTCTTATTTGTTTTAGATCAGGGATTTAGTCATATTTAATAGGAGAAATATGGAAAAATACTTCTACTCTATCTTCCTGGAAGTTCCTGTTTATTTTTTATGTCCTTTTCCTCTGGCTAGACCGTAAGAGACTTACGAAACAAACACTTACACATTCTACTAAACTCAATGTCCAAAGTTTGTGAACTTCTTGAATATTGCTTGTTCATTTCCACCCCCAGTCACTGACTGAATCTCCCTGCTGTCTGTCTACAATGCCAATGAGCTTCTGGTTAACTTCTTCTCATGCATGCTTAGGCAACAACTTCCCAGTTTTACTACACTTGCCCATCCCTAGTTTTGTTGTTGCTTAATCCCTTGGCCTAGTGCCACCATACTCCTCCAGCAGAGCAACCAATTCTTACATTATAGGACAGCACATATCCACTAAAAACAGTTCATGCCACACCAACCACATTTCCCTTTGTCAACAAAATTACTTGATAGATAATTCCAGGAATGCCTGATGAAGCTGATTGACAACAAGATATTTGGCAGACTCTCTGCTGCCTATACATACCTTAGCATGTGGAACTCAAGTAATGAGAGGTCCATTTAATTGGATTGAATTGGGCTGGATAGGATTGGATTGAATCCTGTGGGATGGCTAGGCTAAATTAGAAATGAAGACTAGTTTAACAGCAGTATCCAAGGATAGTTGACTAATGAGTTAATTTTACTCTCAAAGACAGTCTTTAGTAGTAAGCTGTAATGCATTATATCAAACTATTTTCCAGTCAATGATTTATAAGTTACTTGAATAAGGATGCTAAAGATGTGCCTTATTGAAATGGCAATTAGCACAAAGTTGGGAATGAAATCTAATTAGTTAAATAACAGAATCACATAAAAAAGGACTTGAATAAATGTAGCATCCTACCATGTTCCTGGATAGAAAGACTGCTATCGTAAAGATATTCATTCTCCTCAGGTTAAATTATAAACTCAATGCAATTCAACAGGATTTTAAAAAACTAGACAAAGTGATTCCAAGTTTACGTGGAAAATAAAATGTGAGGGACCAAACAATATTTGAAAAAGAAAGAGAATAAAATCTCATCCTTCCAGATACCACAATGTATTATAAAGCAATAGTAATTAACATGAGGGCAGAAATGAGCAAGCAAGTGAACAAAATAAGACAGATAGTCACAGGAAACTCATATATTTATAGGTGCTTTGCGTATAATGAAGATGGTCCTTCAAATCAGTTGGGAAAAGATGGGTTATTCAATAAATGGTGTTGGGTAAAATTGGTTATACATTGGTGAGAAATAAAGTGAAACTCCTACTTTGTATCATATGCAAAAAATAGATTCCAGACAGATGAAATATTTAAATGTAAAAAATAAAATTCTAAAACTACTAGAAAAAAAAGAAGAATATTTTTATTCCTTTGAAATAGAAAAGGTCTTACTAAGCAAAACACAGAAGTAATAAATGAATAAATGAAGACAAATATGATAAAAATAAGTTAAAAATATAAGCAATCTTTCTTTGTTTTTTTTTCACCTTTCCTAGAAAAAAATATATAGGCAACTTGTTAAGCAAGGTAGATTACAAGAAAATATTTACAACATTTGACAGGCCACAGATTATTATCCAGCCTCATCTGATAAGAAAACTTCAACATAAAGATATCTGTTTTTTTTCTTATAAGGTTCCTCAAAGTGAGCCAATCACTTCTTAAGCTGAACAAAAAACAAAACAGAAGTGATCTTTTCCAATAATGAAAACAAACATTGACAGAGCAGCTGTAGGATCCTTTCAGGCAAATTATGAAAAGGTGCCCTTTCTCAGAAACCACAGTTACCATTCAGCTTTGTGACCAGAGGTTTGACTGTACCCTAGTCCCTACTAGCAACCCAACCACATAACCAACTTCAAAGGTCCTGAATGACTGTGTTGTACTTAATGGCAGATGATCTATCTCCCATTTTTGTCCTAAGGATTTTCCAAGATAATATATTTCTGCATTTGTTTTGCTTTTACTTCACTCCAAATTGAAATCTATTTGTGGGATAAGACTAAAGAAATGCTTATAGGAAAATTGATAGCACCAAATTCCTATCTTAAAAAATGAAAAAGGTTTCAAATCAATGACCTCAGCTTTTACTTTAAGAAAATAGAAAAAGCAGGATAAGCTAAAGCCAAAGTAAACAGAAGAAAGGAAATTATAAAGATAAGAGCAGAAATCAATGAATAGAAAACAAAAGAAAAAAATCAAACCAAACAGCTGATTCTTTAAGCAGATCTATAAAATTGATAAAACTCTAGCCAGATTGATCAAGTAAAAAAGAGAGAAGACACAAATTACCAGTATTAAGAATGAGAGAGGCAATATCACTACAGATCCTACAGATATAAAAAGTATAAGGGCATACTTTGAATAATTTTATGACTATAAATTAGGCAACTTAGATAAAACAAATTTCTTGAAAGACACAAACAACCAAAGCTCACCTAAAATACTCACAAATTGAATAGTCTTATAGCTATTACAAAATTGAGGCCAGGCGCAGTGGCTCAAGCCTTTAATCCCAGCACTTTGGGAGGGCTAGGAAGGCGGATCACGAGGTCAGGAGTTTGAGACCAGCCTGACTAACATGGTGAAACCCTGTCTCTACTAAAAGTACAAAAATTAGCCAGGCTTGGTGGTGCGTGCCTGTAATCCCATCTACTCAGGAGACTGAGGCAGGAGAATTGCTTGAACCTGGGAGGCAAAGTTGTGGTGAGCCGAGATCGCGCCACTGCACTTCAGCCTGGGCAACAGAACAAGACTCCGTCTCAAAAAAAAAAAAAAAAAAAAAAATTGAAATTATAGTTAAAAGTCTTCCCACAAAGCAAACTCTAGACCCAGATGGCTTCAATGGTAAATTCTACTGGACAATCAAACAGGAAACAGTAATAATTCTCCACAATGTCTTTCATAAAATTGATGCGGAGGAGATACTCTCCAACTCATTCTATGAAACTAGCATTACCCTGATACCAAAATCATACAGAGACAGTGTAGGAAAACAACAGATCAGTATCCTTCATGAACATAAATGAAGTACAATGCAGTCTTATGCATAAATCAGAGCTTCATTGTTCTACAGATAAGGTAATGTAGGATTGTTGGTTGCCCCTCCAGGTCTGTTAAATTCACCTCCTTCCCCAGAGAGCATCCTTCTTAAGGACAGGGAGCCTCAATATGTCAGTCCTCACAGCACCTCCCTCAGTCTTCAGCACTTACCAGCTCATCACCACAACCGATACCACATTGGATAATTTCATGAATTACTTTAGAGCAAATGCAAGAGAAAAAATGGATTTTTATATAGGAGAAGAAGGAGGAAATTCTTGTGGATTTGGTACAGAATAGGGCCAAGGGAAAATTACAGATGTAAAAAGAAAAGTGTGTGAAATAGTATCCTTAGTGCTCACAAATACAATGATTTCATTGTTTTTAAAAATAAAAAATGACAAATGTCTAATGCTTGGTGGTAATGCTTTATTGAATGTGTGTTATACACTGGTTCCTCATTCCTGAAGTTAGAAATAATACCTTCCTCTTTTCATTTGGTTATGTTTGCTGAAACAAATCAAAGGCTGAGATTGAAACACATGCTACTTCAGGTGGATGACCTTACTACTAAGCTCATCACAACAGCACTTACAGCTGAAGACCCCAGAGTCCTACCTAACTTTTGTCACAACCCAGATTTTGGCCATGTAGTTCTGGGCCTTACCATTAAAGCAGACAGAAGTCAGAGGAATGACTCCTTTCCACTTGAAGTGAGCTGCAGGCTTCTAGGAAAGGCAAGATGCACATTTCCCTCCTGTGGAGCATAAAGCCTTTGTAATTCAGGACTTAGGACCCATATGGATTTGAAATATTATGACATTGGAGCTGGAGTGGTTGGGGACAACACCAGTAGTGTTATAGGCCATGGAATGTCAAAAGAACATGGAACCCTGTTAAAATCATTAAACATCAAAACTCTCCCCTCCTCTGGTGATATGGTTTGGCTGTGTCCCCATCCAAATCTCATCTTGAACTCCCATGTGTTGTGGGAGGCACCCAGTGGGAGGTAATTGAATCATGGGGGCAGGTCTTTCCCATGCTGTTTTCACGATACTGAATAAGTCTCACAAGATCTGATGGTTTTATAAAGGGGAGCTTCCCTGCACAAGCTCTCTTCTCTTGTCTGCCACCATGTGAGACATGCCTTTCACCTTCCGCCATGATTGTGAGGCCTCCCCAACCATGTGGAACTTTTAAGTTCATTAAACCTCTTCCTTTTGTAAATTGCTCAGTCTCAAATATGTCTTTATCAGCAACGTGAAAACAGACTATCTGATTTTCTGTGGGATGTGGATTATGACCATGGACAGAGCATAACTGGGACAGAGCTGGAAAAAATATTAATTAGGTGCTTAAAAATATTTGTTAGAACTATCTTCATGAATGAGAATCAATCCTGTTTCCATGGTGATTCACCAGGCATCAATTCCAAGCATCCATGAATCAGAAAAGTCCTATCTTCTCTTAGTTATCATCCAGGACTCCAAGGAACCATAATTAGCCAACCTGTTCACATTTCCTTTTCATTCACTAGCCTCGAAGTTTCCAGGGGACAGGGACTCTGTCCTATTCATTTCTGTAACCTTACCACCTGACCCAGAATAGCTGTTCCCTGAAGATTTGGTGGATTATAAATGTGGATGTCTTATTTCTTTGAAAGTGTGAGCTTCAGGTACTGATCACGTTATTCCAATTATCAATTTAGTATCTTTCTTCACCATTAAACTGTGAAATTCTTGAGGGAAGAACCTATGACTGATTTATCTCTGTAAACTCATGCCACCAGTATTCAAAATCACACCTAGCACATAGTAAACACTCAATGTTTGTTGAATGACTGAAGGAATGGATGAAAATGAACCTCCTTGCTTCTGACCAGTGGATGAGTTGCTTGGCCGTGTTCCTACAGCCTAGAGCTCATCCCCTAAAGCATCTGAAGTTACCCATTAGTGCAATGGTTCTTGAACGCTGGTGTTGATCAGAATCATCTGGATGCCCAGGTTCTCTGAAATAAGATAGGGTCTAGGCATTTGTATTTTTACCAAGGAGGTGTGATGGAGTCAGATGCAAGAAGGCTAGTTGAAGAAACCACATGAGAGTTTAGTGTAGTGTATTAGAAGACTGGTTTGGCTCTGTCGCTAGTGGCTACATCATCTTGCTCAAGTCATGCCAGTCTCAGGACCTCATTCAGTCTCTTCAGCTGTAATATGGGTGGGTTGCACCACATAACCAGAAAGATCCCTTCCAGCTCTACCCACTTACAACATGGTCAAATTTGGTCTGATTTTTTAAATCGTAGTACAATATATATGACATAAAATTCACCATTTTAGCCACTTTAAATGTACAATTCTGTAGCATTAACTACATTCACATTGTTGTGCAACCATCACTACCGTCTACTTCCAGAACTCTTCATCTTGCAAAACTGAACCTCTGTTGTCATTAGTCACTAACTATTCCTCTCCCCCCCTCCTTCTAGGCCCTGGCAATCACCATTCTACTTTCTGTCGCTATGAATTTGACTACTCTAGGTAACTTATATAAGTGGAATCACAGCATTTGCCCTATTATGACTGGTTTAGTTGACTTAGCACAACCTCCTAAGGCTCAACCACATTTTAGCATGTGTCAGAATTTTCTTTGTTTTTAAGGCTGAATAATATTCTGTTGTATCTGTAAATAACATCTTTATTCATTTGTCCATCAACAGACTGTTGAGTTCCTCCCATCTTTTGACTATTGTGAAAAATGCTGCTATGAACCTGAGTGTACAGACATCTGGTTGAGTACTGCTTTCAATTCATTGTTTATATGGATCATATGGTAATTTTATGTTTAATTTTTTTGGAACTGCTACATTGTTTTCCACAGTGTACATCATTTTACATTTCCATCAGCAATGCACAAAGGTTCCAATTTCTCCACATTCTTACCAACATTTTTTATTTTCTGTTTCTTATTTATTTGTTTATTTATTCTGAGACAGAGTCTCACTCTGTCACCTAGGCTGGAGTGCAGCAGGGTGATCTCAGCTCACTGCAACCTCTGCCTCCCATGTTCAAGTGATTCTCCTCCCTCAGCCTCCCAAGTAAATGGAATTACAGGTGCCCACCACCACGCCCAGGTAATTTTTGCATTTTTTTTAGTAGTGATGAGGTTTCACCATGTTGGTCAGGCTGGTCTTGAACTCCTGACCTCAAGTGATCCACCCGCCTCAGCCTCCCAAAGTGCTGGGATTACAGGTATGAACCACTGCACCCAGGCCATTTTTTGCTTTTTAGATAATAGTCATCCTAGTGGGTATGAAGTGGTATTTCATTGTGGTTTTGATTTATATTTCCCTAATGATCAGTGATATTGAGCATCTTTCAAGTGCTTATTGGCCATTTTCTTCTTTGGAGAAATGTCTATGCAAGTCCTTTGCTCATTTTTTAATCCAGTTGCTTTTTGTTATTCTTTTTGATTTGAAAGTGTTCTTTATACCTCTTGTATACTAATCCCTTATCAGATATGATTTATAAATATTTTCTTCTTTTCCATGGATTGCCCTTTTTACTCTGTTGATAGTGTTCTTTGATACAAAATAATTTTTAATTTGAATGAAGCCCAATTAATCTATTTTTGTTTCTTTTGTTGCCTGTGCTTTTGGTGTCCTATCCAAGAAACTGTTGCCAAATCCAATGTCATAAAGCTTTTTCCCATGCTTCCTTCTAAGAGTTTTGTAGTTACAGCTCTTGTATTTAGGTATTTGACTATTTTGAGTTAATTTTTGTACATCGTATAAAATAAGAATCCAATTTTTATTTTATTTTACTTTTTGTATGTGGATATCCAATTTCCCCACCACCATTCATTGAAAAGACTGTCCTTTTCCTATCGAATGGTCTTGGCACCCTTGTAAAACATAATTTGACCATATATGTGAGGGTTTATTTCTGGGCTCTCTATTCTATTCTATTCTATTCTATTCTATTCTATTCTATTCTATTCTATTCTATTCTATTCTATTCTATTCTATTGGTCCCTATGTCTTTCTTTATTCTAGTACCACCATTTTGCTCATCATAACTTTGTAGTAAGTTTTGAAGTCAGGAATCGTAAGACCTCCAGCTTTGTTCATTTTCAAGGTTGTTTTGATTATTCAAGGTCCCTTGATAGTCCATATGAATTTCAGGATGGATTTTTCTATTTCTGCAAAAAAAAAAAAAAAAAAAAAAAAAATCATTGAAATTTTTAAACAGATTGCATTAAATCTGTAGATTGTTTTGGGTAGTATTGACATTTAACAACATTAAATCTTCCAATCAATGAACTAGGCTATTTTTATTTATTTTTTCTGTTTCTTTGAGCTACTTTTGTAGTTTTCAGTGTATAAGTTTTTGCTACCTGGTTAGGTATACTTCTAAGTATTTTCTACTTTTTGATGCTATTGCACATTGAATCGTTTTCTTAATTTGGTGGTAGCGGGGATTGTGCATTGTTAGTACATAAAAATGCAACTCATTTTTTGTGTGTTGATTTTGTATCCTGCAGCTTTAACAAATTCATGTTAGTTCTAACAGACTTATTCTATGAATCATTAGGGTTTTCTACATAAAAGATCATGTCACCTACAAACAGAGATAATTTTACTCCACCCCTTCCCGTTGCAATGCCTTTTATGTCTTTTTCTTGCCTAATTGTTCTGGCTAAGACTTCCACTACCATGTTGAATAGAAGTGGTGAAAGTAGACATCCTTGTCTTGTTCCAATCTTAGAGCCAAAGCTTTCAGTCTTTCACGGCCTGAAAGACTTTGTAATATGTTCTCAAGGTTAAAGAACTTCAGAAGTTTTCTAAGCAAGAGACCATTTTATTAACTTAGTTGGCAGCAATTCTGAGAGATTAGAATGAAAAGATAGAGGATAAGAAGTATCTGGCAGGTATAATATATTGAGTGTGCTGAATATACTTTTAGTTTTGTATAGGTGTTAAAAAATGGCAAAGGAGGCCGGGCGTGGTGGCTCACGCCTGTAATCCCAGCACTTTGGGAGGCCGAGGCGGGCAGATCATGAGGTCAGGAGATCGAGACCATCCTGGCTAAAACAGTGAAACCCTATCTCTACTAAAAATACAAAAAACTCGCTGGGCGTGGTGGTGGACACCTGTAGTCCCAGCTACTCGGGAGGCTGAGGCAGGAGAATGGTGTGAACCTGGAAGGTGGAGCTTGCAGTGAGCCGAGATCACGCCACTGCACTCCAGCCTGGGCGACAGAGAGAGACTCCGTCTCAAAAGAAAAAAAAAATGGCAAAGGAAAGAATGAAAAATAAAGCAAGGTCCCAGAAGAGGCCAAAAATCTTAATCAAAATTGACTGAACATTACGGAATGAAATGGTTTTTCCTTTACTCCAATTAACGACTTCACAAGAAGATTCCATCCTCGTTTATAAGATTAACCCAAAACCAGCACTTAAAACCAGAAGCCTTGAAAGGATGGAGTTTGGGGACCCTTCTCATGTCTATTCCCAGAAGGGGGTCTTCTTCTGGGGTCCTGTCCCCTAAAGAGCTAGGCAAAAAGTATGCTTGCCACATCTGTTGAAAGATAGAAAGTTGGTCTAAAAATACATGAGAGGGAACTGAAACATTTCAGAGAAGGCAAGACTCAGAAGTAAGAAACCAAAAGAGGAAGGTAAAATTCTAGTTACAAAGAAAAGAGGAATGGAAATTAAATTGTCTTACAGAGAAAATCCAGAACTGCCCCCTCTTCCCTTACTACTCCATCAAAAAAGGGGAAAAATAGTCAATGGGAAAGTTTTGAGAAAAATAGATCTCTGCATTCTTCTGGTTGAGAATTCAGACAACTTGAACTAGAGAGCTGGGTAATTTCTTGACTAAAGGTGTGTTAGATCTGAAAGGGTTTTTCTTAAAATTGTCTGTGTTCATCCCTCCCATCTTAGAGAGGAACACAGGATAAGAGACCTCTGGAGCTCCCCCAGGGTCACCGAGCTAATAGGATCAGAGACAAAGCTACAAAGTCATTTTCTGACATCTCTCCAGGGCTCTTTTTTTCTGGACCCCCCATATCAACATGATGTATTTATTACATTGGATTAGCAACTCTCCTTGAGCTTTCCTCAGTACCAGGTTTACATCTCAGTCTGTGGGTCTCAGAGAAAGTACCCAATCAGCAGCAACATTACCTGGAAACTCATCAGAAGTGCCCCTCCTCAGCCCCACCCCAGATCTATGCAATCAGAAACTCTGGAAATGCAGGCCAGTCCTAACAAGCCCACCAGGGAATTCTGGTGCACTAAGGTTTGAGATCCACTGATCAAAGAAATAATATTCCTTTTCTTCATTATAATAGCATGAATAATAACTAACATGTATTTCACAATTTACAAAAGAGCTTTATGCTCTTGTTAAATTTGAGGGTAGTCTTCTCAAAATCTCTGTGAGGCTAGAAAGTCAGATATTGAAACACCTGTTTTATGGGTTCAAAGATAGGTTCAAAAGAGAGTAAATGATTGTTGGGGTGGCAGGTCCAGAGAGGGCAGGATCAAAACTGCAATTGAGTCTTCTGCCTTATAAACCAGCATAGCTTCCCCAAGGCACGTCACTTCTCGATAAAATGGTGACAACTAGAGTGTCCTTTCAGATCATTCTTAGAAGCATGGAGTGCTAGGTCAATTGTGTAATTGATGAGGAAATAATAATACTAAGAACTCCCATCTTCTACGTCCTTATATACAATCCTGTCAGGTAGAAGCTGAGTCTCAGAGAGAACAAGTTGCCCTCCCAGGACCACCAGGTAAGCTCGGCATAGCTGTGCTTAGAATGTAGGCTGTCTGGCTTCTGGGCTTGCCTGCCCAGGGAGGCTTTGTGGGTTCTACTTGGTCATCCAGATCACAGAGGGGCAGCACTGACTCCTACCCAGTGCTCTTGACTGTACATCTAATACTTTCTACTAAGAAAACCCCTTCTCTTTAGACCAATGGTTTTCAAATCTTGGTGTGCATTGGAATCACCTGGAAAGCTTGTTAAAACACAGATTGTCCCACCCCAAGAGTTTCTGATTCTGTAGGCTGGGGTGGGGACCCATGAAAGTGCATTTCTAATAAGGTCCCAAGTGATGCTGATGCCACCAGTGTGTGGACAACCCTTTGAGTGGTGAAGCTCTGGACACCCTAATTTGCAAGGCTAATCAGGCATATGTGGCAAATGAATACGAACTGAAATTCTGACTCCAATATCTTCACTGATATTCCTAATCCATAGCATACACACAGTCCCATTCGTTTCCCTTTTAGCTTTTAATCTACATTTATCCTTTCTTCCTCTGCCACTGCCTTCTCTCCAGTTAGCTCAAACCAGGTAACACATAACCGCCTCCTAACTCATCCGCCCAGTTGGTTTCTTTGGCTTTAATCTAGACTTCTTATCTCCACCAGATTTGCCTTACCAAAGCACCAATTTCTTAAGGCAGGGTTAGAATTAAAAATCTTCTGTTCCTCCTCATTGCCTAAAACTCCTAAACTTATGATTCAAGGTCTTCCATGACCTTCATGGACCAGTCTAACGTTTTAGCCTGTCCTAAGTGACATGCCTCCACCACATACTTCATGCTTTCCACTTTCTTTCTCCATGTCTTTGTTCATGCATTTCCATTTCTTCTACCTGCGATGTCCTCCTTCGCCATCTCTGTAGATTTAAAAATCCTACAGGGCTCATCTCAAATGCCCTTTCCTTCATGAAGCCTTTCATGAAATCCCCATCGAGAGGTTTTCCCTCCTCTCAGCTCTCCAAAGCACAGATGTCTGCGTTTGTGGCTATTATCTTACGTTGTTTTGTATTAAAATTTCTCCAGCTTTACACATTTGTCATCCTCTTAAGGACAAACATCTTATTATGGTCAATGTGAAGCTATAGAGGATAATTTAATGAAATATTCCAAGGGCTAGTCATTACACATGACTGATTTATCTCTGTAAACTCATCCACACTCATCCACCTGATTTTGATTGGCCAAGTTAATGAATCAGAGAGGAAAAGATGGTAAAAATATAATAAAAATCTCCTAGGTAGTCTCACATCCCACAGAGCCCCAGGTAATGAAATGAGGCCCTGAGATAATACTTTATGAACAATAAAACTCCGGGTTCTATTGACAGTGAAGCAAGACCTGAGAGAGAAGGCTAAATTCCCTTGTGTCTAGCTGCCACAATCTTCTGAGAATAATGGCCTTTCTTCCCGTCTGCCTTCTGAATCATAGGCAAATTTTTCTCTTTGGTGATCCCTAATACAGAAAGGGGAAGTCAAATAAAATATATACAAGGAGAAGGATTCTGGGAGACAGAGTTTCTTGATTCCCTTCTGCATGCTCCTCCTCAAAAGCCTTTATGAGCTTACCTTACATTTAAATTCTTTTAAACAAGGCATTATGTGGTCTGGTCTTTTCCAGCTCCACACACCTTCACACTACATTCCCCCCAGCTAATTCTGCTCTGGGAACACTGACCTTCTTTTAGTTCTTTGAACACATTGATTTCTGGTCAAGATGACTCAGTAACTTCAACCTTTGTTGTGCCCTTGGTGCTGTGAAGATATAGATATATATTAACCACTGCACACCAGAAATCAGAAATAGCACAACAGAGAATAAAGTCATTGAGCCATCTTCTGAGCTCCAAAAGACAAATTTTCTCCAAAAAGACAAATTCAGGCTCTAAAACAATACCTTAAGGAACCAGAAGTGGAATAGAAAATTAAGGTGGTAAGCAGGGCTAAACCACATGCCTGTTGAGCCCAGGTTTGGAAGAAGACAATGGCAGGTAGGAATGTGGTTTCTGATGGGTAATAGGTACTGTTTTCATTTACTTTCTGTTGCTTATAACAGAATATCTGAAACTGGGTGCTTTATAAAGAAAAGGAATTTATGTCTTGCAGTTAGGGAAACTGAGAAGTCAAAAGTTGAGGGCTGCAATTGACAAGTGCCTTCTTGCTGGTGGGGATACTCTGAAGAGTCTTGAGGTGGTATCGGGCATACCACTCTCAGTGAGGGGACTGAGCATACTAGGTCAGGTCTTTCTTCCTCCTTTTATAAAGCTATCAGTCCCACTCTTATGATAACCCATTAATCCATTAACTGATTAGCCAATTAATCCATGAATGGATTAATTCATTCATGAGGGCAGAGCCTTCCTGACCCAAACACCTCTTAAAGACTCCACCTCTCAATACTGCCACATGGGGGATTAAATTTCAGCATGAGTTTTTGATGAGACAAATATTCCAATGATAGCAGTTATTAAAAGTACATGCTTGAGAGAAGGGGATTGGAGTCAGCCTCAGTGCTTAAACTCAAAAGCTAGGATGAGGCTCTAACACTCCTGAAAGAAGGAGTTGCTGCTGGCTCCTTACCAGGGCTATATCTTTTACAGAGCAGGAGACCTAAAGAGGCAGGAGGACCCGGACATCGTTTGGAAACCAAGCACTAAAACAGGCCATCTGTTATACCCCCAATATCCTCTCAGGACAAGTGTTTTGAACCACTCACACAAGGACTAGTCTGGGCAAGTGGGCTAGATGAAGAAACCACAAAATAGCTAAGTGGGGAGAGAAAGACCAAAAATACTATTTTATTCAAAATGAAAATACAATCCAAAATTCCATGATTCATGAAGAAATCAAATGGTATGTGTTAGGTGGTTCTTGCATTGCTATAGAGAAATACCTGAGATTGGGTAATTTATAAAGAAAAGAAGTTTAATTGGCTCATAATTCTGCAGGCTTCACAGGAAGCATGGTGCTGGCATCTGCTCAGCTTCTGGAGAGGCCCCAAGAAGATTTGCTCAAGGCAGAAGGTTAAGGGAGAGCTGGCACATCACATGGTGAGAAAGGAAGCTAGAGAGAGAGTGCAGGGTGAGGTGCCACAAGTTACCACAGCCAGATCTCTTGAGAACTCACTTACTTTCATGAGGACAGCACCAAGCCATAAGGTGTAGGGAGCCAAAGTCCCATGGGACATGACCAACTCAGCATTCCACTGGAGGCTATATGATCAAACAGCAAACTGTTTATCACGAATGCAGGATGTGAGCAAACTCACAACTGGTCCTGCCAACAGAAGGTTTGTTGGAGGCAATCACTCCCTGGTGCCTGAGGTAATCTACTGCAACATCTAGAGAATGCAGTCTTGCAAGCCTACTCTGGACAGGGCAGCTGGCACCTTATTCCATCCCCCTTCTCACTATCTTTTTTTGCCTAATAAATACAGAGGGCTGTGTAAAGCTCAGGGCCCTTGTCCACTAGAGGCAAGTTGCCCCCTGACCCCTTCTTCCAAATATACTCTTTTGTCTCTTGTCTTTTATTCTCACATTTGCCCCCTTTGTTCAGTTCCACTAGGTCCGTGCGGGTTATATACTGGTGCCCTGAGCAGCAACAGAATCAGGCTCTCAACAAGTGTCATCCGAACATGGGACTTTGAGGACATGAACGAAGAAGGTCTGCTGGAGCAGAGGAACAGAAATTGACAAGGTGAACAGGGACCCTGGGACGAGTCTGCCAGCAGCGGATATAAGGTCAGTTACCTAAAGAGGTACTGATCAGTGCCCTAAAGAGATACTGGGAGCAGTGCTTTAAAGAAGTACTGGGAATGGGAAATTTTCTGAATCAGGGTAACAAGGGGAAGAATTTGTCTATTAAAGAAAAACATTATGTGCAGTTGCTTAAAGTTGTATTGGAACAGTCTGGAGCTTAGGTTAATTTGCAGACACTAACTATCACATGCGTCCGTGTGAAGAGAGTCCACCAACAGGCTTTGTGTGGGCAATAAAGCTTTTTAATCACCTTGGTGCAGGTGGGCTGAGTCCAAAAAAGGAGTCAGCAAAGGGAGATAGAGGTGGGGCAGTTTTATAGGATTTGGGTAGGTAGTGGAAAGTTACAGTTAAAAGTGGTTATCTCTTGTGGGCAGAGGCAGGGGTCACAAGGTGCTGGGTGGGGAAATCATGAGACTCTTTTTCTGGGACAGGAGTGTCACAAGGTCAATTGATCAGTTGGGGTGGGGCAGGAACAAATCGCAATGGTGGAATGTCATCACTTAAGGCAGGAACTGACTATTTCACTTCTTTTGTGGTTCTTCAGTTGTTTCGGGCCATCTGGATGTATAGTGCAGCTCACAGGGGATATGATGGCTTAGGTTGGGCTCAGAGACCTGACATTCCTATCTTTTTATATTAATAAGAAAAACAAAACAAAATAGTGGTTAAGTGTTGGGGCAGCAAAAATTTTTTGGGGTGGTATGTAGAGATAAGGGGCAATGTTTCTCAGGGCTGCTTCAAGCACGATCACGGTGGTGTGGGAATCTAGAGTGGGAGAGATTAAGCTGAAGAAAAATTTTGGGGAAAGGGGTGATATTCTGGGGTTGTTAGAAGGAGCATTTGTCATATAGAATGATGATGGCCTGGATGTGGTTTTGTATGAATTGAGAAACTAAACGGAAGACACAAGGTCCAAATAAGAGAAGGAGAAAAACAGGCATTAAAGGATTAAGAATTGGGAGGACACAGGACATCCAATTAGAGAGTGCCCAAGGGGGTCCAGTGTAATTATTTGCCTGGACAATGAGTTTTGGGGCTCTATTAGGTTGTCATATACCAGGCCAGATTGATTTAGGTAAAAACAACACTCTTCATTTAAAATATACAGAGTCCTCCTTTTTTAGCAGTGAGTAAGTTGAGACCTATTCCTGTCTTCTTATATTAATAAGTAAAATAAAGCAAAATAGAGGTGAAGTGTTGGTGTCATGAGGGGAACAGGAAGCAGTTCGGTCCTATTTGCAAATTGATTTTGGGGGGGTAAAGAAAACTAGTGTACCTTTGCCTGTCCAATTAATAAGTAGACACATGTAGATGGAGGAGCCACAGAGGAAGAAGAGAACTTTGTAAGGCAAAACTGGAAATGTAAAGGGAAAAGATGAGAGGGAGCACCAAAAGAGGTGTCTTGCACCCAGACTCAGGGATCTAGTGAGAGCAGCAGCTGTTAGAGGTTGTAATGGGGATTAATGGGGCTACTGGGTAGAGGGGGAGGTTCAACTTTTATGGTGTATGAGAAAGCGCATAGTGTCTACAAGCAACCTTTCATTGCTATTCATAGGATTGGGTATAAGTAAACAAGAAGGGGGGGCTAGGAGGAGAGTCTGAAGAACAAGGGGAAGGTAGCCAAGGATGGAGTGAAATGTAGGGCAAATGTCTTAAAGGAAATGAGAGGTTCTAAGAGGAGGGCTAGTGGCTTGTAACCCACATGGAAGAGGTTACGAAAGGATGATAGAATGGAATGAGCCTGTGAGGCTGGAAGGAGGAATTTTCCTTGGTCCAAGAACCATTTGCCTTGTGTGGGAAGAGTTTGATAGGTGGAAGTTTCAGTGGGAGGGTAGGCGGGAGTGACTGATGAGAAGGAGAAAAACTGGCCATAAGGGACAGAAGTTGGAATGCTAGCTGCTCCTTTAGCTACCTTATCAGCATAAGCTTTGCCCTGAGTGATGGGATCTGATGCCTTTTGATGGCGCTTGCAGTGAATGACCCTAGCTTCCTTGGAAGTAGAGCAGCTTTAAGAAGAGTTTTTATGAAGAAGGCATTAATAATGGAGGACCCTCGTATAGTGAGGAAACCTCTTTCAGGCCATATAACAGAATGGAGGTGGAGAATATGGAAGGCATATTTAGAGTCAGTATAAATACTGACACACAATCCTTTTGCAAGAGTGAGGGCTCGAGTTAAGGCAATGAGTTCGGCTTGCTGAGAGGGAGTGGAGTGGGGCAGAGTGGTAGCCTCAATGATAGATGTGAAAGATACTATAGCGTAGCCTGCCTTTGCTGGTGAGTGGTGATTAGGCCTAGTGGAACTGCCATCAATAAACCAAGTGTGATCAGAGTGAGGAACAGGAAAGAAGGAAATATGGGAAAATGGAGTGAATGCTAGGTGGATCAGAGAGATACAGTCATGGGGATCAGGTGTGGTATCAGGAATAATGTGGGAGGCCAGATTGAAGTCCAGGCCAGGAACAATGGTAATTGTGGGAGACTCAACAAAGAGTGAGTTCAACTGAAGGAGCCGGGGGAGGGGGAGAGCGGCAGAAAGTATATGCATCAGGTGTGAGGAAGAAAATACATTTTGAAAGTTATGAGAACTGTAGAGAGTGAGTTGATCATAGTTTGTGATTTTGAGGGCCTTTAAAAGTATTAAAGCAGTGGCAGCTGCCACACACAGACATGAGAGCCAGCCTAAAACAGTAAGGTCAATCTGTTTAGACAGAAAGGCTGCAGGGCACTGTCCAAGCTCTTGTGTAAGGATTCTGACCGCACAGCCTTGTACTTTGGCTGTGTGTAATGAAAAGGGTTGGGATGAGTTAGGGAGAGCTAGTGTGGGAGTAGCTTCTAGGGCTGTTTTTAAGGAACATAAAGAGGAGTGGGGAAAGGATTTAGGATCTATGGGGTCAGCTAGGTTTCCTTTTGTGAGTTTATGTAATGGTTTAGTCAGGATGGCAAAACCAGGTATCCAAAGGTGAAAGTACCCAACCATGTCTAGGAAGGAAAGGATTTGTTGCTTTGTAGAAGGGATTGGGGTTTGGGAGATTAGCCGGACACAGATCAGGAGGGAGAGCACTTGTATTTTTATGAAGAATTATGCCGATAGGTAACGGATGAGGAAGAAATTTGGGCTTTGGAGGGGGATACACGATATTCCCTTGAGAATAGATGTTGGAGGAGCAGGAGGGTGTCCTGTTGGGAAGATTCATAGGAGGGGCTATAAAGTAGAAGGCCATCAAAATATTGAATAAGGTGACAAGCAGATGGACAGAAAAGTAAATTATGAGAAAGGGCTTGACTGAAGTAATGGAGGCTGTCCCTGAAGCCTTGTGGCAGTACAGCCCAGGTAAGTTGCTGAGACTGATGGGTGTCAGGGTCAGTCCAAGTGTAAGTGAAGAGAGGCTGGGGTGAAGAGTGCAAAGGAATAGTAAAGAAAGCATCTTCAAGATCCAGAACAGAATAATGGGTTGTGGAGGGAGGTATTGAGGATAGGAGAGTATATGGGTTTGGCACCACAGAGTGGATAGGCAAGACAATTTGGTTGATAAGCTGAAGATCCTGGACAGGCTTTAGTCCCTTCAAAGCCTGTTGTGGGATGGGATACTGGCATTGAGCAGGATAAGGGTAATTAGGTTTTAATGGGATGGTAGGGTTGCGTGATCGGTCACCAAGGAGGGAGTAGAGGTATCCCATACTTGTGGGTTAAGATAGGGAGTCAGGAGGGGAGGTTGTGAAGGAGGCTTTGAACTGGGGAAAAGGGTGGCAATGAGGTGTGGCTGTAGCCCAGGAATAGTCAGGGAAGCAGATAATTTAGTTAAAATGTCTCAATTTAATAAGGGAGCTGGGCAGGTGGGAATAACTAAAAAGGAGTGCATAAAAGAATGTTGTCCAAGTTGGCACCAGAGTTGGGGAGTTTTAAGAGGTTTAGCAGCCTGACCATCAATAACCACAACAGTTATGGAGGCAAGGGAAACAGGCCCTTGAAAGGAAAGTAATATGGAGTGGGTAGCCTCCATATTGATTAAGAAAGGGACAGACTTACCCTCCACTGTAAGAGTTACCCAAAGTGTCTGTGATGATCCAGGAGGCTTCTGAGGTGATCAGGCAGTGTCAGTCTTCAGCTGCTAAGCTGAGAAGATCTGGGAAGGAGTCAGTCAGAGAGCCCTGGGCCAGAGTTCCAGGGGCTCTGGGAGTGGCTGACGGGCAAGTTGGACAGTCCGATTTCCAATGCGGTCCCACACAGATGGGATACAGTTTAGGAGGAATCCTGGGCTGTAGGCATTCCTTGGCCCAGTGGCCAGATTTCTAGCACTTGAAGCAAGATCCTGGAGGAATGCCTGACCACAGTGGTTTAGGTGTTTTGAAGTTCTTGTGTGCTGGAGATGTGGCTGAGGTTTTTCTCACAGCAGAGGCAAGTAATTGCAACTCAGAAATACATTGCCACTTGGCTGTCTCTTCTCTATTATTGTACACCTTGAAGGTGAGGTTAATTAAGTCCTGTTGTGGGGTTTGAGGGCCATAATCTAATTTTTGAAGCTTTTTTAATGTTGGGAGTGGATTGGGTAATAAAATGCATATTGAGAGTAAGACAGCCTTCTGGCCCCTCTGAACCTAGGGCAGTAAAATGTCTAAGAGTTGTTGCCAAAGGGACCATGGACTGGGCTGCGTTTTCATATTTGATGAAAAAAAAAGAGCCTAAATGCTAACTAATTTGGGAGAGGTCAGATAAAGTAAAAGGAACATTAATCTTGACTATGCCTTCAGCTCTTGCCACCTCTCTAAGAGGAAATTGTTGGGCAAGTGGAGGAGTGCTAGTCGTGGAATGAAACCATAAGCTGGACTGGGTGTGAGGAGGGGAGGTGATAGAAGGATTACAGCGTAGGGGAGTAGAGGCTGAGGAAGAATTGGGACCTGGCTCAGCCTGGTGAGGAGTGGCCTGGTGAGGAGCAGCCTGGGGAGGAGGAGAGAGGTTAGATGGGTTCGTAGAAAAGAAGGATTCAAAGGACTCGGAGCTTGGTGAGGAGACTGAAGGAACAGACAGGAGAGAAAGAAGAAAGATTTGGGACAAGTCGCATTGGGAGCAGAGACTAGGAAGGGAGTGATGTGTAAAGAATGCCTGGACATCAGGCACCTCAGACCATTTGCCCATTTTATGACAAAAATTATCTAAGTCTTGTAGGGTGGAGAAATCAAAAGTGCCATTTTCTGGCCATTTGGAACAATTATCGAGTTTGTATTGGGGCCAAATGGTGTTGCAGAAGAAAATAAGATGCTTAGGTTTTAGGTCAGGTGAGAGTTGAAGAGGTTTTAGGTTTTTTAGAACACAGGCTAAGGCAGAAGAAGGAGGAATGGAGGGTGGAAGGCTGCCCATAATAAAAAGGTAAGTTTAGAGAAAAGAGAGGATAGAGACACAGAGAGAGGGGGTGGTGGTACTCATCAGCCAGGGGAGGTGGTACTTGCCACCAAGGTGATGGATCAAGGCAGTCATCCCCACGGTGATCAGACACCTCTGAAATGTGGGTGAATAATCAGGCAGGTGTCCCTGCAGTGATTAGACACCAAGGGGAGACTGTCTTCCCGAGTCCGTGACCGGTGCTGGAGTTTTGAGTTCACAGATAAAACACATCTCCTCTGTCTCTACCAGAAAGGGAAAGGAACTGAAATTAAGGAAGGGAGAGATTGAAGGGTGGAGAGATAGCAAGAGAGTTGGAAAAGAGAATAAAAAGAGGCCACTTACTCAATTTAAAATTGGTGAGATGTTCCTTGGGCTGATCTGAGGACCCAAGGTTGTAGGTGGATCTCCTCACGGAATGAGGGTGAGGACAGGGGACTGGTCTCCAGAAGGAGTTCCCGAGTCCTGGATCTTCAGCACCAAATGTCATGTGCATCCATGTGAAGAGAGTCCACCAACAGGCTTTGTGTTATCAATAAAGCTTTTTAATCACCTTGGTGCAGGTGGGCTGAGTCTGAAAAAGGAGTCAGCAAAGAGAGATAGGGGTGGGTCAGTTTTATAAGATTTGGGTAGGTAGTGGAAAGTTACAGTTAGAGGTGGTTATCTCTTGAGGGCAGAGGTGGGGGTCACAAGGTGCTGGGTGGGGAAATCCTGAGACTTATCATCCAGGGAAGGAGTGTCACAAGGTCGATTGATCAGTTGGGGTGGGGCAGGAACAAATCGCATGGTGGAATGTCATCAGTTAAGGCAGGAACTCACTATTTCACTTCTTTTGTGGTTCTTCAGTTTCTTCAGGCCATCTGGATGTACACGTGAAGGTTACGGGGATATATGATGGCTTAGCTTGGGCTCAGAGGCCTGACACTAACCTCCTGCAGAAGCCACAAAAGGTTATTACACATAAACCATGGTTTCCACAGGCAGGCACTCTTGATGTGGAAAATTGGGATAGAGCAGGATTAAAACAAGCTCATCAAAAAGGTCTTAAAGTTGATTCTTCAGTTTTCTCCACTTGGAGTTTAGTTCATACTGTACTTCTGCCATTATCTCCTTATTATTCTGCGGAACAGCAGGCTGAATCTAAAAATTGGAAAGAATTTGTTGTCCTACTCACAGCTCCAATTGAATATAAAAAACAGGAGAGGGAGGATAAAAATTGGCCTATACCGCCTCCTCCAGATGCAGAAACATCTGTACCATCTCCTTCAGTGGCAGAAATAGAGATCCCAGTACAAAGAATTTTATGCTCTGCTGTCATAGCTGGAGAGCCCTTAGGACCTTGTGCTTTTCCTATTTCTGTAAGGCCTGATCCAAATAATCCACAGCAGTTTATTCATGAACACTCTCCACTAGAATTTAAGTTGTTGAAGGAATTAAAAACTAGTGTGGTCAATAATGGAGTACAAAGCCAATGGTTCCTGGAGGAAGGAATGCTAGACATAGAACTTTGGGAGCAAGTGGGGAGAAATCTTAAACAACACCAGGCACAAAGGCATCAGGTCCCAGTAAAATCTTTTATGTTAGGGGCTTTGAGTAGAGCAGCCCTGGTTGTTACACACAAAAGAGCCTAAAAAGGGAAAGGAGGAGGAAATGTCACCTGCCTTATCACCTCCCCTTCCCTCAGTGCCAATATCACTGGGCCAAAATAACAAAGAGGAAATGGAGGTCTTACCTAAGCTTCCTCCTCCAATAGATAGGAAGAAGGACAGAGGATACGCTACAGCTATCAGTCCCTGTCTTAAGCAGGCAGCATTAGAAGGAGAGCTCTTAGCCGGGTGCAGTGGCTCATGCCTATAATCCCAGCACTTTGGGAGGCCGAGGCAGGCAGATCATGAGGTCAGGAGATCCAGACCATCCTAGCTAACATGGTGAAACCCCGTCTCCACTAAAAATACAAAAAATTAGCCAGGCATGTTGGTGGGCACCTGTAGCCCCAGCTACTTGGGAGGCTGAGGCAGGAGAATGGCATGAACCCAGGAGGTGGAGCTTGGAGCTTTCAGTGACCTGAGATTGCACCACTGCACTACAGCCTGGGCAACAGAGCAAGACTCCATCTAAAAAAAGAAGAAGAAGGAGAGCTCTTAACCTGCTCAGTAATGCAAAATCGGCAAGGCAATCAGGTGTATGTTTATAAAAAGATAAGAAAAAGGCATTAGAAGCCAAAACCACGTGGCCAAGCAGGCAGTGGGCAGGAGAAAATGCTCAGAGGCAGAAAAGCTCACAGCGACAAAGCCAACAAGGTCTGCCCAGGACGGCAGCATCCCTCTGGCAAAGGAGCAAGGGAGCAGCACAGACACAGGCAAAGCCTAAACAAGTACAATGTGGCCACCTCCCAGGACCTGCACCACTGCCCTCTGGCTCTGTGGGCAGCCCATTGCAAAATTTCATGTGTTACATCTCAGGCTATGATTCTCTGCTAAGATGTAAGTAAAATGTAAGAATTTGAAAAGCATCTTTTCTAATAATGGCCACTATTGTCATCTCTCTCCTATCCCTGATGTAGCTTTCCAAATTCAATTTAAGTAAAACAGTAACCTTTGAAGGGAAAGAGATTACAGAGGGCCCATGAATTAGTTGAAGAGTAATTAAAAGCTAGGCATGTAAAACCACACATTACGCTTTAAAGAAGAAATTTAAACCTAATTAAATGATATTTGTTAAATTAGAAGGTAAAAATGTTGTGCCCTGTTGGGAACAGGCCCCCAAATCTGGCCATAAACTGGCCCCAAAACAGGCCATAAACAAAATCTCTGCAGCACCATGACATGTTTGTGATGGCCATGATGCCCACCTTGAAGGTTGTTGGTTTACTGGAATGAGGGCAAGGAACACCTGGCCCACCCAGGGCAGAAAATTCCTTAAAGGCATTCCCAAACCACTAATGATAGCATGAGCAATCTGTGCCTTAAGGACATGTTCCTGCTGCAGACAGCTAGCCAGAGCCCATCCCTTTGTTTTGGCCCATCCCTTTGTTTCCCATAAGGAATGCTTTCAGTTAATCTATGATCTATAGAAACGATGCTTATCACTGGCTTGCTGTCAATAAATATGGGAGTAAAACTCTGTTCAGGGCTTTCAGCTCAGAAAGCCATAAGCCCCCTGATTTCCCACTTCCCACCCTTTATTTCTGTGTGTGTGTCTTGAATTCCTCTAGCGCCTCTGGGTTATGGTCTCCACAACCACGCTGGTCTTGGCAGTGCCCTTCTCAGAAAGTGAAAAAGAGTTGTATGTAAGTGTAGTGAAAACATAAGCATGAATCACTGTCTTAACCCACTGATTAGATAGTCTTTGATTTGTACTTGCTAAAAGAGTCCTAAATTGAGTTCCTCAGCTAGTGAGTCACTGTTTTCAAGACTGTTTGCCAGATTGAAGTCCATAAACTTGGTCAGCCCGAAAACTCAATTACAAGATCTAAGCTATTCTGCCTGTGGCTTTAAGCACATGGTTAAAGTATATTATTTAAGTCTCTCCTTCTAGATATGCTTTCAGATTTTCTTTTTAAACTTCTTGTTACTTATTTCAGCTTTCCATATTGATAATTAATGCAGTCAATTGCTCAGTTATGACTGTGATATCATCAGGATTCCTTTAAGTAAAAGGCAATTCAAAGCGGTATTGCACTCCCCCATACCTAATGCTTTAACACTGTTTACTGATGGGTCTGGTAAACATGGAAAAGCTGCAGTCTAGTAGAGACCACATAATTCAATCACTCGATCTGAGTTCACTAGCACTCAGAGAGCTAAGGTTACTCTGTTTATTTATTAAAGAATTTTTACAACCTTAAGCTCACTCTGGACTTTCCAGCCTTATGTGGCAAATGTAGCCATCAATTTATGGGGTCAAGACTTACTTACAGCATGGGATATGAGGCTTACAAATGAGACTTTGATAACCCAGGATTTTAAATGTTGAAGAACACGGGATATCAGAGTGAAAAAGGTTTAGGGAAAATTCTGACAAGGGAAAATTCTAACCTGATATCAATAACTGGAAAGACAGGTTAAACCCTGCAAGGGGATACATTGACATTTTTTCTTCCTCACTTGCTCTTTTCTGCTGTCTGAATATGGGCATGAGGGCAAGAGTCATTTTAGACCACCAAGTGACCTTGAGGATAGAAGCCTTATACTAGAGGTGGTGGGAAAGAAAAAACAGAAGGACTCATAAAGAAAAAAATAATAAACCTCAGTATTAAGATGGAAAAATTCCCCCAATTGGTCTATAGGTTGAACTTCATCTCTATTAAATTTCAGCTATGTTTTTGCAGAATTTGATATGCTGATCATAAAATTTATATGAAAATGCAAGAGACACAGAATAGTCAAAACTTTGAAAAGAAGAAAGTTGGAGGACTTACACTTGTTGATTTTAAGGCTTTTTACAAAGCTATAATAATCAAGACAATGTGTTACTGACATAATGATAGACATATTGATCAATATAGACAATGGATGAATGGAGTAGAATTGACAGTCTAGAAATAAAACCTTATATATATGGTCAATTTATTTCTTTATGTATTCTGTCATCCAGAATACATAAAGAACACCTTCAACTCAATAACAACAATACCAACAAGGGTGCCAAGACCAATCAATGGAGGAAATAATAGTCTTTTCAAGAAATTTTGCTGAGACAACTAAGTATTTATATGCAAAATAATGAGTTTGAATGGCTACCATATACAAAAATTAACTCAAATGGACTATATTAGGTCAGTGCAACAGTAATTGCAGTTTACCACCATTACTTGTTTTTTTTTTTTGGTTTTTTTTTTTGAGACAGAGTCTTGCTCTGTCACCCAGACCAGAGTGCAGTGGCATGATCTCAGCTCACTGCAAGCTCCACTTCCTGAGTTCACGCCATTCTCCTTCCTCAGCCTCCTGAGTAGCTGGGACTACAGGCATCTGGGTAATTTTTTTGTATTTTTAGTGGAGATGGAGTTTCACCATGTTAGCCAGGATGGTCTCAATCTCTTGACCTCGTGATCTGCCCACCTCAGCCTCCCAAAGTGCTGGGATTACAGGCATGAGCCACCACGCCTGGCCTACCATTACTTTTAATGGCAAAAATGCAGTTACTTTTGCACCACCCTAATAGAACTAAATGTAAGAGCTAAAACTACAAAACTGTTAGAAGAAAGCATAGGAGCAAATCTTAATGACATGAGAGTTGGCAATTGTTTTTTAGATATGACACCAAAAGCATCAAGGACAAAAGAAAAAAATGGATAAATTGGACTTCCTCCAAATTAAGAGAACTTTTGTCCTGCAAGCAATACTATTAAGAAAGTGAAAAGACAAGTCACAAAATGGGAGAACATTTTTGCACATAATATATTTAATAATAGGCTGACATCCAGAATACATAAATACCTACAACTCAATACCAAAAAGACAGCCCAATTTAAAAATGGGCCAAGGATATGAATAAACATTTCTCTAAAGAAGATACAAAAATGGTCAATATGCACATGAAAAGATGCTCAATATCAATATCTATTAGGAAAATACAAATTAAAACACAAAATATAAAACACAAGATATCAATTTACACTCACCAGGATGGCTGTTATCAAAAAGACAGATAACAAGTATTGGCAAGGATTTGGGGAAATTGTAACCTTCATACATTGCTGGTAGGAATATAAAATTTGCAGCAGGTTTGGAAAACAGTTTAGCAGTTTCTCAAAAAGCCTGGGCATGGTGGCTCATGCCTACAATCCCAGTGCTTTAGGGAGCTGAGGTGAGAGGATTGCTTGAGCCCAGGAGTTGGAGACCAGCCTGAGTAACACAGTGAGACCTCTTTTCTACCAAAAAGAAGAGAGTTAAACATAGGGTACCATATAAGCCAGCAATCCATCTCCTAGATATGTACCCAAGAAAGTTGAAAACATATACTGACACAAAAACTTACATATGAATCTTCATATTAGCCTTATAATAATAGCCAAAAAGTAGAAACAACCCAAATACCCATCAACTAATTAAAATATGGTGTATCTATACATATTATTTGGCCATAAAAGGAAGTACTGATACATGTCATAACACAAATGAACCTTGGAAGCACTATGATCTCTGTATTAGTCAGCTCTTGTATTGCTATAAAGAACTACCTGAGACTGGGTAACTTATAAAGAAAAAGGCTTAATTGAGTCACAGTTCCACAGGCTGCACAGGGATCATGGCCCAGGAGACCTCAGGAAACACAGTTATGATGGAAGGAAGAGAGTGAAGGAGGAGGTGCTACATACTTTTAAACCACCAGATCTTGTGAGAAGTCACTCACTATCATGAGAACAGCAAGGGAGAAGTCCACCCCCATGATCCAGTCAGCCCCAGCCAGGCCCCAACTCCAATATTGGGGATTACAATTCCACATGAGATTTGGGTGGGGACACTAATCCAAACAATATCATTCTGCCCCAGCCCCTCCCAAATCCTGTGTCCTTCTCACATTGGAAGATACAATCATCCCTTCTCAACAGTTTCATTTCAGTATTAACTCAAAAATCCAAAGTCTCATCTGAGACAAGACAAGTCCCTTCCACCTATGAGCCTATAAGATCAAAAAGAAGTTAGTTACTTCCAAGATACAATGGAGGTACAGGCATTGGGCAAATATATCCATTCCAAAAGGGAAAAATTAGCCAAAACAAAGGGGCCACAGGCCCCACGCAAGTCCAAAATCAAG
Organism: Homo sapiens; assembly: GCF_000001405.40. NCBI lineage: Eukaryota > Metazoa > Chordata > Mammalia > Primates > Hominidae > Homo > Homo sapiens. The sequence continues at coordinate 46,338,693 of NC_000003.12, forward strand.
CAGGGAAATCATTAAATCTTAAAGCTTCAAAATGATATCCTTTGACTCCATGTCTCACATCCAGGCCACACCAATGCAAGGAGTGTGCTCCCAAGGCCTTGGGCAGCTCTACCCTGTTGCTCTACAGGGTATAGCCCCCATGGCTGCTTTCACAGGCTGGCATTGAGTGCCTCCAGCTTTTCCAGGTACACAGTGCAAGCTGTTAGTGGATCTACCATTCTAGGGTCTGGAAGATTGTGGCCCTCTTCTCATAGCTCCAGTAGACAGTGCCCCAGTGGGGAATCTGTATGGGGGCTGCAACCCCACATTTCTCCTCTGCACTGCCCAATAGAGGTTCTCCATGAGGGCTCCATTCCTGTAGCATACTTCTACCTGGACATCCAGGTGTTTTCATACATCCTCTAAAATCTAGGTAGGGGCTCCCAAGCCTTAACTCTTGCCCTCTGCACATCCGCAGGCTTAATACCACATGGAAACCACCAATGCTTATGGCTTGCACCCTATGAAGCAGTAGTCTGAGACATATCTGGGCCCTTTTGGCCATGGCTGGGATGCAGGGAACAGTGTCCTGAAGTGGCACAGGGCAGCGGGGCCATGGGCCTGGCCCATGAAACCTTCTTTCCTCCTAGGCCTCCAGACCTGTGATGGGAGGGTCTGCCTCGACGGTCTCTAGAATGTGTTTGAGGCATATTCCTCATTGTCTTGGCTATTAATATTTGGCTCCTCTTTACTTATGCAAATTTCTACAGCCTGATTAATTCCTTTCCAAAAAAATGGGGTTTTCTTTTCTACTACATGGTCAGGTCACAAATTTTCCAAACTTTTACGCTTCCCTTTGAAATGTAAGTTCCAGTTGCAGGTCATTTCTTTGATCACAAATATAAGCATATATTTGTAGAATCAGCCAGGCCACATCTTGAATGTTTTGCTGCTTAGAAACTGCTTCCACCAGATACCCTAAATCATTGCTATCAGGTTCAAAATTCTACATATCTCTAGGGCAAGGGCACAATGCCTCCAAGACCTTTGCTAATGCATAAGAAAATTGACCTTTGCTCCAGTTCCCAATAAGTTCCCCATCTTCATCTGAGGTCTCCTTAGCCTGGACTTCATTGTCCATATCAGTATCAGCATTTTCATCACAATAATTTAACAAGTCTCTAAGAAGTTCCAAACTTTCCCTTATCTTCCTATCTTCTTCTGAGCCCTCCAAACTGCTCCAACCTCTGCCCATTACCCGGGTTCCAAAGCTGCTTCCACATTTTCGGTATCTTTATAGCAATGCTCCATTCCTGATACCAATTTTCTGTATTAGTCTCTTCTCGCACTCCTGTAAAGAACTACCTGAGACTGGGTAATTTATAAAGAAAAGAGGTTTAATTGACTCACAGTTCCACAAGCTGTATAGGAAGCATGGTTCAGAAGGCCACAGGAAACTTACAATCATGGAGGAAGGCGAAGAGAAAGAAGGCACGTCTTACGTGGCTGGAGTAGGAGGAAGAGAGTGAAGGGGGAGGTGTTACACACTTTTAAACAACCAGATCTTGTGAGAACTCACTCACTATCATGAGAACAGCAAGGGAGAGGTCTGCCTCCATGATCCAATCACCTCCTACCAGGCTCCTCCTCCAACATTGGGGATTATGATTTGACATGAGATTTGGGTAGGGACACAACTCCAAACCATATCAATCCCATTTATATGAAATGTCCACAATAGATAAATCTATAGAGACATAAAATAGATTGGTGCTTGCCTAGTGCTGGACGTGACAGGAGGGTGTGAGTAAAAGAGGCAATGGAGTGATAGGTACAGGGTTTCTTTTTGGGGTGATGAAAATATTATAAAATTAGATTGTGGTTATAGTTGTATAACTCTTGAATATCCTAAAAATATATTGAATTTTCCATTTCCATTTTAAATGGGTGAATCTTATGGTATGTGAATTATATCTCAATAAAACTGCAAAAAATGCACAATTTGCAATTGCAAAAATATGGAACCAGTCCAAATGCCCATCAATGAGTGGATAAAGGAACTGTGGTATATATATATATATATATATATATATATATATATATATATATATATATATATATATATACACACACACACACACACCATGGAATACTACTCAGCCATAAAAGGGAATAAAACAATGGCATTCTCAGCAACCTGGATGGAATTGGAGACCATTATTCTAAGTGAAATAACTCAGTAATGGAAAACCGAATATCATACATTCTCACTCATAAGTGGGAGCTAAGCTATGAGGATGCAAAGGCATAAGAATGATATAATGGACTTTGGGAACTCAGGGAAAGGGTGAGAGAGGGGTGAGGAATAAAAGGCTACCCATTGGGTACAGTGTACACTGTTCAAGTGATGGCTGCACCAAAATCTCAGAAATCACCACTAAAGAACTTATTTACATAACCAAATACCACCTGTTTCTCAAAAACCTATTGAAATTAATTAATTTTTAAAAACTGCTGAAATCAATAGTGAAAGGATGGACTATTCAATAATGACACAGTTAATTGAATATCATATTTTAAAAATTAGATCCTTACCTCACACTATAACATAACAATAAATTCCAGGTGAATTATAGACCAAATATGAAAAGCAAAATTTTAATATTTTAGAAGACAATTTTTATGACCTTAAGTTAGAAAATGATTTTTAAAAACAGGATGCAAAAACACTAATCATAAAGAGATATTTTAGGCCAAGCATGGTGGCTCACACCTGTAATCCTAGTACTTTGGGAAGCTGAGGCAGGTGGATCACTTGAGGTCAGGAGTTCAAGACAAGCCTGGCCAATAGGGTGAAACATGTCTCTACTAAAAATACAAAAATTAGCTGGAAATCGCTCGAACCCAGGAGGCAGAGGTTGCAGTGAGCTGAGATTGTGCCACTGCACTCCAGCCTGGGTGACAGAGAGAGACTCCACCTCAAAAAAATAAATAAATAAAAATAAAGAGAGATTTTAATAAGGTGCATTAAAATAAAAAACTATCCATCAAAGACACCATGAATAAAGTTAAAATAGGCCACAATGAGAATATATTTGCCATGAATTTTTTCTTTTTTTTTGAGATGGAGTCTTGCTCTGTCACCCAGGCTGGAGTGCAGTGGTGCAATCTCGGCTTACTGCAAACTTCACCTCCCAGGTTCAAGCAATTCTCCTGCCTCAGCCTCCTGAGTAGCTGGGATTACAGGTGTGTGCCACCATGCCTGGCTAATTTTTGTATTTTTAGTAGACACGGGGTTTCACCATGTTGGTCAGGCTGAGCTCAAACCCCTGACCTCGTGATCCACCTTCCTCAGCCTCCCAAAGTGCTGGGATTACAGGCATGAGCCACCGTGCCTGGCCTACCATGAATATTTTTTTAAAGGTAGCATCCAGAATTAATAATCTTCTCCAACAAATTTCATTAGTAGTCAGGGAACTGCAAATTAAAATCAAAGTAAAATACTACTTTCCACTCATTAGACTAAAATCCATTCAAGTCTGATAATACCTAGTACTGAGTTGGAGTAATAGAAACTGCTAATGGGACAGTTAGTTGGTCATCACTTTGGAGAGAAATTAGTCAGTATCTAGTAAAAGTTAGTGATACACCTTCCATTTTCATCTGTTCTGTGCTGCTACCAAAGAATACCTGAGACTAGGTAATTTATAAATAATAGAAATGTATTTCTAATGGTTCTAGAGGCTGAGAAGTCCAAGATTGAAGGGCCAGCCTCTGCAGAGAGCCTTCTTGCTGTGTCATGCCATGGCAGAAGGGCAAAGAGAGGGCAAGAGAGAGCAAAAGCAAATTCACAGCATCAATCCCTTTTATAATCAGCATTACTCTATTAATGAGGGCAAGACCCTCATGGCCTAATCACCTCTAAAAGGTCACACCTCTTAATACTATTGCAATGGTAATTAAGTTTCTAATACATACTTTTTGGGAGACATTTTCAAACTATAGCACCTACCCTATAGCCCAACATTTCTACTCCTAGGAGTATGCCCTAGAGAAATTCTGCATAAATATCTAAAGAGAGGCCATTGTTGCATTGTTAGGTACTGGAAAATTGGAATCAATTACTATGTCTACCAGCAGCAGAAGATGGCTTTTTAAAAGTTTTGGTTTATTCATGAAATGGAATATTGCATAAAGTATGCTCCATCTCACCAGATGAAAACATTTTTCACTAGGACTATTTCAAAAGTAGTCTTATCACTGGGCTTCTCTATTATGCATAAAAATTTTAAGTGAACATGTTCTTTGACCTAGTACTCCTACTTTTAGGAATTTGCCCAAAAGGGACAATTATACTACTGGGATAAATCTTTGAATCATAAAGTAAGTTGTAAATGGTACAAGCAGTATGTCTTATTTTTATTTAAAGCACATTAACAATATTACACATATAGTAAAAAATAAATAAATAAAACATGTGAATAATAAACACCCAATTTAGAACAAGTGTTGACAGTGGAGAGGGAAAGAGAGAGAAAGAAGGAGAAATGGGGAGTGGGAGCGGGTACACAAGGAAATTTTAGTTGCAGCTCCAAATTTTTACTTTTTACACAATGAAGCGAATATGGCAAAATAAGATTTGTTAAAGTTGGGCAGCAGGTACACAGATATTCTATCATTATCCTTTGAATATTTCTGTAGATTTAAGTTGTCCATTAAAAAAATAAAATACACACATAATTTTTAAGATTAGTTTTTTCTATTTCCTGGCCTTCGCATGCACTGTTAACTTTACCTGGAATTCTTTATGCAGTAATTAAGAGCAAAGGTGTAGAGCAAGACTGCTTGAGCTTGGATCCCAGCACTGAGTTGATTTAGGGAGAATAACTTAATCTCTTAATCCCAAGAGAAAATATGATATAATAGTTTTGAGCTCATAAAGTTTTCATAAGCATTAAATGTGACCTATATATGTAAAGCAATCTAACAGTGCCTATAGTATTTATAAGTGTCTGCATTACCAAATTCATCATTATCATGGCATGTCATGTCACCATCCACTACATTACCATCACTGTCACCATCATCATCATCACCACCACCATCATCATTAACTCCCTTTGTCTAGTCAATTCATATTTGTTCTTCGTATTTTAGATACCTGTTAAAATATTTTTTCAAAGATGTCTACTCTGATTCTTCAGTACAAATTTGATTTAATAAGATCCTATCATTTTGTCCAAATACTTATAAAAATTTGTAGTTCTATATTTAATGTGTTTTGTTTGTTTAACATCTCTCTCCTACATTGTGTTAAGTTTTTTAAAGAGAAGGTAAGGGTTAAAGAGAGACATAGAGAGAGAAAGAGAGACAGAGAGAGAGAGAGAGCGGTTCTACAGCAATACAGGTATATTAGAAAAACCTGCAAAGGTGGGGACCAGCTTAATGCCAGAGCCCCCCACTGCTTATAGGCTGGGGTACTTATAGGTCTGGGGGTACTTATAGGCCTGGGTGGGTGGGGTCTGAGCAGTATGGCTTGCTGCCCAAGAAGATGTTGATAAGACGTTCCCATGATGAGGCAGTTTGGTCCTTGCTTCCATAGAGTGTGATGCTTCTTGCACTTTTTCCCAGCAGAATGTGGTAGGGATGTTCCTTCAGGTGGGCCTTTGCCTGGCAGGGTATGATAAGGATGTTCCTGTGCCTTGGAATCAGGTAGTTAGACAGGATGTTTCTCACAGCCTGAACCCCCATGGAATGTTTCACTTTGACCAGGGTCTGCGAAATAGCAGGGGGCTTACAAAATGGTGTAGTTTGGACTAACACCTTGGAACACAAAAGTTTCTTGGGGCCAAGGCTGGCGTATTAGTCTGTTTTCATGCTGCTAGTAAAGACATACCTGAGACTGGGTAATTTATAAAGAGAAAAGAGGTTTAATGGACTCACAATTCCACATGGCTGGAGGCCTCACAATCATGAGGGAGGCAAAGGAGGAGCAAAGGCACGTCTTACATGGTGGTAGGCAAGAGAACGTGTGCAGGGGAACTGCCCTTTATAAAACCATCAGATCTTGTGATACTTATTCACTATCAAAAGAACAGCACGGGAAAAATCTGCCTCCATGATTCAATTACCTCCCACCAGATTCCTCCCATGACATGTGGTAATTATGGGAACTACAATTCAAGATGAAATTTGGGTGGGGACACAGTCAAACCATATCAGCTGGGTATGTTTTATTCACCTTTTTATACCCATTGTCATGTCTTCTGGACAAACAATGGATGTAAAATGGTATAGACTCCTGAGTACTCATTTGTTGAATGACAAATCTATGAACCATTTGACCAGTATGCAGCAGCCATTAAAATTATGTTTATGAATAATTTACAGCATGGAAAAATTTGGGGTTGCTAGTAGAAAAACAAAAAGGTACAAAAGGATATATATAATAAGCCTACAATGCCATATAAACAATACTAACAGCAAAAACAAACCTATAAATTGGGGGAAGATGGGGCAGATAGAAGTAACCTAAAATACTAACATGTTGTTTTGGGGTCATGAAATTATAAATGATTATGCACCCCTTAATTTTTACTTTCTATGTTTGATTTTTCTATGGTAAATGCATTTTTATTGAGGTGGAATTCACATAACATGAAATGAAAAATTTAGTGGCATTTATTATATTCACAATATTGTACAACCACTAGCTCTACTTCCAAAACATTTTCATCACTCCAAAATAAAACCTTGTACCCATTAAGCAGTTACTCCCCATTATTTCCTCTCTTAGCTCCTAGCAACCACCAACCTGCTTTCTGTCTCTAGGGATTTATTTATTCTGGATATTCCATAAAAATGGAGGCACAATATGTACCTTTTATGTCTGGCTTCTTTCACCAAGCATGTTTTTGAGGCTAATCCACATTGCAGCATGTATCAGTACTTCATTTCTTTTTATGAATAACTGTATACAGACCACAATTTGTTATCCATTTTTTGGTTTATGGACATTTGGGTTGTTTCCATCTCTCAACTATTGTGAATAGTGCTGCTATGTATATTTGTGTACAAGAATTTGGTTACCTATTTTCAATTCTTTTATGTATATATCTAAGATGAAATTGCAGGGTTATATGCTAATCCTATGTTTAGCATTTTTTTTTAGGAACCATTAAACTGTTTTCCAAATCTGATGCCCCATTTTATATTCCTACTAGCAATGTAAGCAAGTTCCAATTTCTCCATATCCTCAACAACACTTGTTATTTTCTATTTTTGTTATAGCCATTCTAATGAGTGTAAAGTGATATATCATTGTGGTTTTCTTTGCATTTTCCTTATGAACATTGATGTTGAGTACCTTTTCATGTACTTTTTGGTCATTTATATATCATCTTTGGAGAAATGCCTCTTCGTGTATGTTTTGCCCATTTTAAAACTAGATTGTCTTTGTTGTTGACATGCATGCATTCTTTAAATATTCTGCATACTAGGCCCTTATCAGATATATGATTTGCAAATGTTTTTTCTCATTTTACTGGCTGTCTTTTCACTTTATTGATAATGTCCTTTGATGCCCAAAAGTTGTTTATTTTGATGAAGCATATTTATCAATTTATTTCTTTTATTGCTCATGCTTTTGATGTCACCTCTAAGAATTTATAACCAAATCAGAGGTAATGAAGGTTTACCCCTCTATTTTCTTCTAAGAGTTTTATAGTTTTGACTCATTTACTTAGGTCGCTGATTCATTTTTAGTTAATTTTTGCATATGATGTGAGGAAGAGGTCCAACTTTACTCATTTGCATGTGGATATTCAGCTGTGCCAGCACCATTTGTGAAGAGTCTATCATCTCCTCATTTAATAATAGTATTGACACCTTTGTTGAAAGTCAATTGATAATAAATGTATGAGTTTATTTCTGGAATCTAAATTCTATTCCATTGATCTACATGTCTATCCTTGTATCAGTATCACACTATCTTGATTACTGTAGATTTGTAGTAAGTTTTGAAACTAGAAAGTGTGAGTACTGCAATATTCTTCTTTTTCTTTTTTAAAGATTGTCAGGGCCTCTTGCAATTTAATAGGGATATGAGGATTGACTTTTCTATTCTACAAAATTAAAATTTTGTTAGAGATTGCATTGACACTGTAGGTAGCTTTCAGTAACATTGCCATCTCAACAATTTTAAGTATTCTAATACATGAATATGAGCTTTCTTTCTCTTTATTTAGGTCTTCTTTAATTTCTTTCAGCAGTGTTTTGTAGTTTTGGGGTACAAGTCTTTCACCTTTAAATTTTGGTGAAATTTATTCCTAGGTATTGCATTTTTTTATGCTATTGTAAATAAAATTATTTTCTCAATTTCCTGTTGGATGTTCATTGCAGGTGTATAGAAACTCAACTGATTCTTTGTGTTGATCTTATGCTGAGACCAGCTCAGTTGGGGAGACCCTAACCTAGAAGCACTAGAGGAATTAAAGACACAAACACAGAAATATAGAGGTGTAAAGTGGGAAATCAGGCGTCTCACAGCCTTCAGAGCTGAGAGCTTCAAACAGAGATTTACCCACATATTTATTAACAGCAAGCCAGTCATTAGCATTGTTTCTATAGATATTAGATTAACTAAAAGTATCCCTTATGGGAAACGAAGGGAAGGGCTGAAATAAAGGGATGGGTTGGGCTAGTTATCTGCAGCAGGAGCATGTCCTTAAGTCATAGATCACTCATGCTATTGTTTGTGGTTTAAGAATGCCTTTAAGCGGTTTTCTGCCCTGTGTGGGACAGGTGTTCCTTGCCCTCATTCCGGTAAGCCCACAACCTTCCAGCGTGGGCATTATGGCCATCATGAACATGTCACGGTGCTGCAGCGGTTTTTATGGCCAGTTTTGGGGCCAGTTTATGGCCAGATTTTGGGGGGCCTGTTCCCAACAATCTTATACCTTGCAATTTTGCTGAATTTGCTTGTTAACTTTGATAGTTTTTTTGAGGATTATTTGGGATTTTCTACATATCATGTCATCTGTGAATAAAGATAGTTTTGCTTCTTTCTTTCTCATTTGGATGCCTTTTATTTCCTTTTCTTGCCTAATTTCCCTGGCTAGAACTTCCAGTATGATGTTGAATAACCATGGTGAAATGGGCATTCTTGTCTTTTTCCTGATGTTAGAGAGAAATTTTTCAGTCTTTAACCATTGAGTATAATGTTAGCTGTGGGTTTTTTACAAATATCTTTTATCATGTTGAGGAAGTTCCTTCCTACTCCTACTTCTTGGAGTGTTTTTGATATAAAGGGTATTTAATTTGTCAAATGCTTTTTCTGTGTCAGTTGAGATTATCATGTGAGATTTTTTTTCCTTCATTCTATTAGTGTTGATGTTACATTGGTTGATTTTTTATGTTGTACTACATTTGCATTCTTTATATAAATTTCACTTGGTCATGGTGTATAACCCTTTTAATATGCCATTGGATTTAGTTTGCTAGTATTTTGTTTAGAGTTTTTGCATCTATATTCATAAGCAATATCAGTCCACAGGTTTTTTGTGGTTTATTTGTCTGGCTTTGCTATAATGGTAATGCTGTCTTCTTAGAATGAATGAGGGAGTGTTTTCTCCTCTTTCATTTTTTAAACGTTTGAGAAGGAGTGATATTAATTTTTCTTTAAATGTTTGGTAGAACTTACCAGTGAAGCCGTCTGGTTCTTAACATTTTTCTGTGTTGGGAGGTTTCTGATTACCAATTTGATCTCTTTAATTTTTACAGATCTTTTCAGATTTTCTATTTCTTCTTGAGTAACTTTTTAGCAATTTATGTATTTTAGAAATTTGTTCATTTAATCTAGGTTATTTAATTTATTGGTGTGCATTTTTTCATAGTATTATCTTATAATCTTTTAATTTTTGTAAAGTTGATAATGTCCCCACCTTACCTGATCTTAGTTATTTGTGTCTTCTCTGTATTCTTTTTGTCTTCTTCTTCTGTCTTAGCATAGCTAAAGGTTTGTCAACTTTGTTGATCTTTTAAAGAGTCAACTTTTGCTTTCAGCATGCATTACTTTTTAAATAGAAATATATACACCTAAGTTGCATTACAAAGGAGTTGTCCTCCACACACTTATTCTTTCCCACCATCAGAGGTTTATGGTCCCCGCAAAAGTCACCATCAGTTGGGCTCAACTCCAATCAGTCATGGTAGGTCAGGGTCCATCTCATTGTCTCCATCACTCATGCCCACCCAGGGTAAGTCTAATCATGTTCACCAATCAGAACCTCTGCCACATCAGCTCTGTGGGTTTCCTCTCATGCCATCTGTACCAACAATGAGCACAGTCTGGGTTTCCTGATGTTTTCTATAGCATGGTGCCCCTCCCTGGGACACCTCAGAAGCCACAATGATATTCATTAAACTTCTTCCTGCAAGTACTCCCTCTATTGCTCCTTCTACTCACCAAGCTTAGTGTCAGGGAATATGCTGGTGGGGAGTATGAATCTTAGCTTCTCACTCCCAGACTCGGCTCCCAACCTGCTGTTGCCAAGTCTTGGGGACATCTATAAATGCCTTCTAAATACCTGTCTTGGCCTATCCCCAGCCACAGATTCCTCCCTAGAGCAGGCTACCTCTGAGGCATCTATACTGAGATCTTAATCACAGAGACATTTAAAACATCTAGGCTACAAAAGAATTCCTACTATAGGGTTCAAATGAATTTCTTTCCGTCACTTGAGACAGCTTTTTAGCAAGTACATGTATTAAAGATTCTGATTTCCCCTTTTTTCTCCTACAGTTTGTTTGGCCTAAAGGTATGACATCTAATCTGCTGCATTTACACTCTAAGTCAAAATTACCATTTTGTTCTTTTAATTTCTATTTCTAATCATACATTCTTGTCTACTCCTGGTTCATCTGGAGACAAAGTTGAACTTAGAAGATGGAGGAGAAATTCTTATCTGCCCTCTGCTAGTTGACACTTCCTTTCCAAGAATCATTTGCAGTTGCTGGGCTTTCTTGCTGTGACTCTATGCCCTGTTGTGTTACTTTTTCATTTGTGACAAAAACAGTGGTAATAGTTTGCTTCATTTTTATTATGAAGACTTGACCAGGATAGGTAGGAACATAATTACTGCTTTTTCTGTGGGCATCATATTGGTCCAGATCATGTTTAACCAGAATTGAAGATGTAAAATCCTAGAACTCACTAATCTATTTTAGTAGGTCACAGGAAGCATGCAAACCATAAAAACCGCAATGAACCAAAAGCATCTGTGTTGACAAGAGGCAAGAATTTCTCTATTTTCTAAAGGCACTAACTGAACAAATCTATTGCCCATTACTTAGGAAATTGCTAAGGGCATCGTTAAAGTACTTCAGGCTGTTGAAAAACCTTTTCTGTCTTCTTGCCCCACCACCAATTCTCTCTAGCTATGCTTTCTCTCACATGTTCTTGCCATCCATGGAGTGGCAGAGAGGTTCTGAGTACAACTCTAACTTTCAGTTTCAATGGCCTAATCCCCAACTCAACTGCTGACCTTGAGTGTAAAAATAAACAAGATCTTAAACATCTTAGGGCCAGCATTCTGGGTCTTCTTTTGTTATTTGGGGAGCATAAACTATTCTCATATCATTGGCTTGCAGAAAAATTGAGCTTCTCCTCTTCCTTGCCCCATGTCACCTTGAGGTGACCACAGCCCTGCCTTCTATGTAATCCTGCTTGGTCAGCAGGCACATCAGAGCTCAGTGGCTTGTGACATACTTTCCTTCAAGCCTGCTCGAAGGGCCATACTCATCATTGAGACTGGGAACCTTAGAAACCATGAACCCAGTGCCAATGGGTAGATACAGAATTCTCAAACTCATGAAAAAACATCCTTTTTAACTCTCTCCGTGTGCATAAAGAATTCTAAGATGTACTGATCAAGATTCCCAATTTTCTAACTATCTATTAATATATGGACGAGGTAAGAAGAAAGTTGCAAGAAAAAAATTTGTTTGACTTGACGGTTGTGTGGTTATTTGCCACACTCCCCCAGATCCACTCTGAGTCCCAGGATGCTGATTTTAGGGGCTACATTGCCTAGACTGTCCATTATTCCCTCTTCCCATCTGGTTCAGTCACTGGGAAGCACTGGTAGGAGGTCAGAGTGGGAGAAGGAGGTTAGGATACTTTCTGCCCCTGCTGTCCTACTGCTTTGCTGAACTTCTAGCAGTGGCTGAGCCATCAACCTGCAGCTCTCAATTCCAGCTGTCTGTAGCACTCAAGTGGTATTGTTTATTCTTTTGATCCTTCTAGCTGTTAAGGAAGAAAAAAATAATTTTTTCCTCAATGCTCATAAGTTCTTGGAATGGACCCCTGTAACAAAAGACAGATTAACACGAGAAAAGTTTATTAACGTACATATTTTATACGTACATAGGAGCTATCCAGGGAATGAATAATTCTTAAAAAGGTGACTTTGAATTCCAGCTCATATAGCATCTTCAACAAAGTTCAGTAACATTTTAGAGATATGACAAGACAAAGAAAATGAACTTTGAGCCTCTAGGGACAGTGACTTGTAGGAAGGCAAAAGGAATAAATGGAGGTAAAGGCTGGTTAGTAATACTTGTTAATGAAGATTCCTCTGGTGCCATCTCCAGGTCCACAAGGATTTAAATTTGTCTTCAGTGGTGAACCTTTGTTCACCCTGGCAGAAGGTGTGGAGGGGGGTGCAGATCCGTTTTGTCTTTGTAAGTCTATATCCTGCTTTTAGACAAATAAAGGGAGGGAAAAGAGCTTTCCTTCATCTGCTTCTTAATTGCCTTCAGCTCAACAATCCTTATGCAAAAGAGGTACATTTTAGGGTGTCAAATTCTGGTCTCCCACAAAGCATAGGGATGACAGACCACCTCACCATCCCTGTTGCTTCTTTTAAGCCTGCTCACCCCTCCAAAAATATTTTCATTCTATACTGTCTCTTCAAAATCTCAGCGGAGGGTGCCCTCTGTTATCCTGCCCTCTGTGTCAGTATAAGCCAAAGGTTTGAATCCTGGCTCTGCAACTATCTACCTCTGTGCCTCTCCTTGTTTATGAAATTACAGGGCTGGAGACAAAGATCACAATGTGAAGACAAAATTGGAGAGCGGTCCTAATCAGCCAGAGCAAAATTTCTGGCTCTTGCTCTTCCCCATCCTGGGTTGAATCATAGGAACAGGTGGCAAGATGCCAGGGTCAGGAGATTCCAGAAGTGGCAGCAAGCTCAGTGTTACCAGGTCAGGGATGACCTGTCTTATTATTGAAATCTCAGAGATATGCTCCAATTCCGGCCCAGAGACACATTGAGAGACAACTGGGGAACTTGCTATGTTCCTGAACAGGCAATGAGCTGTCTTCCAAGAAAAAACCTGAGACCCTTCAAGTCTCAGGTCTTACTTAGCACATATACCAGGTCTTACACAGGACACATGGTTACAACTGACTGAAATCTGGGCTGGGTGTAGGAGCTCACACCTGTAATCCCAGCCCTTCAGGAGGCTGAGGCAGGCAGATTGCCTGAGCCCAGGAGTTCGAGACCAGCCCGGGCAACATGACAAAACCCCATCTCTACAAAAAATAGTCAGGCATGGTGGCATGCACCTGTAGTCTCAGCTACTTGGGAGGCTGAGATGAGAGGATTGCTTGAGGTTGAGACTGCAGTGAAGCATGATCATGCCACCGCACTCCAGCCTAGGCAACAGAGCAAGATCTTGTCGCAAAAGAAAGCAAAAACACAACATAACACAACAACAACAACAACAACAACAACAGCAAAAAAGCCAACTTCTTGAAATCTGGAAAGGACACCTGGACTGCCCTGAGCATTTGATTGTTGTTGGCTCTAGCAGTGGATGCATCCTTCAACCTCTGGCACTCTGCAGGGCTCAGACTGTTCTGTTCTGTTTGTTACCTGTGGAGTGCCTGCCAGACCCTGCTCTAGCTGCTTTAGGTCCATTTACCCTCATAGACCCCCAGTCTTGTTATTCATATTTCATATTTGGGAAATGGAAACTTAGAAACTTGCCAAGTCCACAGCATGAGATCCTGCCTCCGGTGTCTGCTGGATTCCAGAAAGTGCCAGGGGCCAACTTAGATGACACCATGTTCTCTGCACAATCTTAGGAATGCTCCTAGTCTGATGTCCCCATTGCAAAATTTACATTATCTTTTAACAAAACGTCTTTCCAAGGAGGGGCATTTAAAATAACTGAGGTTCTTCTTGCTAAGGACGTTCCTGACACAAGAGATAATTTAGCATTTCCTTTTCATTAAAAAGTTTGAAATCCTGTAATTTGTGATAATGTGGATGAACCTAGAGGATGTTAAGTGAAATAAGCCACACACAGATAGACAAATACCACGTGATCTCACTCTTATGTGGAATTTTTTTTTAAATAAGTTGCTTAGCCGGGCATGATGGCACACACCTGTAATCCTAGCTACTCAGGAGGCTGAGGTGGGAGGATGGCTTGAACTCAGAAGGTGGAGGTAGCAGTGAGCTGAGACTGTGCCAGTGCACTCCGGTCTGGGTGACAGAATGAAACCCAATTTAAAAAAAAAAAAAAAGTTGCTATCTTAGAAAAAGACAGTAGAGCAGTGGTTACCAGAGACTGGGGAGGAAAGAGAGGAGGTGAGAATGGGCAGCAGTTGATCAACGGGTACAAAGTTACCATGAGATAGGAGAAACAAGTGCTGGTGCTCTGCTCCAAGTAGGGTGACGGTAGTTAATAATGAATTCTGTATATATAAATAGCTAGAAGAGAGGGTTTTCAATATCATTATTATTTCAAAAGAAATGATAAATGTTTCAGAGGATGGATATGTAATTACCCTGATTTGATCATTGCACAATGTATACATGTAGCAAAACATCACATTGTGTCCCATAAATATATACAATTATTATGTGAATTAAATAAAAAAAAATTTTAAAGTCTTATCTAAATGAAATTTCTAACCAGATTCTGAATCCATGATACCACTGAAACCAGCACACATGATCGCAGTAAAACCTCATTATACTTCCTCCACTATCACCAATACCCTTTATTCTCTGGAACATGAAACATTCTGTTGTGCTCATATCATGCAAATTATCACTAGTAGGAGAGCAGAGAGTGGAAATGTTCCAGGTATAAAGACCCACAAGATAAAGAAGCTCAGAGTCGTTAGAAACAGGAGCAGATGTACAGGGTTTGCCTGACTCACACTCAAGGTTGCATAAGCAAGATTTCAAAATTAATCCTATTCTGGAGACCTCAACCCAATGTACAATGTTCCTGACTGGAAAAGAAGAACTATATTTTTCTGATTTTTTTTTTCAAATCTTTACCATTAGTTGCCCTGTATCTCCGCCTTCACTTTCTGCAGGAAACTTTATTTCCTACTTCTGCATGCCAAGTTTCTACCTCTAGATCTGTTTGGTTCAGTTGCTGAGAAGCCTGACATACCAGGACTGCCTGAGACAAGCCACAAGCTGGTGAGTTGTAGGCATTTTTTCCATTACTTTCTGATTCATAGGCTCAACGCACCTCAAAGCTGGAAATGCCGGGTCTGGGTACACCCTGGGGAACTGCAAAGCCTGCACACTTGGGGGGAATGATCAAGATGAGAGGCAGGGGTGGGGATGGCATGTGCACCAGGAGATGTTAGAGAAACCCTGAGGAAGAGCAGCGTGCAGCAGGTGATGGGGGAGAGTGGGCAGCAAGCGAGGCCAGGACAGCCACTCTGCTCAGTCACCAGTCCACACACCCAGGGGCTCACTCTGCCCCTCTGAGCACCCAAGGACGTTAAAGAGCTGGAACTGTTAGTCTAAATATAGGACCATCCAAGCTCTGAACCAAAATGTGTCCCTTGCCTCAACTCAGGAGATCCACAGAGGCAGAAGTAAGGAATTTATTTTCTGAAAGATAGATTTCTATCAGTTCTGGGTGACATGTTCTGACACTTGAAATGACACCTAGGACAGCACATTTCAGGCATCTTGCTCATTGTTCACTGTAGTAGAAGCTACATGCTAGCCAGTTGTAAAAATGAAATTAAGTAATGTGTGCACAGCATTTAACATAGCATCTGAGCTTCAGGAGCACTCAATTAATGACCACAGTTGTGATTCTTTAGGCAGATGCATTTTTTTCCAACTTTGATCAGAGGTCTTATTTAGCTTCTCCAGATTTCAAGAATCTGGCTCAGTGATATGAAATACAAGACTTGTGAAAAGTGTCAATTGCAAGAGAAATGGAAGGATAAAGTATACAGGTG
The DNA here is from genome assembly GCF_000001405.40 of Homo sapiens. Classification (NCBI taxonomy): domain Eukaryota; kingdom Metazoa; phylum Chordata; class Mammalia; order Primates; family Hominidae; genus Homo; species Homo sapiens. Next base: position 46,354,960 of record NC_000003.12, read on the forward strand.
GGTGGAAAAGAAATTCACAGTCACTGCCAGAAAAAAAATTCTTGAGAATCAAGTCCTGATGATGTTAGGGCTTATAGTTCTTATTATAAAGAGTTTTATGTACTCATTCAGTGAACATTTATTGGTGCCTCCTTTAGCCAGGTACTATCATAAGAGCTGAAAATAGAAGCATAATCCAGTCCTTGATCTTGAGGAACATGCTGTGTGTAGCAGATAACATAATAAGTGCTTATCTAGATGCATGCAGTGTTATGTGATAAGAGTAATATGACAGAGGATACAGATTAGGCTTCACAGAGAAGGGGGATTTGAGCAGGAGGTATTGAAGGGTGAATAGAAGCTCACCAATCATTTTGGGCAGAGGGGCAAGGACCTGCAAAACCACTGAAGCATGAAGGAAATGGTGAGTTTAGGGAAAATGAAGAGAAGATGGCTGTGACTGAAGCACAGGATTTGGGATTGGAGAAGGGACTGGAGGTGAGGCTGAAAAGAGGCAAACTCAGAAAAGATGTTGTGCTGGGCAGTCTGGACATTATCTTTGAAGCCCACCACATATAAGTCATAGGGCTACTGGAGGTTTTAAGCTAAGAGTGACTATTCAATTTCAACTTAAGAGAAGATAGGTTGAGAGGGAACATGGCTTGAGATGAGCCATGAGCAAAGGAAAGACTACAACAAAGCCAGGAGTGAGGAGTGTGTGAAGCAAGAAAGTGACAGTTGAAAGCAGTGCAGAGGGGATGAATCTGAGAGGCATCTATGAGGTGGAACTCAAATGACATGATAATAATACAGGGCATTTCTCTGTGTCAGATGCTGTCCTAAGTCCTTACTCCATTGATCTTCACAGCAACTCAGCATAGTTAATATTTTATGCATAAAGAAATCGGCACTTGAAGGAGTAATTGGCCCCAGATTACACTGCCTATAAGGATTCAAATCCAGGTTTGTTTGGCTCCAAAAACTGGCTCCTAATTTTCAGAAGGAGAAGCAACCCAGGGCAATGCCCAATTTTGCTTCTTAGGCAATGGAGGAATCCACAATCGGAAGGAGTTTTCAGCAGTGCCCCATTTGGGGTGGGTTGAATTTGAGGTCCCTGCATGATACCCACTTTGCTCACTTCAGTGCCTAAAACTGAGTATGGTTCATAGTAGGTGTTCAATAAGTGTTGATGCAGTGAATACATGCATGGGGAGATATGCATCAGGCAATGGGAAATTCAACTCTAAGGCTTAGGGGAAAGCTGGAGCTTGAAGACAGAGCTTTAGAAAACAGTAGCATAGAAGGGAGTAGGAACCATGAGTTTAGACAATACAATTCAGGAAGAACTTTGTAGCAAGGATAAAGAGGCAAAAAATTAAAGAGGTGAGAGCTAAGTGTGGTGCCTGGGGAATCTTAAGGTGTGGGCACGGGGAGGAGATGCCAGCAAAGAACATGAATAAAAAGCGGTAGCACAGCCCCTCCCATCTGGAAGCCAAAAAGAATTGTAAATGGAGGAAGTTAGCAGAAGGATCAAATACTTGAAGAGGGTGGAATTGGAATAAAACCAGGGCATTTGAAAAATTGGGTTGTCACTGCAATCTTAACAAGAGAAGTTTTGGCAGGATGATGGAGGCAGAAAGCTGAGAGAATCATCAGTTAGAACGTTTTTGACTTCAGAGAACAGAAAATGCAGTTCATAATGGCTTTAAAACAGGGGCTTGTTTTTCTCCCAGCAATTTGAGAGGCCAAGGCGGGTGCATCAGGAGGTCAAGAGACCGAGACCATCCTGGCCAACATGGTGAATCCCCATCTCTACTAAAAATACAAAAATTAGCGGGGCATGGTGGTGCACGCCTATAGTCCCATCTACTCAGGAGGCTGAGGCAGGAGAATCACTTGAACCCAGGAGGTGGAGGTTGCAGTGAGCTGAGATCATGGCCACTGCACTATAGCCTGGAGACACAGCGAGACTCCGTCTCCAAAAAAAAAAAAAAAAGAAGGCAGAAGGTGAATAGTTCAAGGGTGGGTTTAGGACTCAGTGATAATAGGATTCTGCCTGGCTTCTCATGGTTCTCTAGGTCTTCCATTCATGGCACCATGCCCTCACTAGGCATGCTGCCAGAGCAGGAGGGGCAGGTGGAGGGTTCTCTTGTGTCTGTCTTATCAGGGAAGAAGAGCTTTCTCAGAAGCCCCCAGCAGACTCCCTTTTCATATTATGGTCCAGCAATGAGTCACAGACCTATGCACCACCTGCAAAGGAGCCAGAGAAAACAAACGCCCAGCGCTTTTAGCCTGAAAATGAGAATCTGGTTTGCTGGGGAAGATAAAGGGTGTCGGAAAATGGCTGTTGGGTAAATCATTGATGTCTGCCACTAGGAATGAAAGGCAAATCAGGAACTGGCACACATGCTTTCAGGGAGATGGCTGCAAGGGAGAGGGCAAAGACTGGGAAGTTGCTTATGTGGTGCCAGACTATTTGGAAGATCATGGATTGCGGTGTTTGTGTTGTGTGGTCATCATTTTGTTCTTTGTTTACAGAACAGAGAAAGTGGATTGAACAAGGACGCATTTCCCCAGTACATCCACAACATGCTGTCCACATCTCGTTCTCGGTTTATCAGAAATACCAACGAGAGCGGTGAAGAAGTCACCACCTTTTTTGATTATGATTACGGTGCTCCCTGTCATAAATTTGACGTGAAGCAAATTGGGGCCCAACTCCTGCCTCCGCTCTACTCGCTGGTGTTCATCTTTGGTTTTGTGGGCAACATGCTGGTCGTCCTCATCTTAATAAACTGCAAAAAGCTGAAGTGCTTGACTGACATTTACCTGCTCAACCTGGCCATCTCTGATCTGCTTTTTCTTATTACTCTCCCATTGTGGGCTCACTCTGCTGCAAATGAGTGGGTCTTTGGGAATGCAATGTGCAAATTATTCACAGGGCTGTATCACATCGGTTATTTTGGCGGAATCTTCTTCATCATCCTCCTGACAATCGATAGATACCTGGCTATTGTCCATGCTGTGTTTGCTTTAAAAGCCAGGACGGTCACCTTTGGGGTGGTGACAAGTGTGATCACCTGGTTGGTGGCTGTGTTTGCTTCTGTCCCAGGAATCATCTTTACTAAATGCCAGAAAGAAGATTCTGTTTATGTCTGTGGCCCTTATTTTCCACGAGGATGGAATAATTTCCACACAATAATGAGGAACATTTTGGGGCTGGTCCTGCCGCTGCTCATCATGGTCATCTGCTACTCGGGAATCCTGAAAACCCTGCTTCGGTGTCGAAACGAGAAGAAGAGGCATAGGGCAGTGAGAGTCATCTTCACCATCATGATTGTTTACTTTCTCTTCTGGACTCCCTATAATATTGTCATTCTCCTGAACACCTTCCAGGAATTCTTCGGCCTGAGTAACTGTGAAAGCACCAGTCAACTGGACCAAGCCACGCAGGTGACAGAGACTCTTGGGATGACTCACTGCTGCATCAATCCCATCATCTATGCCTTCGTTGGGGAGAAGTTCAGAAGGTATCTCTCGGTGTTCTTCCGAAAGCACATCACCAAGCGCTTCTGCAAACAATGTCCAGTTTTCTACAGGGAGACAGTGGATGGAGTGACTTCAACAAACACGCCTTCCACTGGGGAGCAGGAAGTCTCGGCTGGTTTATAAAACGAGGAGCAGTTTGATTGTTGTTTATAAAGGGAGATAACAATCTGTATATAACAACAAACTTCAAGGGTTTGTTGAACAATAGAAACCTGTAAAGCAGGTGCCCAGGAACCTCAGGGCTGTGTGTACTAATACAGACTATGTCACCCAATGCATATCCAACATGTGCTCAGGGAATAATCCAGAAAAACTGTGGGTAGAGACTTTGACTCTCCAGAAAGCTCATCTCAGCTCCTGAAAAATGCCTCATTACCTTGTGCTAATCCTCTTTTTCTAGTCTTCATAATTTCTTCACTCAATCTCTGATTCTGTCAATGTCTTGAAATCAAGGGCCAGCTGGAGGTGAAGAAGAGAATGTGACAGGCACAGATGAATGGGAGTGAGGGATAGTGGGGTCAGGGCTGAGAGGAGAAGGAGGGAGACATGAGCATGGCTGAGCCTGGACAAAGACAAAGGTGAGCAAAGGGCTCACGCATTCAGCCAGGAGATGATACTGGTCCTTAGCCCCATCTGCCACGTGTATTTAACCTTGAAGGGTTCACCAGGTCAGGGAGAGTTTGGGAACTGCAATAACCTGGGAGTTTTGGTGGAGTCCGATGATTCTCTTTTGCATAAGTGCATGACATATTTTTGCTTTATTACAGTTTATCTATGGCACCCATGCACCTTACATTTGAAATCTATGAAATATCATGCTCCATTGTTCAGATGCTTCTTAGGCCACATCCCCCTGTCTAAAAATTCAGAAAATTTTTGTTTATAAAAGATGCATTATCTATGATATGCTAATATATGTATATGCAATATATATAGGCTCTTGCTTGATCTCTCCAGGAGGTAGTGATTATGAGAAGGGGGTGGAGAATGATGAGTTCCTTCACCAGGAGCAAAGGACGGGGATCGTGTGGAACCACTGCAGAACTATTTCCGAAATCAACTAAGTGGAGAGAGCCAGGAAGGCTGCATCAGAACCCAGTAAAGCTTCTTGTCTGGATCTGAGCTGGTTTGTTTTGTGCTTGCTTTTCCCTGCCTTGCCACTCCCCTCACTCTTCTCTTTTCCCCACAGCCTTTTTCACATAGCTCTTGGCTGTAGGATTGCCCCACTCCAAAAACCAGTGTGTGGAGGTCCAGGAGTGAGACCAGGAAAGAATGTGAAAGTGACTACACAAGGACTCCTCGATGGTCGTGGAAAAGGAAAGTCAATTGGCAGAGCCCCTGAAGCCAGTCTTCAGGACAAAGAAGGAGCCTAGAGACAGAAATGACAGATCTCTGCTTTGGAAATCACACGTCTGGCTTCACAGATGTGTGATTCACAGTGTGAATCTTGGTGTCTACGTTACCAGGCAGGAAGGCTGAGAGGAGAGAGACTCCAGCTGGGTTGGAAAACAGTATTTTCCAAACTACCTTCCAGTTCCTCATTTTTGAATACAGGCATAGAGTTCAGACTTTTTTTAAATAGTAAAAATAAAATTAAAGCTGAAAACTGCAACTTGTAAATGTGGTAAAGAGTTAGTTTGAGTTACTATCATGTCAAACGTGAAAATGCTGTATTAGTCACAGAGATAATTCTAGCTTTGAGCTTAAGAATTTTGAGCAGGTGGTATGTTTGGGAGACTGCTGAGTCAACCCAATAGTTGTTGATTGGCAGGAGTTGGAAGTGTGTGATCTGTGGGCACATTAGCCTATGTGCATGCAGCATCTAAGTAATGATGTCGTTTGAATCACAGTATACGCTCCATCGCTGTCATCTCAGCTGGATCTCCATTCTCTCAGGCTTGCTGCCAAAAGCCTTTTGTGTTTTGTTTTGTATCATTATGAAGTCATGCGTTTAATCACATTCGAGTGTTTCAGTGCTTCGCAGATGTCCTTGATGCTCATATTGTTCCCTATTTTGCCAGTGGGAACTCCTAAATCAAGTTGGCTTCTAATCAAAGCTTTTAAACCCTATTGGTAAAGAATGGAAGGTGGAGAAGCTCCCTGAAGTAAGCAAAGACTTTCCTCTTAGTCGAGCCAAGTTAAGAATGTTCTTATGTTGCCCAGTGTGTTTCTGATCTGATGCAAGCAAGAAACACTGGGCTTCTAGAACCAGGCAACTTGGGAACTAGACTCCCAAGCTGGACTATGGCTCTACTTTCAGGCCACATGGCTAAAGAAGGTTTCAGAAAGAAGTGGGGACAGAGCAGAACTTTCACCTTCATATATTTGTATGATCCTAATGAATGCATAAAATGTTAAGTTGATGGTGATGAAATGTAAATACTGTTTTTAACAACTATGATTTGGAAAATAAATCAATGCTATAACTATGTTGATAAAAGATTTAAAAACAACTGGCTGTTTTTTTACACTGTGGTGTGGAAGATTGTGTTGTGTTCACAACTTTTCACTTCTTCCCCTGTGTGATTACACACACCTGCCCTTGTGGTGTGACTTGCAGTGCGCCCTACAGGCCACACACCCCACGCCCTCCACCACTGGCTCTGCTGCTGGAATGTGAGCAGAAGTGACATCTGCCTCATCCAAGCGGAGCCTCTTGCTCAGCCACAGGAAGGCCCATTCCAGATCACACCCGTCAGCCCGTGCGCCCTGGTGAATGAGAAGACACAGGGAGCTGCAGCCACATATAACATGAGCAAGAAGTCTGTGTTTGCTGTGATAAGCCACTGAGTTTTAGGGGTTGTTTGTTAAGAAGCACAAAAACCGATTAAGACATGTGGTATATAGTGACTTCATATATAGAATCTGGAAAACTATCCATTTATTTTCAATCATGGAATTCAATATGACAAGCATCCCGGAGGGTCTACCTATGCCAGACTGGGTTGGAAACAGAAAGACAGATGTTAATGCCAGTGTCCTTTACACCTCCAAGTCCAGGGCCAGCTGTGGAGTGGGAGGGGTAGAGAAGGTCCTGTGCACAGTCACAGTGCGCTGTGCAGAGCAGGAACAGAGGCATCTGTGAAAAGTGCTGAGAGCCTGGAGGACAGAGTGACTAATGCAATGACAGTCTTGCATCATAGGAATAACAGCCACAGCAGGATTTTATTGCTGCCAAAGAAACTGCCATTTAAAAATTGCCAGCCATCCGGGAGGCTGAGGCAGGAGAATGGCATGAATCCAGGAGGCGGAGCTTGCAGTGAGCCGAGATCGGGCCACTGCACTCCAGCCTGGGCAACAGAGCCAGACTCCATCTCAAAAAAAAAAAAAATGCCAACCATCTCTCTTTCTAAAGTGGAATCCTCAAGTCTCGTTTATTCTGGGGACATTTGAGTAGGCTGTTCGAGTTAAGCAGGTGGAAGATGATGATCCCTCATCATCATTCTGAGGGATGAGTGTCTGAAGACTTTTTGGTAAGGAAGGGTCTTGGCATAGCCCACCCCATGCCACCTCCCTTGATCTGTGATATCCCCAGCAGCTGGGGAGGTTGGAGCATTTTGCAAAGAGGCCCCGAAGCCTCCAGAAAGTAAACCTTCAAGAGCCCATCCTTCCTTCCTCTTTTGTTTTTGCTCATTATGAAAACTTCCCTGACAAATTGAAAAGGCTTCAGGTGAGATTAGCCCACAGGAAAAACCACCAAGGGCCACCCAGAGGGGCCACACTGTGACAGAAGGAGTATGGGCTGGTGAGCTGACCTCTGGAAGACAGTGCATGAATTGAGGAGAAGAGATTGGTTCCAGGCATGGGAGGAATGAGGCTGGAAATTTCTTCAGACATTGCCACTTCGGCACTCTGTGTGTGTGTGTGTGTGTGTGTGTGTGTGTGTGTGTGTGTGTGTGTAAACAGAGTCCTGTAATGCAAGGTCCGGCCTTGGCAGCCCCAGCCTGGAGCCACAGTGAGATGTGAGCCGAGGGTTATGCTGGGAAAAACCTCTCCCTCCCAGCACCTGAAAGGCTCTGCAGGCCCAGCAGCTCAGCAAGCAAGGGTAAGGGCATGGACTAACATCTTATTTCATACTATCCCTTATAACACATCCTAATGTAATCAGCTCACAATATGAAATTATTTCATTTCTCTCCAGTCATTGTTTCAATGGGGCCTTAGGGTTGACTGGATTCTGGAGGGCCCTGCCTAGAGGAGGGGGTGCATTCTGTCCCTATGTCCCCTCCTGCTCCATCCTCCACAGCACGTGCCTAGTGGTCTACCTTGTGGGGAATTCTTGTACCTCCCTCTTCTAGGCATGGACTAGCATTGAGAAGTGGGAGAGGAGTGTTAGGAAAAAGGGCAAATATAGACATACCTTGTCTTATTGTGCTTTACAGATATTGTTTTTGTTGTTGTTGTTGTTGTTTACAAATTGAAGGTTTGTGGCAACCCTGCCTCGAGCAAGTCTATTGGTGCTGTTTTTCCAACAGCATGTGCTTGTTTTACATCTCTGTGTCACATTTTGGTAATTCTCCCAATATTTCAAACTTTGTCATTATTTCTATATCTGTTATGGTAATCTGTGATCAGTGATCTTTGATGTCACTATTGTAGTTGTTTTGGGGCACCATGAAGTGCACCCATGTAAGATGGCAAACAATCAATAAATGTTGTGTGTGTTCTGACTGCTCCATGGACTGCCTGTTCCTGAGACACAATAATGTATATATAACAATTATATATATATATATTTATAACAATTATATATATATATATATATATTTTTTTTTTGAGGCAGAGTCGCACTCTGATTGCCCAGGCTGGAGTGCAATGATGTGATTTCAGCTCACTGCAACCTCTGCCTCCCCAGGCTCAGGTGATTCTCCCACTTCAGCCTCCCAAGCTGGGACTACAGGTGTGCACCATCACACCCGGCTAATTTTTTTTTTGTATTTTTAGGAGAGACAGGGTTTTGCCATGTTGCCCAGGCTGGCCTTAAACTCCTAGACTCAAACAATCCACCTGCCTCAGCTTCCCAAAGGGCTGGGATTACAGGCATGAGCCACTGTGCCCAGCCCAAGACACAATAATATTGAAATTAAGCCAATTAATAACCCTACAATGGCCTCTAAGTGTTCAAGTGAAGGGAAAAGTCCCACGTCTCTCACTTTAAATCAAAATCTAGAAATGATTAAGCTTAGTAAGGAGGACATATTGAAAGTCAAGGCCAAAAGCTCACCTCTGCACCAGTTAGCCAAATTGCGACTTCACAGGAAAAGTTCTTGAAGGATATTTAAGCTCTACTCCAGGGAACATGCAAATGAAGAGAAAACAAAGCAGCCATATTGCTAATATGGAGAAAGTTTGAGTGGTCTGGAGAAAAGATCCAACCAGCCACAACATTTCCTTAAGTCAAAGCCTAATCCAGAGCAAGACTCTAACTCTCTTCAATGCTATGAAGGCGGAGAGAGGTGAGGAAGCTGCAGAAGAAAAGTTTGAAGCTAGCGGAGGTTGGTTTGTGAGGTTTAATGAAAGACAACATCTCCATAACATAAAAATGCAAGATGAAGCAGCAAGTGCAAAGGGAGAAGCTGTGGCAAGTTATCCAGAAAATCTAGATAAGATAATTGATGAAAGTGTCTACACGAAACAACAGATTTTCAGTGTAGACAAAACAGTCTTATGTTGGAAGAAGATGCCATCCAGGACTTTCACAGCTAGAGAGGAGATGTCAAGGCAAGCTGCAAAGCTCCACAGGACAGGCTGACTCTCTTTTTAGAGGTGAATGCAGCTGATGACTTTAAGTTGAAGTAAATGTTCATTTACTATTTTGTAAATCCTGGTGTCATTAAGAATTATGCGAAATCTACTCTATCTGTGCTCCATAAATGGAACAATAAAGCCTGGATGACAACACATCTGTTTACAGCATGGTTTACTGAATATTTCAAGCCCACTATTGAGAACTATTGCTCAGAAAAAAAGATTCCTTTCAAAATATTACTGCTCTGCACCATGTCGATCAAGAGCTGTGTTGGAGATGTACGAGAATATTCATGTTGTTTTCATCCCTGCTAACACAAACATCCATTCTGCAGTCCATGGACCAAGACTTTCAAGTCTTATTAAGAAATATATTTCATAAGGCTATTAAGAAATAGCTATATATATATATATAGCCTTATATAGTTTATATAGCTACCATTGATAGTGATTCCATTGATGGATCTGAGCAAAGCAAATTGAAAAGCTTCTGGAAAGTAGTCATTATTCTAGATGCCATTAGGAACATTTGTAATTCATGGGAGGAGGTCAAAATACCAACATTAACAGGAGTGTGAAAGACATTGATTCCAACCCCCATAGATGACTTTCAGGGGTTCACGTCTTCAGTGGAGGAAGTCGCTGTAGATGTGGTGGAAACAGCAAGAGAACTAGAACTAGAAGTGGAGCCTGAAGTTGTGACTGAATTGCCGCACTCTCATGATCAAACTTGAACAGATGAAGAGTTGCTTCTTACATATGAGCAGTGAAAGTGGTCTCTTGAGATGGAATCTCCTCCTGGTGAAGATGCTGTGAACACGGTTAAAATGACAACAATCGATTTAGAATATTACATAAATTTAGTTAATAAAGCAGTGGCAGGGTTTGAGAGGATTGACTCCAATTTTGAAAGAAGTGGGTAAAATGCTATCAAATAGCATCACATGGTATGGAGAAATCTTTTGTGAAGGGAAGAGTCGACCAAGGTGGCAAATTGCATTGTCATCTTATTTTAAGAAATTGCCACAGCCACCCCCAGCTTTAGCAACCACCACCCTGATCAGTAAGCAGCCATCAACATCAAAACAAGACCGCCATCCTCTTCAGCAAAAACACTATGACTTGCTGAAGGCTCAGATGATGGTTAGCATTTTTAGCAATACAATATTTTTAATTAAGGTATGCACATTGGTTTTTCTGACATAATACTATTGCATACTTAATAGACTACAGTATAGGATAAACACAACTTTTATATGCACTGGGAAACCAAAAAGGTTATTTTTGAGATATTTGCTTTACTGTGGTGGTCTGAAGCTGAACTCACAATCTCACCAAGGTGTGCCTGAACCTCTTTAGCTAACTGGCCACTGCCACAGTCCACTCTGTGTTGGTCAAGATGCCCCAGAGTGGCAGGCACACTGTGTGGTCACATCCAAGGGCCTAGATATGGTGGGGGCTCCAAATGGATCTAGATATGTGAGATCTCTCTTTGATTTGACTTCTTCCAACCCACCATTTTCTGGGTGCTGGGCTCATCTCACCCAGAAAGTAGGACCCAATGTGACAGTTCCTGCCCAGTTCCCTCCTGTGGTAGCCACTTGACCCAGGGGCACTCTTGATCCTTGCAGCCTCACTTACACACCCTATCTCTACCCCTATTAACTCTCTCCAATCCCCACTCCCCCTGCTCAGCTTGTCTGCTGCCCAGTGGGGGCCCCACCCATGCTGGCCTCTCCTTTTGCAAGTCCCCATTCCTCATATGGTTTCTTCAGAGCCCCTTTCTTTGGCTTTGAGGAGAGATGCCCTCACTCGCTTCCCCACCAATCCTGCCCACTTCTACAATCCATTCATTATCCTAATTGCCTCCGTATACAGACTGGAGTGAGAGGAGTTGATGTGATGGGTGTGGATACAGGGCTGGTGCTGTCATCTTCTAGTAAGCCCTGGGAGAGGTGTCTGAGCCCAGGTGTCAGTGGTTTTCTTTGGAACTGTGAGTGCATAACACTTCTTTGCCTTCAGCCTTAGGCCATAGTTGCTAGTTCTGGGACAACCAGAAAAGCCCTACATAATCTCGTGTTATGTGCAGAGCTGAGTATAGAGCTCCAGGTATGATCTGACTCACTTAAGATCACAGTGAGTCTATTGTATTGTTGAACTGTTAGCTTAGACATCTGTTACTGTACCTACATGGCACTAGCCTCACGCCTAGACACCGATCTGAAAGAAATCCCCTAAATGCATAGAGAAGACTTCTCAGCTGAGCTAAGGGGCTCCCACCAGGTTTGAGCCTATCTAATGAATCCATGAGGTAGACAGCCTGCACATGTCCACTTGGTTTGATGAATTGCACAAATCCCTATGGGGGATGTGGTTCATGGGCTGGGAAGTGGGTTACCCTGGGAAAGGTCTACAGGACAGAGGCAGGGATGGAGACAACAGCATGGTGAGTTCCCAACCCACCCACGATGATAGGTGTCTGAGGCAGAAGGTAAAGAGGCTGTCACCTGGTGGGTGTCATAAGACTCAAGTGTCATTGTTGAGGCACATGGGTAACAAAGCGTGGCACTGGATGGGGGTAGATTCTTCCTATTTCTGTGAGGATCAGGGGGACTCCCTGGCTCTCCTGCTAAAGGTGGCTCTAGGGACAGGAAGAGTGTACTTCTTGACAGGGATGTCAGAGCACTGATGGTGACAATCAGTGTGACACTGCTCACATGACTGAACAACCGAGAAGAGCCCGACTGTCTACTGAACAACGGGAAGAGCCCGACTGTCAATGACGGAGCTCTGTTAAATATAGTTAAGGCTATTTTGTTGAATGAATGAAGCCAGACAGGAAAGAGGACAGTATCTTTAATCCATTTATAGAAGTTAAAGACAGGCTTATTTAATCTCTATGAAGACAGAGTGGCCCTTACCTCTGGGTGGAGCAAAAGGCACCTTCTGAAGTGATAGGGATGTTCCTTATCATCTTGATCCGGAGTGGTAGTTACATGCATGTGTGCATATCAAAACTCACCAAGCTGTACCACTAAGTGTGTTCTTCCTCAATAAAAATAATAAAGAACTACACTTATAAAGAATTTTTTAATAATATAGGAAAATGTCTACACTATAATCTTTAGCTAAAAAAAAAAAAAAAAGAAGCCGCCTACAGAATGGTATATGCATGAGAACAATTAATCGAAAAGTGCATGGGAAAAGTCAGGATTGAAACATCATGTTTTAAAAGACATTGTTTTGATACTGTGAGAATGTACCTAAGTTTTTCCTTTTTTCTGTTTTTCCCAATTTTATACAATGAGCATGTGTTGGTTTTATAATTAGACATTTTGTTTGTTTGGTTTGGTTTTGAGACACAGCTTGCTGTCACCCAGGTTGGAGTGCAATGGCCCAATCTTGGTTCACTGCAACCTCCATCTCCTGGGTTCAAGAGATTCTCCCACTTCAGCCTCCTGAGTAGCTGGGACTATAGGGGCGCACCACCACATCCAGCTAATTTTGTGTATTTTTAGTAGAGATGGGGTTTCACCATGCTGGCCAGGTTGGTCTCAAACTCCTGACCTCAAGTTATCCACTCGCCTTGGCTTCCCAAAGTGCTGGGATTATAGGCATGAGCCACCGCACTTGGCCTAGACATTTGTTTTTAAAAATAAAAGATTCATTTGCTCTTTTTACAGCCCGTCTCACTGTTGACTGATATTGACCAGGAGTCAACTCAGGCCCCAGGGATTTTCACAACAGCTGCTGTATGGCAGGGTTTCTGCTCACTGTGCTCATGTAGTTGGCCCTTGCACCCAAAGTGAATAATTAACATTCTCCCCATCCTGTTGACGATGCTCTGAAAATATGGTCCAGAAATGGTGTGAGCAAGGAGACAGCAAAGCAATGCTTGGAACATAGGTGCAGTGACTAGACATGGGGCAGCTGTTTAAAGACAAAAAGGCCCCAAAAAGGAGGGATGGCACGAAACACCCTCCAATATGGGCATGGAGTCTAGAGTGACAAAGTGATCAAAAGTTCATTTCCTATGGGGTGTCCGAATGTACTTAATAATAAAAAGAGAACAAGAGCCATGCAAACTGAGAGGGACAAAGTAGAAAGAGTAGCAGACACCAAGCAACTAAGTCACAGCATGATAAGCTGCTAGCTTGTTGTCATTATTGTATCCAGAACAACATTTCATTTAAATGCTGAAGAATTTCCCATGGGTCCCCACTTTCTTGTGAATCCTTGGGCTGAACCCCCCTGTCCTGAGTGGTTACTAGAACACACCTCTGGACCAGAAACACAAAAGTGGAGTAACGCACACTGCAAAGCTGTGCTTCCTTGTTTCAGCCTGTGAATCCTCACCTTGTTTCCCATCTAGCCTATATTTTTCAAACTAACTTGGCCATAGAATCATGTAGTATTTAGGGTGGAAGCTGCCCCAGGTCTAGCACGTCATTTAACAGATGAGGAAATGGAAGCTTGGGCAGTGGAAGTATCTTGCCGAGGTCACACAGCAAGTCAGCAGCACAGCGTGTGTGACTCCGAGCCTGCTCCGCTAGCCCACATTGCCCTCTGGGGGTGAGTATGTCTTCACATCCTCCAATACCCTAATGACAGACAAACAGAACATGGCAAAGCCTCAGCTCTGCATGGTGAAAGTAAGAACCAGCAATTGCCACAAACAGAAATACAGTGTTGGTCCGGCAGCCTCCGGGGGTTCTGCACAAGTGGATTACCAGTGAATACAAGGCTATCTATCTTTCGAAAAACCAAAGTTGTATTTATGCTATCTATTTTCTATAAAATTTTATATTAATTTATTTGTTACCTATTTTTGAACTCTTTCAAAAGCACACTTTATATTTCCCTGCTTAAACAGTCCCCCGAGGGTGGGTGCCCAAAAGGCTCTACACTTGTTATCATTCCCTCTCCACCACAGGCATATTGAGTAAGTTTGTATTTGGGTTTTTTTAAAACCTCCACTCTACAGTTAAGAAAACTAAGGCACAGAGCTTCAATAATTTGGTCAGAGCCAAGTAGCAGTAATGAAGCTGGAGGTTAAACCCAGCAGCATGACTGCAGTTCTTAATCAATGCCTTTTGAATTGCACATATGGGATGAACTAGAACATTTTCTCGATGATTCGCTGTCCTTGTTATGATTATGTTACTGAGCTCTGTTGTAGCACAGACATATGTCCCTATATGGGGCGGGGGTGGGGGTGTCTTGATCGCTGGGCTATTTCTATACTGTTCTGGCTTTTCCCAAGCAGTCATTTCTTTCTATTCTCCAAGCACCAGCAATTAGCTTTACCTTTTCAGCTTCTAGTTTGCTGAAACTAATCTGCTATAGACAGAGACTCCGGTGAACCAATTTTATTAGGATTTGATCAAATAAACTCTCTCTGACAAAGGACTGCTGAAAGAGTAACTAAGAGTTTGATGTTTACTGAGTGCATAGTATGTGCTAGATGCTGGCCGTGGATGCCTCATAGAATCCTCCCAACAACTCATGAAATGACTACTGTCATTCAGCCCAATACCCAGACGAGAAAGCTGAGGGTAAGACAGGTTTCAAGCTTGGCAGTCTGACTACAGAGGCCACTGGCTTAGCCCCTGGGTTAGTCTGCCTCTGTAGGATTGGGGGCACGTAATTTTGCTGTTTGGGGTCTCATTTGCCTTCTTAGAGATCACAAGCCAAAGCTTTTTATTCTAGAGCCAAGGTCACGGAAGCCCAGAGGGCATCTTGTGGCTCGGGAGTAGCTCTCTGCTGTCTTCTCAGCTCTGCTGACAATACTTGAGATTTTCAGATGTCACCAACCGCCAAGAGAGCTTGATATGACTGTATATAGTATAGTCATAAAGAACCTGAACTTGACCATATACTTATGTCATGTGGAAAATTTCTCATAGCTTCAGATAGATTATATCTGGAGTGAAGAATCCTGCCACCTATGTATCTGGCATAGTGTGAGTCCTCATAAATGCTTACTGGTTTGAAGGGCAACAAAATAGTGAACAGAGTGAAAATCCCCACTAAGATCCTGGGTCCAGAAAAAGATGGGAAACCTGTTTAGCTCACCCGTGAGCCCATAGTTAAAACTCTTTAGACAACAGGTTGTTTCCGTTTACAGAGAACAATAATATTGGGTGGTGAGCATCTGTGTGGGGGTTGGGGTGGGATAGGGGATACGGGGAGAGTGGAGAAAAAGGGGACACAGGGTTAATGTGAAGTCCAGGATCCCCCTCTACATTTAAAGTTGGTTTAAGTTGGCTTTAATTAATAGCAACTCTTAAGATAATCAGAATTTTCTTAACCTTTTAGCCTTACTGTTGAAAAGCCCTGTGATCTTGTACAAATCATTTGCTTCTTGGATAGTAATTTCTTTTACTAAAATGTGGGCTTTTGACTAGATGAATGTAAATGTTCTTCTAGCTCTGATATCCTTTATTCTTTATATTTTCTAACAGATTCTGTGTAGTGGGATGAGCAGAGAACAAAAACAAAATAATCCAGTGAGAAAAGCCCGTAAATAAACCTTCAGACCAGAGATCTATTCTCTAGCTTATTTTAAGCTCAACTTAAAAAGAAGAACTGTTCTCTGATTCTTTTCGCCTTCAATACACTTAATGATTTAACTCCACCCTCCTTCAAAAGAAACAGCATTTCCTACTTTTATACTGTCTATATGATTGATTTGCACAGCTCATCTGGCCAGAAGAGCTGAGACATCCGTTCCCCTACAAGAAACTCTCCCCGGTAAGTAACCTCTCAGCTGCTTGGCCTGTTAGTTAGCTTCTGAGATGAGTAAAAGACTTTACAGGAAACCCATAGAAGACATTTGGCAAACACCAAGTGCTCATACAATTATCTTAAAATATAATCTTTAAGATAAGGAAAGGGTCACAGTTTGGAATGAGTTTCAGACGGTTATAACATCAAAGATACAAAACATGATTGTGAGTGAAAGACTTTAAAGGGAGCAATAGTATTTTAATAACTAACAATCCTTACCTCTCAAAAGAAAGATTTGCAGAGAGATGAGTCTTAGCTGAAATCTTGAAATCTTATCTTCTGCTAAGGAGAACTAAACCCTCTCCAGTGAGATGCCTTCTGAATATGTGCCCACAAGAAGTTGTGTCTAAGTCTGGTTCTCTTTTTTCTTTTTCCTCCAGACAAGAGGGAAGCCTAAAAATGGTCAAAATTAATATTAAATTACAAACGCCAAATAAAATTTTCCTCTAATATATCAGTTTCATGGCACAGTTAGTATATAATTCTTTATGGTTCAAAATTAAAAATGAGCTTTTCTAGGGGCTTCTCTCAGCTGCCTAGTCTAAGGTGCAGGGAGTTTGAGACTCACAGGGTTTAATAAGAGAAAATTCTCAGCTAGAGCAGCTGAACTTAAATAGACTAGGCAAGACAGCTGGTTATAAGACTAAACTACCCAGAATGCATGACATTCATCTGTGGTGGCAGACGAAACATTTTTTATTATATTATTTCTTGGGTATGTATGACAACTCTTAATTGTGGCAACTCAGAAACTACAAACACAAACTTCACAGAAAATGTGAGGATTTTACAATTGGCTGTTGTCATCTATGACCTTCCCTGGGACTTGGGCACCCGGCCATTTCACTCTGACTACATCATGTCACCAAACATCTGATGGTCTTGCCTTTTAATTCTCTTTTCGAGGACTGAGAGGGAGGGTAGCATGGTAGTTAAGAGTGCAGGCTTCCCGCATTCAAAATCGGTTGCTTACTAGCTGTGTGGCTTTGAGCAAGTTACTCACCCTCTCTGTGCTTCAAGGTCCTTGTCTGCAAAATGTGAAAAATATTTCCTGCCTCATAAGGTTGCCCTAAGGATTAAATGAATGAATGGGTATGATGCTTAGAACAGTGATTGGCATCCAGTATGTGCCCTCGAGGCCTCTTAATTATTACTGGCTTGCTCATAGTGCATGTTCTTTGTGGGCTAACTCTAGCGTCAATAAAAATGTTAAGACTGAGTTGCAGCCGGGCATGGTGGCTCATGCCTGTAATCCCAGCATTCTAGGAGGCTGAGGCAGGAGGATCGCTTGAGCCCAGGAGTTCGAGACCAGCCTGGGCAACATAGTGTGATCTTGTATCTATAAAAATAAACAAAATTAGCTTGGTGTGGTGGCGCCTGTAGTCCCCAGCCACTTGGAGGGGTGAGGTGAGAGGATTGCTTGAGCCCGGGATGGTCCAGGCTGCAGTGAGCCATGATCGTGCCACTGCACTCCAGCCTGGGCGACAGAGTGAGACCCTGTCTCACAACAACAACAACAACAACAAAAAGGCTGAGCTGCACCATGCTTGACCCAGTTTCTTAAAATTGTTGTCAAAGCTTCATTCACTCCATGGTGCTATAGAGCACAAGATTTTATTTGGTGAGATGGTGCTTTCATGAATTCCCCCAACAGAGCCAAGCTCTCCATCTAGTGGACAGGGAAGCTAGCAGCAAACCTTCCCTTCACTACAAAACTTCATTGCTTGGCCAAAAAGAGAGTTAATTCAATGTAGACATCTATGTAGGCAATTAAAAACCTATTGATGTATAAAACAGTTTGCATTCATGGAGGGCAACTAAATACATTCTAGGACTTTATAAAAGATCACTTTTTATTTATGCACAGGGTGGAACAAGATGGATTATCAAGTGTCAAGTCCAATCTATGACATCAATTATTATACATCGGAGCCCTGCCAAAAAATCAATGTGAAGCAAATCGCAGCCCGCCTCCTGCCTCCGCTCTACTCACTGGTGTTCATCTTTGGTTTTGTGGGCAACATGCTGGTCATCCTCATCCTGATAAACTGCAAAAGGCTGAAGAGCATGACTGACATCTACCTGCTCAACCTGGCCATCTCTGACCTGTTTTTCCTTCTTACTGTCCCCTTCTGGGCTCACTATGCTGCCGCCCAGTGGGACTTTGGAAATACAATGTGTCAACTCTTGACAGGGCTCTATTTTATAGGCTTCTTCTCTGGAATCTTCTTCATCATCCTCCTGACAATCGATAGGTACCTGGCTGTCGTCCATGCTGTGTTTGCTTTAAAAGCCAGGACGGTCACCTTTGGGGTGGTGACAAGTGTGATCACTTGGGTGGTGGCTGTGTTTGCGTCTCTCCCAGGAATCATCTTTACCAGATCTCAAAAAGAAGGTCTTCATTACACCTGCAGCTCTCATTTTCCATACAGTCAGTATCAATTCTGGAAGAATTTCCAGACATTAAAGATAGTCATCTTGGGGCTGGTCCTGCCGCTGCTTGTCATGGTCATCTGCTACTCGGGAATCCTAAAAACTCTGCTTCGGTGTCGAAATGAGAAGAAGAGGCACAGGGCTGTGAGGCTTATCTTCACCATCATGATTGTTTATTT